>NC_000012.12:129810372-130111995 GCF_000001405.40 Homo sapiens
AAAATCACAAAATGTTAACATTTATTCATTTTGGATGGTCAGTAAATGAGGGACGGCTACATTGTTTTTGGTAGTATGTGTGTGTAACATTTACCAAAAAAAGGTAATGAGGATGGGAAATGAGGCCCTGGTGGTCCTGCATATAAATTAATTCACATATTCAAGAAAAATATATACATACACACACACACACACACACACCCCCCCACACTCTTTAACCTGTGCCTTACCATACAGAAAGTAGAGCGGCCCCCAAAATACCAGTGCAAAGATGTGCAAAAGAAATAAAAGTTAAAAAAATCTAAGTAAGTTTCAGCAGTATCTTGACTGAGTGGTATCATTCCAGGAATAACAAAACATTCAAACAAGTATTAATTTATCTTTCAACGCGTTAATAGGTTGAAGAAAAAACATAATCTTGAACAATGTCCAAAAAATCGAGTTGAGGAAAATCAAAATTATTCCTAACTAAAAATTAAGCCCCAAGCAAAATACAAGACATAGGTATTTGTCAAGAGGAAATAAATTCATTGATATTGGGCACTGATGGTATTGCGTGTCTAGAACATTCAAAGTAACAGGAAAGTTATGGAAAATAAGATCATTCAACAAGGGCGTCAACACAACTAAAATAAAAGCAAGAACGTGTTTATCTAAAACCATAACCAGTTATAAATGTAAGGACAGAAAGATTCCATTTTAATATTCAATAAAAATACAATATCAATGAACGGATTTAACAAGAAATTTGTCATATCTTTTTAAGACAATGTTTAGAACTCACCGAAGAACATAAAATGTTTGGGGAAAATGACCTGGATTTATGTAAAAATGTACAATATTATAAAGATATCAATTCTCTCCTAAGGCAATCTGTATGCCCAACACTTAGTGAGTGTCAGGGATGGGGTGGGGTGGGCTCGGTCCTGCCTCCCTCCTTGTTCTACCTCCTTGGAGGCTCACACCCAGCAGACTTCATCCTGCTTCTGCCTCCAGCCCCTCCCTCCATCCCTCACTACCCAATGCTTGAAGTCCTGGCTTCCAGTGATCCGGATACTCCGGGACCACATTCTCAGGGACCTCAAGCAAGAGGACTCTCCAACTCATGGCTCTCAGTTCCTTCACCCCATCTTTATCATTTGGGGATGCAGAATTGGGACTCCAAGAAGGCTCCTGACCAAATCCCAGGGCCTGTGCGTACAAAGATGCCACCTCTGTGAGTGTGCGACCTTACCTGGCAAGATGGACTTCGCAAATATGAAGAAAGTTACCGAAGAGCTGAACTTAAAATAGGGCGATCCTCCAGGTTTATCCTGTGGACCCGATGCTGTCACATGAGCCAGGAGAAGACGCCAGACAGATACGGGGAGCAGGGCTCAGCATGCTGGATTTGAAGATGGAGGGGACCCCAGGAGAAGGAATGTGGGTGACTTTTAGGAGCAGAAAGCCACCCCAGCTGATGGCCAGCCAGAGCACTGGGACCTCAGTCCCCCAACTCCAAGACACGGGATTCTTCCGCAGCTTCAGTGAGCCTGGAAGCCAGCTCTCCTCCAGAGCCCACAGCTCAGAGCCCACCCACCTGACACATATATTTCAACCTCGTGAGATGCTGAGCAGAGACCCAGCTGAGCCCACCTGGACGTCTGCCCTACAGAACTGGAGTTAATAAGCACCAGCTGTTCCAAGCTGCTACCTTGGTGGTGATTTGTTACACAACAATAGAAAACTAAGACACCTTCACTTTCACAGTTACATTCTGAGAATGCACCATTACACAATCCTACAACCCAAATGCGCACATTCCCATAACGTGTCATCACCATCAGCTCCAGTCCCAACCTTTCTCCCTCTTCTATTTATCTCTTTCTCTTCCCCCTTAACCGACCTCTCTCTGTGTGTCTCTGACAGTGGTGTTTTCACCAAAGAAGACTCTGCTATCACTGACACCACGTGTAACATCATGTTTGAAACCGTTCATTTGCTTAAATTTGCCAGGATGGGTTATCTCGTGGACATCTAAAAACCCAACACAATCATCTTCTAGTGTTATGCAACCTTTAAAAACTCATTTTCCCTTTAATACTCTGCCATTGTTCCATCATCTTTGGCAAACTTCTCTAAGAATCGTCTCCAGAAGCTGTCTCCATTTCCTCGTTAGTCTTCAAAACTTTCCAATCTGGCTCTGTCTCCACCACATCATTGAAAGTATTCACCTGTGTCTCCCAGTCAAACGGACAGTGTCTATCTTCTCTTGACCGCTCAACAGCATTTGACACCATTGCTTCTTTTCGTTGTATTGATACGTGCCTCTCTCTTGAAATCTATAATGCCACAAATTCTTGGCTTTTCTTTTACTCCACAGATCACTGCTTCCCAATCTCTTTTCCTGGGCCGTTTGTGTGATCCAACCAAGATGTGGCCCCCCTTAACCTCTCCATACTGTCTCCCTAAGAGTTCTTCCATTCTTTCACTCTTAAAACCATCTACAAGTTGTCACCTCTCAAATGTGTGTCCCTAAGCCTGACAATTCTGCTAAACCCCAGATTTGTAAATTCAGTGCCTAGTAGACATACCCATTTGCATGTCACAGAAGTTTCTGAAATGACCACAACAAATCTTATGCATTTATCCCGACTCCTGCGCCTTCCACTTCTTTCCGTCTCGGCGCAGAACACCATCACAGCAACGTCTGCTCAAAGCAGAAATAGTTGAGTCATTCTTGATTTCCTCCTTTCTCCCACTTTTTCATTCAATCCATCTGTAAATCTTATTAATTTCACCTGCTAAATATCTCTGGAATCTGTCCAACTGTGTCTAAATCCACAGTGGTCACTCTAGTCCACGCTGTCCTCATCTTGTTGGTGGACGTTGCTAAAATGCGTCACTGGTTTCCTCACATACTCCCGACCTCTGCCAAACACACACTTCACAACTGTCAGTGAGAACTTGAAACAAACATAAATAAGACCATCCAATTTCCCTGCTTAACACCCTTCATTGGCTTCCCATTTTCCTGTGAATAAAATCTAATGTATTCCTGCAAATAAAATAGAAGGCAGGCAGTAATGGATGCCAGTGAGGATGTGAAGAAAGATACACTGTTGGTGGGAACGTAAAGTAGTCAGTCCAGCCACTCTGGTAAATCTGCCCTCCCACATTCACTGCAGCCAACTCACAATAGGCGAAATATGGAATCAACTTAAGTGCCCAGTGAAGGATGGACGGATACAGAAAATGTGATATATATATATATATATATTTTCAGGACTATTTCAGACATTGGGCAATGTCCAAAAAATCGAGTTGAGGAAAATCAAAATTATTCCTAACTAAAAATTAAGCCCCAAGCAAAATACAAGACATAGGTATTTGTCAAGAGGAAATAAATTCATTGATATTGGGCACTGATGGTATTGCGTGCCTAGAAAATTCAAAGTAACAGGAAAGTTATGGAAAATAAGATCATTCAACAAGGGCGTCAACACAACTAAAATAAAAGCAAGAACGTGTTTATCTAAAACCATAACCAGTTATAAATGCAAAGACAGAAAGATTCCATTTTAATATTCAATAAAAATACAATACCAATGAACAGATTTAACAAGAAATTTGTCATATCTTTTAAAGAAAATGTTTAGACCTCACTGAGGTCTGATGGAATGATGGAATTCCATCATTTGCAGCAACATGGACGGAACTGGTCCCTATGTTAAGTGAAATAAGCCAACCACAGACATACAAACACTGCATGTTCTCGCTCATATGTGGGAGCTAAAAGAGTGGATGTCACGGAGCTAGAGAGTAGGTTGGATTGGCAGTTACCAGAGGCCAGGAAGGGGTGAGAAACTGAGGAGAAAAAAGAATGAAACTGGTATCACCACTGAACTGTACACTTAAAAATAGTAAAGACAGTAAGTTATATAGGCATATTTCACCTCAATTTTTTAAAAACTAACGCCAGGTGCGGTGGCTCACGCCTGTCATCCCAAAACTTTGGGAGGCCAAGGCAGGCAGGTCATCCGAGGTGGGAGTTTGAGACCAGCCTGACCAACATGTAGAAACCCTGTCTCTACTAAAAATACAAAAAATTTACCTGGGCTTGGTGGTGAGCACCTGTAATCCCAGCTACTTGGGAGGCTGAGGCAGGAGAATCGCTTGAACCCGGGAGACAGAGGTTGCAGTGAGCCGAGATCACGCCACTGCACTCCAGCCTGGGCAACAAGAGCGAAACTCCCTCTCAAAAAAAAAAAAAAAAAAAACTAAATAAAAAACATCTGAAGTTCCTGATGTAGGGGTCCTATGAGTTTGTATTGAACTCAGCTAGGCTTCTTCCAAGCCTTCCTTTGAGCTGTCAACCGCTCTACTAACTGAGCTCTAACCACTCTGAGCTCCTTTTAGGTCCTCTAACCCACTGAGCTTTTCCTCCTCCCAGGACTGTTGCCCAGTTCTCAACATCTAAGATGCCTTTCTCCTGCTATCCATTTAATTGCTACCTTCTTATCCTTCATGATTCAGCTTAAACGTTGCCTTCACAGGGGCTGTTCCAGACAAACCTAGCATAAGCCCCCACATGCCACATTCTCCATCAAATTATATCCTCATTCCCTTCCATTTGTAATTACTTTTTTATCTGTTTGTAAATCTGTGGTCAATCTCCCTCATGAGCTTAAGAGCTCCCTGAGATTGGAGCCTTTTCCTGGAACGTATTAGATGCTTAATGAATATTTGTCGTAACAATATTTTAAGATGTATTCAAGGATTTTAATTGCGCTAAGTAATTAGCCTACGGGCATTTGTTAAGTCAAGGTTAGTATATACATGTGATGGATTCATACGCAGCTATTAAGAGAGTAATTTAGCTCTTAGTTCTACCACAAAAAAAAATCCACAGAAAAAAATCCAGAATGCATTGTTGAGTGAAAATAGCAGGTTTCAAAATAGTGTACATGTGACTCTTCCAGGCATCGCTTGAGAGACTCATTAAGCAACATAATAAATAAGTAATTCCCTGCCACTTCTCACAGTGGTACATAGAATAGAATGTAGAATGTAGCTAGAATTGCACGTGTGCAGAAATCACAACCGAACCCAAGCCTACAGCTATTCTGGGGGGGTGACTGTCTCACCGTTCCAGGAGCCACCCCCACCCTGCAGGGGCCCGACTGCATTTCTAGAACACCATCTAGCCGATATTTTAAATCAGACCATTGCAAGCACATCTTTTCAATTAGATGCACGTGCAACAGATGTCAAGGACTTAATTTTTCTTTATTACAGGATGTGTTTATGTGTGCGGGGGATCTGTGTTGCTGTCTGAATGCTCCCCCGGTTACAAAAATTAGTTTTATTTTCTCCAAGTGATGAGATTTCAAGTATTATTTATTTTCTGCTTTCGGCTTGTCTACATTGTTGGAATTTTCTACAATTACTTTGTATTTTTTAATAACTAGAAATGGAAGCTATTTTCCTTTGGAAATATGGACAAATGTCACGACTGAATACTCGTATGAATTCAATGTAAGTGAAGGAAGGCTTAGTTCTTCATCTGAATCCAGATAGCCCGGGAAACCTTTAATTGGCAACTGCAAGCCAGATGACTGACGGCCTGTGGTTGTGTTTTGTTTTTCCTCCCTTCCTTGCCCATGTTGTGTGGAACACGCTGGTGACCCAGTTCACCTGCAGGACAGCTGTTCCGCTCATGGTGTGCACTTGCCTGTCATTTAATCCAAACAATAAACCTGCCATGCAGGCAAGTAGAGTCGGGGTGTAAAAAAAATTTTCCTAGTTCCAGTTCAACACTTCAAAAATATATTTGCTAGGGGCCGTGTTCATCTTTTTTGAGAATGTAGAAAATGATGTCAGTCAGAATGCAAATATTTGTATAAAATATTTGTATAAAAACTTCAACATCTTCTGATTATCATTTATTACAATGTGTTAAAAGAGCTGTCATTTATACACAATAAATTCTGGTGAAGTGGAACCGGGAGGAGTATGAGATCCACTTTGGACAGAACAGCTGGGTGACTTCCTCCGTATGCGAGATCACCATCGCCCCGCTTCTGAAAAACTCTGGGCCTATTTATTGCAAAAGGCCTGCACAACTGCCTATCCAGCTTATACCACAGAAAGACTAAGTATTCATAACAGGAAAACAGGAGTAAAATAAAACACACAGAGACAGAAAAGTCAAAATAAAACAGCAGCAATTTCCATCTTTGAGCATATACAAGAGAGACACAAATGATGAAAACCATAATTACGAGATGAAATGGAAGAAAGATCTATTTTGTAATCACAAGTCTTCCCGAGTCTTGGGGAAAAGGTTCATTTCTAAGACGTGTGTCACGGACTTATTGTGAATTCACCCTGACACCATTTATTCCATAGCTTATGTTTCTTCACTGATATGAGGACTTTGATTACAGCATTTGCTAAAACGAACGCAGATGATGTTCTCATGCGTGAATGAATATTTCTAAAATACCGAGATAGTTTCATCAAAGACAAGAATTCTGGAATTTAATCACAAACAGGAACATAAATAGATACCATATTTTCCTATTCAAATAATGAGTCAGCTCTTATTATAGTCATCTAATTTTATCAAGAATAGCACTTGGCTAATTAGACAGGAGTCAGTTTAATAACTAGCTGGCATTTATAAGAATAGAAATGGGTTCTATGAAAAATTGTTTACGACTGCAAAAGAATGGTGAAAGCTGGTATAATGCATGAAATCGGAGCAATGATAAGTTAATGAGCAATATGCAATGGCTGCAGTCAAAGTTCCTGGCAGTCCAATCCCCACTGCACCTTAATATATGCAAGCATTCATGCACTTAGTGTGTATTTGTTGAAGGCCTGCTCAGCGTCAGACACAGTGGGCTTTTCCGTAGCTGTGCAGATGATGTCTTTCTGCAAGGACCAAGGAACTGAGCATTTGACCAGGTCCACAGAGTTCTGCTAGTCAGCCTTCACCGTGAACACACAGAACCAGACGCCGTAACAAGAAGTTCACACACTTAGTTTCTGCAATGGAGAGCATGGAGAAATAAAGTCTGACTCTGGGGCACCAACCGCTCGCTCTCTCTCCCCACTTCTCCAGGATCTGTTGGTAAAACCTCAGGTCTCACTCCTTCCATTTTCAGTCTGAGAACCCAAAGCCACATTTTAGCAAGCTGGGAGAATGGAAAGAATCACATCATAAAGATAAGATGGTGTGTGTGTGTGTGTGTAGTATGGGGTGTGCCTCTGTGTAATGTGGGGTGTGTCTGTAATATGGGGTGTGTGGGGGGTATGTGTGGGGGGTGTGTATGTGTGTGTATCTGTGTGTATGTGCCTTGGGGTGTGTGTGGTGTAAGGTGTGTGTGTGGTGTGGGGTATGTGTGTCTGTGTGTATCTGTGTGTCTGTGGTTTGGGGGTGTGTGGGGGGGTCTGTGTGTGTATCTGTGTGTATGTGGTTTGGGGTGTGTGTGTATGTGGTGTGAGGTGTATGTGTGTGTGTGTGGTGTGGGGGTTTGTGTGTGCCTATGTGTGTGTAGCTGTGTATATGTGGTTTGGAGTGTGTGTGTGTGGTGTGAGGTGTATGTGTGTATATGTGTGTGTGGTGTGTGTGTGGTGTAAGTGTGTGTGTCTATGTGCATCTCTATGTGGTGTGGGGTGTGTGTGTGGTGTGAGATGTATGTGTGTGTATGTCAGGTGTGTGTGGTGTGGGGTGTGTGCGTTTCTATGTATGTGTATCTGTATGTGGTTTGGGTTGTGCATGTGTGTGTGTGGTATAAGGTGTATGTGTGTGTGTATGTGTGTGTGGTGTGGGGGCTGTGTGTGCCTATGAGTGTGTATCTGTGTGTATGTGGTTTGGGGTGTGTCTGTGTAGTGTGAGGTGTATGTGTGTATATGTGTGTGTGCGGTGTGGGGTGTGTGTGATGTGTGTGTGTCTATGTCTGTGTATCTATGTGTATCTGCTTTGGGGTGTGTGTGGTGTATGTGTGTGTATGTGTGTGAGGTGTGTGTGATGTCGGGGGTGTGTGTGGGGTTTTAAGTGTGTATGTGTGTGGTGGGGGGGTGTGTGTCTATGTGTGTATCTGTGTGTATGTGGTTTTGGGTGTGTGTGTGGTGTGTGTATGTGTGTATGTGCGCATCTGTGTGTATGTGGTTTGGGTGCATATATGTGTGTGGTGAGGTGTATGTGTGTATGTGTATGTGTGTGGAGTGTGTTTGTGTGTGTGTATATGTGTGTGTGTGGTGTAGGGGGTGTGTTTATGTAAATACTTTCTTTCAAGACAGCAAGTTGCCTTTCATTTAACGGCCGTATCAGTGGGTGTATGCACCTGCACACACAGACTGTGGCTGAATTAGTGCCACTTAAAGTAGAACGTGCCGGGGGTGGTAGCTCACACCTGTAATCCCAGCACTTTGGAAGGCCAAGGTGGATGGATCACTTGAGCCCAGGAGTTGGAGATCAGCCTGGGCAACATAGCGAGACCCTGTCTCTACAAAACATACAAAAACTAGCTGGGCGTGGTGGCCTGCACCTGTAGCCCCAGCTACTCAGGAGGCTGAGGTGGGAGGATTGCTTGAACCCAGGAGGTCGAGGCTGCAGTGAGCTAGGATTGCACCACTGTACTCCAGACTGGGTGACAGAGTGAGACTCTGTCTCGAAAAAAAAAAGACAAGAAAAAAAAATGTCCCATCTCTCTTTTCCTCCTCTGCTAAATGCACACAACTGCTGTCTTGCGGGAGACAGCCTAGAAAAGGAACGAAAACATAGGTTCATGCTGCCCCACATGAGAACACGCGCTTAGAGTGGAAATTCCATAAAGATAGTGAAATTTGTTCATCCCTTCTACCTACCCCACAGTGCCAAGCACTGCACTTTGATCATGGCATTTGATGAATGGATTCATGAGAGGATCAAAAGGAGCTACAAAGGAGAATTGGCATCTGGTTTCCCCATCAATTGTGATATTTATAATAATTGAATAAATAAGATATACTAAAATATCGTAATACCATATACGATTTACTTTAGCTGCTAGGTCGGGGAGTCGCTATCTCTTCAGATCTCCGTGCAAGCAAGCCCCCAGTTCCACCAGGGATGGAGGTACAACTCCACACGCCCCAGGTTCTTCCTGCGGCATTCAGCACAAAACTTGCTTGTGTAGACTCTATTTGCTGTGCAGACTCTGGAGTCTGCGGACCCTGACCTTGAGTCACACTTTTGCCTCTTCATGCATCATTTCCTCCTCTTATGAAACGGGGATGAAATTAGCCCTCATCGCTAACGGTATGTGTGGCATGCTCTGCAGTGCCTGGCACGTAGTTAGTGCTAAGTGTTAGTTGCTGCTGGTACTGCTGTTCGTGTTATTATTCCTAGTACCAGCACTATGGCCTGCTACTATTATTAACATAATCATCAATATTATTTAAACATGTTTTCCTCCTATTCTAGGCAGGTCTTTCACCGGATTCAACCAGAAAGAAAAGTGCTGCTGCTACCCAAAGTGCTCATGAGTGGGAGACGCAGTGTCCTGGAGCTGAGGCTGGAGCAGGGGACAGAATTCCAAGACCGCACGTGCACCGTGGACATGACTGCTCTCAAGACGTTTGTTCATGGCAGCTGAGGTTTCTCTCAGCCCTTCCTCCATGAAAAGCTCAGCACCTCCTCCTCCCCTGGTTCCTCTCACCTGGCACTCTTTTTTGTCTGAAGCTAAAGCAAGCTCCTTACCTTCCGCATGGAAGTTCTCCATCTCTGCAACCTTGGCCATAGCAGAGACCAAGTCCCTCAAGCAGCCTGAATCCTTTTCAGGAGTTCTTTTGAAAGACCATCTTGCCTCCCTTAGGAATTTAGGGGCCAGTTGTTGCAAAGATGGTGCTCTTAACCCACTCAATGTCTTTGCAAGGCCCCTCTCCACCCATTATTCCATTTGCACGTCCCAACAACCCTGTGTGACAATGGGGGCCATCAGTGCTCTTTTGCAGGTAAAGTAACAGAGACTCAGAGAATCTACGTGGTTATTCGAGTCTGGCAGAGCTACGGCACAAGCCCAGGTCTTCTGATGCACACTCAGCGTGCGCATCCCCTCTGGAGCAGTTAACCATACATTATAAATATCTCAAGCACAGATGCAGACACAAGGTTATTTGAGTGGAGTGTTCCTAATCAGAGGTATACCAGAAACTCATTTAATTCAAAATATATTTACTTATGTTTTCATGCCCAAAACTTTCAGCAGCCTTTTGGAAGCATCAGCTGAAAATATATGGGATGAACGGTTCCATCATGAAGGAGCTCATATTTCAGGTGTAAAGAAATGATTTATATGCATGCAAAAGCTAGAGGAAAAGGCAAAATTGAACAAACTGTTCCTCAAATTTTATTTTATTATTTGTTTTTGGAGATAGGATTTTGCTATGTTGCCCAGGCTGGCCTCAAACTCGTGGGCTCAAGCCATCCTCCTGCCTTGGCCTCCCACGTAGCTGGGACTGCAAGTGTGCACCAACACGCCTGGCTGCCCCCAGATTTTAATTAAAAATTCCAAAGGGATGCAAGAAAGGCTCAAACCAAGTGCTGATGAATCTGACAAGTAGCAAAGATTATATGTCAGCCTCTCTGGCCTGCTTCTCAACCACCTCTCTTCATTTTCTTCTCCCTCCTCCTTTCTCCTATATAAACCCATTTTAACAATGGATCTGAAATTAGCCATTTTAAAGCAACATTCTCTGATTCCAATTCTGATTTTCTATATTCCAGAGTGAAAACATTCCATGATCAAAAATGCTTAAGAAATAGGGGGTTCGAGAAATTAAGACAGATTCTCTCACCGCAGGACTTAGATTATTTGACACAATGGTGTGTATTGTGTGTTCGCATTTGTCAAGCATCTTTGGGCACAGAGAACTTAATTTCCTGGAGAATTCCACGGTGTTGGTGTCCTCTGAAACGCACGTCAGATGCTCCCCACAGCTGGAGAATGACTAAAGGACTCCAAAAGGTTGGCCTTCTGGGGGGTTTGAATTTTAACAGGTGGCAAAGCTGTCAGATGGAATCTTCGTCCTCAGAAAACAGGCCAATGGAACTACTTTGAAGGCACCAGAAGTCAGTCTGCCAGCCCATAATTTCAGGGTCTGCACATCGGTTGCCTGGAAAGGAAGCCACGTAAGGATTTCCCACAGGGAAAGCTGGACTACAGGCAGGCCTCAAAAACCCATTCGATCTGAAGAAATATGGAAACACTGGAACAGTATTTCTGGCAGAGGCAAAAGTGCCAATCAAAACGTGCAGCGGAACTCACAGAGCCCATTTTGGACAGTGCCACTCACCCTTCAACACACAGGTGCATCACCTGGGATCTTCTTAAAATGCAGCCTGTGACTCTGCCCGTCTGTGGGCTGGGGGAAAAGGGCAAGAACTTGCATTTCTTGCCAACTTCCAGGAGATGTGATACTGGTCACTGGACCACCCCTGGGATTTAGGGAGTCATGAAGCCTGCTGGTCTTTCGAAGTGGGGAGCAGGAGTGCTGCTCTTAAGTGGCCAAGACCACAGGTTTCCTTTGTTGAAGAAATATTTTTTGATCTCCTGCTGTATGCTGGGCACCATGCTAGGTGCTGAGGATATAATAGTGCAAAAGACAGACGTGATCTTTGTACTCATGGAGCAAATTCACTGGGGGGTGACAGGAAATAAATACATCAGAGAGACAATCTGAGACACACGCTGGAGGATCAAAGACAAAAACAAAACCAAGAGACGGGAAAGAGGACAGGAGTGGAAGAGTCAGCCATGGAGAGGGTGACCAGGGGCACCGTCTCTGAGGATGGGGCACTGAGCAGGGCTGGAGGGGAGAAGGGCTGAGTGGCTAGAGGAGCTGAGAGACCTGCCGGGGTCCTGAAGACCACCCTCAGGTTGGCTGTCTCACTGGAGGACTCACAGGACTCAGCATATGGTTGCACAAACAGCTGGGACTTATTACAACAGAAGGTCAGACCACAAAACCAGCAAAGGACCAGGGTAACACAGGTGGAAGTCAGGGCAAGCCAGGCTCAAGCTCCCAAGGGTCCCTCCCCAGGGAGTCACACAGGACGCACTTAACTTCTTCAGCACTGAGCTCTGACAACACCTACAGTGTCCCCTACCATGGAAGCTTGTCAGAGGCTCAGCATCCGGAGTTGTTGATATGGTTTGTGTATCAGTCCATTCTCAAGCTGCTATGAAGAAATACCCGAGACTGGATAACTTATAATGAGGTTTAATTGACTCACAGTTCCACACGGCTGCCAAGCCTCAGGAAACCTACAAGCGTGGCGGAAGGCACCTTCTCACAGGGCGGCAGGAGACAGAATGAGTGCCGAGCGAAGGGGGAAGTCCCTTATAAAACCATCAGATCTTGTGAGAACTCACCATGACGAGCATGGGGAAAATCACCCCCATGATTCAATTATCTCCACCTGGTCTTGCCCTTGACATTTGGGGATTATTGTAATTCAAGATATGATTTTCAGGAGACAGAGATTCACACTGACATGGTTTGGCTCTGCGTTCCCACTTGGATCTCATGTTCATTTGTCACCCCCAATGTTGGGGATGGGACCTGGTGAGAAGTGGATCATGGGGCAGATTTCTCATGAATGGTTTAGTACCATCCACTTAGAACTGTCCTCGAGGTAGTGAGTGAGTCATCGTGAGATCTGGTTGTTTAAAAGTATGTGGCACCTCGCACATCTCTTTCTTGTTCTTGCTTTCACCATGTGATGTGCCTACTCCTCCTTTTCCTTCTACCATGATTGGAAGCTTCCTGAGGCCTCCCCAGAAGCAGAAACTGCCATGCTTCCTGTACAACCTGCAGAACTGTGAGCCAAATAAACCTCTTTTCTTTATAAATTACCTAGTCTCGACTATTTCTTTATAGCAATGGAAGAATGGCCTAACACAGTTGTTTTTGGGGGCTGGTCATGTGGACATTTCTCCCCAGCATATGCTGAAATTCCAGACTCCTAGAAGAAAAGCAGGTGTCCTGCATAAGCCATATTTTTTATACAAAGAGTTTAGGCGCAGTACGCCCCTTTCATCAGTTAGGGAATGGTGGGAGTCCTCCTAAAATCCACATTTCCGTGGACCAGCCAAGGGCCAGCCTTGCCAGCAGCCTTTGTAAGGAGAGCGGGCTCAGGCCTGTGATGCAAACTCTTTTATGCACATTGGCCTTTCAGCCATGATGCTCCTTCTGTGCAAGGGCCCAGGGAAGCAAAAGCAGGCTGGTCAGGAACACAGAGGCAGGTCAGTGTGTTTAGAATTCAGCTGTAGGAAGAATCGTGGAGAGGAAGGAGGTAGAGGTGGAAGTGAGAACAAATTTGCGGCTCTATCACTTGCTAGCTATGTCACATTTAACTTCTCCAAACCTCAGTTTGTTAATATGTAAAATGGGAACAATACCTATCTTATAGGGCTTAATATAAGGTATAAAGCAGAGTGCCCAGATATTTGTTAAAACATAATATGGTGTCTCTTATTATTGGTTTTAAATTGGGGGCCTGATTTAATCTCATTCCCGTTAAAATAACTAACATGAATAGAGGCCTTAGCATGAGCCAGGCGTTGATGTAGGAAAGTGCTTCTCATCGGTGAAGTCATCCCATCCTATGACAGCCCTGTGAGGGACAGACACTCTACCGTGGGCCAGTTTACAGGTGAGACAGCTGAGGCACAGAGCGCGGTGTCCAAGGTCACACAGCTATGGAGGGCTGCGCAAGAATTCGAACCCAGGAAGCCCACCAAAGCATACAAGAAACCAGCTGGATTACAAAATTTCAGTTCATAAGGTAAAGTTTTGAAGCAGTTTTAATCTTCTTCCAGTAACGGCTCTCAACTTTATTCCATCAAATCTCTTTCTACTACATAGCAGGCTCCATCATCAACATTTCAGGCAACTCCATAATTTTTCAGGTACTTTTTGAGTTTTGAAAAATGTTTATTATGGCTAGGAAGACTCAGTCCTGTTCAACCATATTTTAAGCTATCAGCTTCTAACCAATATTAGATTGTGTTACCGACTCAATGCTTGTGCCCTCCCCCGCCCCCAGAATTCCTATGTTGAAGCCCTCGCCCCAAGTATGACGGATTCAGGAGGTGAAGCACTTAGGAGGTGATGAGGCTTAGATGAGGTCACAACGGTGGGGGCCCCCGGGATGGGACTAGTTCCCTTATAAGAAGGGAAAGAAACATCAGAGCTTCCTTTATCCACCATGCAAGGGCACAGCAAGAAGGTGTCCATCTGCAAGACAGGGACAGAGCCCTCACCAGAAACTGAATCTGCAGGCACCTTGATCTGGGACTTGCAGCCTTCAGACCATGAGAAATAAATGTCTGTTGTTTGAGCCACCCAGTCTGTGGCACCTGTTCCACCATCTGAGCTGACACTTACAGATTAGCCATTTGAAGGTCCGGATGGGTAAGAGGATCCTGCTGTCTCATCACCCTCCCACTATCTGGCAAGTATTTCTTCTGTTGCTGAGGTAGAGAGCAGGCGAGAGAGCTCTTTTTCCTTAAGGGATGGCCCCTGGATAACTGGTTGTTTGCTATTGATCTTTAACAACTGTTCCCTATTTGCTCACTTCGTTCCTTTAACACAGATGGGCAGTCTTTTTTTTTTTTTTTTCCCTGAGATGGAGTCTCACTCTGTCACCCAGGCTGGAGTACAGTGGCATGATCTCAGCTCACTGCAACCTCCACCTCCCCGGTTCAAGCTATTCTCCCGTCTCGGCCTCCCAAGTAGCTGGGATTACAGGCACAGGCCACCCGGGTAATTTTTGTATTTTTTTTTTTTTTAGTAGAGATGGGGTTTTGCCATGTTGGCCAGGCTGGTCTTGAACTCCTGACCTCAGGTCATCTGCCCGCCTTGGCCCCCCCAAACTGCTGGGATTACAGGCGTGAGCCACTGCGCCCGGCCCAGTCACTTTCTTCCGTGTCTCCCTGGGTGGGCGACTGCTTCAGGCTCAAGCTCCTCTCCCGTCCTCCAGCTGGGCAGTGCACTCTGCTGCCTCCACCGCTGCTATCCCTCATTTACTCATCAATTTATCTGCTAATAGGGTTACTGGCGAGAGGCTTGAGCTCCAACCACCTTCCATAATGTCCTCTTGACCCATCGGTGACGCCAGCCTCCCCTGCCATGCCCTGGGGACACAAGGCCCTCCACCTGCACTCTCCCAAGCCCAGTGTCTCTTCTCTGCCCCTTGCTGCATCTGGAGCCACTGTGTGTGCTGCTGGGTGGGTGGAGTCATCACTTTCAGACAATTACCCAGGAGGGGCTGCATGGTATGGGGTGGACTGTGCCCTCGGGACGCCCACTGTGGCTGCCATCCAGGCTGCACACAAACATTCCTTCCAGGCCCACACTTTAAAGCGAGGGGTATAACCAGGTGCAGTGGCTCACGCCTCTGATTCCAGCACTTTGGGAGGATGAGGCAGGAGGATCACTTGAGCCCAGGAGTTCAAGACCAGCCTGGCCAACACAGCAAGACCCTATCTCTACAAAAAAATTAAAAAATTAGCTGGCATGGTGGCGCATGCCTATAATTCCAGCTATTCATGAGGCTGAGGCAGGAGAATCATGAGCTCAGGGGGCAGAGGCTGCAGTGAGCTGTGATTGCTTACTGCACTCTAGT
This sequence comes from Homo sapiens, assembly GCF_000001405.40. NCBI lineage: Eukaryota > Metazoa > Chordata > Mammalia > Primates > Hominidae > Homo > Homo sapiens. The sequence goes on from NC_000012.12 coordinate 129,826,034, forward strand.
CTGGGCAACAGAGCAAGACCCAGTCTCTAAAAAAATCAAGTTAATAAAATAAAAAGTATTAAGTCAGTAGTGGTCCTGAGACTTGCTGCATCCCTGAACTGTGCAGAAGGGCCACATGTCACTTTCAGGTGACAACTTCAAGGGCCGCACGTGTCTCCACTGTGACCACGGGAGCAGGGGCCAGGATACAGCCTCCATCGGCTTGAGTCCCTGAGTGACCCTCCTAAGAGGGGCCCATCCTGCTGACCAGAGCTGAGCACACAGCGTGGGTGAGAAGTACATCTTCTTTGGGTTAAACCGCCTAGAGGTGTCGTAGGGTTTTGTTTGATACAGCATGACATAGCTGATTTCTTGACAGAAAAGAGACAGGGAGAAACAGCCCACACTGCAAATGACAAGTTCCCTTGAGTCAGCCTTTCACCGTGCCTGTCGTTCCTCATGTCTCTAGAGGTAAATGCACTGAATGAGTGCAGCCCGCCTTGCTCCTGGGACACAAGAGTCTTTTATCAAGAAGAAAAAGATCTTCTTTGAACTCAACTTTGTACTCATGAAGTGCTGGAATCCTTCCGCTGTGATAACGACCCGGTCAGGAAAATCATCCCAATGCCCCACAGCGGAAGGCTATTTACCTAAAGAATTTCAAAAGCCAACAGACAGGGATTGGACTGGATTTTGTAGGTATGGACACATTCCAGCCTGGTAACCAGGTACGAATGGACTAGCAGGGTCAGAGGCCTGAGACAGCAAGATCCATCCGAGGACTGGGTGAAATGCAGGTGTGGGGAGAAGCTTCGCTGGTCAACCAGCAACAAGGATGGAGAAAAAAAGTACAAAAGGAAAAAAAATCAAAACTCTGCTTTGACCTAGTTGTGAAAGAAAAATAGAGTGAAAAGCAGTTTGATGATGTCTTTTCTCAGAAGCTGACTAAATAAGTCTTGTCTTGAACTGAAATGCAAAAATAAAAAGGGGCTGTGCTAATAACTATTCTAAAAATTACACCATAATGAAATATGCAAAATACTAAATTATGAATTGATTTTAGTGATCATTATTTGGTGGTTCAGAAGGCAATTTAACATCTCATAACAATCACTCTTAATAATAGCAATTAATAATTAAGCGCGTCTCTATATTTGATCTTCTGCTAAGCTCTCCCCAGGCTTGACCTTTTAAATTCTTAAGGCTGTCTTATGCAATGAGTGCTATGATTATTCCCATTTTGCAGATGAAGACACTGAGGCTTGAAGAAACTAAGTAATTTGCCCAACAGCACCCAGTTAACAAAGGGTCCTCTCCAGTTTCTAAGCCCCAAATTCATGGTCACACCCCCAGGCAGAACTCTGGAGCACTGGCTAAAAACTGTAAGCAGCTGAACCAAAACAGGCTTTCTTCTCCCTTCCATGGTCCTCATATAAGCAAGGAGTAGAATTTGCAAAATACTAATGGGTATTTTGCAACTTTTTAACTATTTTACTTCTATGGCTGATTAGACTGAGTCCACAGTAATTTCTGTCCTTCCTCATTAGTGGTTGCTGGAACCCACGTTCTGAGCCTGCGGTGTTTCCTGCTGTGGCAGTTCACTAAATTAAATTTCAAAACATTCCTTGCCATAGACCCAGACATCCTTAACAAACAAATTCCAGCAAGTCTCAAGTGTAAAAAGGTGTCTGAGGAAGTTCTTGTTTGTCACTGGAAGTTAATCTTTAGCCCCCTCACCTCAGTTAAGTGCATTCCGAGCTAACAGATGCAAAGTGCTTGGAATTATGTTTTTAATGTGAGTATGGAAACTGAGAAAGCACAGCCATTAAAAAATAAAATATGTATAAGCTGCCTGCTACAGCCACTAAGTGATAAAACCATAATCTTCCTAAAGAAATGGGCCACATGTTTGTTTATATTAATGTTAATAACTTGCTAAGTAATGATAAATGTATGATAATTTATTCTAAGTAAAATGAAGTGTGCCCTAAAGACAGACTCTGTAAATGAAAGCTTATGCTCACCCAGTTTAGAGGAGGAACATTAATAACTTATTCTTTTACTGCAATGAGAATGATTGTATGCAAATCATATGCAAAGATACCCACAGTAGCAAAATAAAGGCTAAGCAGGGGGCCTGGGACAGAGAATTATTGGCAGAGGTTCTGTGAAATGATCTCTCACCCTCTTTGCAATGGCTCAGGAATTCATCTCACCGAGCCAGAGAATTTTCCTTAGCTTGTTCTTTGGGCATATTTAAGATTCAGGATTATTAGTCTTTGCTTCTCCATTACATAAATAGAATTAATAAAAGCCGCCTAATGTTATATTGCATACATTTAGAAATCATTAAGCCAAACAATCTTTGTGAATTTAGAAATTATGTAAGTATTATCTTTATAAATAATGTTAACAATTCTGATTTATCCATGTAGATAAACCCCAAATATCTATTAGCATTCACAGCAGTCTTCCTTCCCCTCCCAATATCACAACCATTACCTATTACGTTGGTACAATATGAGCACTCAAATTAAATTCATGTTATTATTTGTGGGAGATATGGTTGGTTGGCTACTCAAAAACATTTTATCCTCCCTGTGGGCTAATGAGAAGTAAGGAAGAAGAGAAGAAAGGGAAGAAAGGGAAGGAAGGAAAGGAAAGAAGGGAGGAAGGAAGGGAGGGAGGGAGGGAGAAGGAAGGGAGGAAAGGAGGGAGGGAGGAAAGGAGGGAGGGAGGGAGGAAAGGAGGGAGGGAGGGAGGAAGAAAAGGAGGGAGGGAGGGAGGGAGGAAAGGAAGGGAGAAAAAAGGGAGGGAGAAGAGAAGGATGAAAGGTATCCTCTAGAGGAAAAAATTATTCCAAGAGAGAAACAGGCAAAATTATCTATCCCAGAGCCATCTGCACCTTGCCTGTGAAAGAGGTGGAAGGGTATAAAGCCATACTGTCACTATGAGGAGGTGGCCGAGGGAATTAATTGCAAGAAGCCAGTGTGAATCTCCAACACCACTGTGCTTCTGAACCAAGGATGCTGGCAGCTACCAACTTCTAGACTTCTTTTTATGTGAGACAAACAAGCCCAAAGATGGCTAAGGCTCTGTTGATTGAATTTTCTGTTACTTGCAGCCAGCAGCATTCCTAGCTGATATGTTATTCCTATAACAAACCAGTGGCATCAAAGCACAATGAGAATCAGAAAATGAAAAAAAAGAAAACCAGAATCATGGTTAGAATAATCGTGGTTATTATAGAGTTCAGTGGCTTTTCTGAAATACGACGGCCACAGGGAGAGGCATCACCCCAGAAAGGGACATCTCCTTCCTCTTCCTCTTCCTCTTCCCGGGAATTTAGGGATGATGGCAATAAGACTTGTGAAATCCAATTCCACTACTGAGTACAGCACAATTTTTCCATGACAAATGTGCTTTTATGGGATTGGCAAGGTGGAGAAGTTGGCACCCAATGCTCCCCTAAGGAATGAGACTAAAGCTTGCCAAGCACACCAGGTCACCCAAACTCAGGGCCTCCTTGTCTACAGAGGTCAATGTCTGTCCTGAGCCACTCCTGGGACAGTCTCCAGACCTGGGGTAACAGCTGAGTCACCTTAGCCCCGTGTTTTCCCTTCCTGCTTCTGCCAGGAAATGCCAGGACTAAGTCTCAGGTGCGAACTGAGATGAGGCTGGAAAGCTTCACTGCAGAGCACAGGAGATGGGGGAGCTTTTGAAGCATCAACCTTGTTCCTGAAATAAGGGTAGGTGATTCTCCACACTTCATCTGAAATCATCCAAAGCCAAGACAGCAAAAAATAAGGGTGTCTTTTCTGAGAAACCCAGAGCTTTTACCATCAATTAGAACGACTCACCCAGGTCAGATCCTGGACTGCTGCAACCAACTGAATCAAATCTCCAGCTAAAACCTCAGGTTTTAAGTTTGTTTGTCTCCTTTCAGGTTATATTTCATTACTTACTTGTGAAAAAGAATCTAGAGTGTGATCTCACTCAGCTCCAAGCCTCTCAGATACAGAGTGGCACAGAGCTCAGGCTCTGAGCTGTTTCCTTAGACACAGTGCATTTGCACCCACACCTGCATCCTCCAACTGCAAATTAAGGCTGATGGCAATATCTACTTCATTCAGTCAATGGAAGGATTGAAGAACCGTATACATACATACACACATACACATACATACAAACATATGTGATACACACACATATCCATCAATACATACACAGCCACATGAGAGAGAGAAAGAGAGACGATAGATGACAACATACACACTCATATATCATCCAGAAGAGCTGTGAAAGGAAAATATCTTGGGCCCTCAAAATCACTAAAAGCTAAAAGGAAAATTCATGCTGAGAACTGCCCAGGACAAACCTGCCTCTCATTCTATTCAAAGTCATCCCTCTGCTCATTCAGACAGAGGCATATTCTGATTGCCTCCTTCGGAAAGGCTTAGTAGAAACTCAAAAGGATGCAAGCTTTCCTCTCTCACCTACCTGTAACCTGGAAGCCCCCTCCCTGCTTCCAATGTCCCTGCCTTTCTGAATGGAACCAGTATCCTTCTTCCATAAATTGATTGATGTCTCCTGTTTCCCTAAAATGTATAAAACCAAGCTGGGCCCCAACCACCTTGGGCACAAGTTGTCAGGACTCCCTGGGGCTGTGTCACAGGCACTCGTCCTTAACTTTGGGAGATAAACCTCCCAAAATGATTGGGCCTTATCTCGTCATTTTTCTCTACGTAGAAAGCACTTTATAAAAGTTAGTTATTATTATTACAACGATTATTTAAAAACTCAAACCTAAGTGTTTAACTCAGGAGTTTCAATAATTGGTGATGGAAAAGTCAACGTAGTTGGGTGTTGAGAAGTGATTTTTCTACTGCATGCTACTCAAATTTCTAAGTCACGAGAATTCAAGTGTTGGAGACACCCCAGGACTCTCCGTCTGGCTCCCCTCCTCCCCTTCCCTCCCTCCTGGGCTCAGGCTAGGAGTTGGCTCCACCCACAGGCAGGCTCTCTCTTTCCAAGCTCCTTCTCTCCAGGCTTCTAGTTTCTAGAAGTTCCACCATGAGTCCTGAAATTGAACCTCATTGGCCTGTTTATTTCTGACCCCCTGGGTCACATACCCTCCTCTGGAGCCAGGAACTGGGACCCAGCCCACTCACCAGCACATCACTGAAGGGGTGAAGAAAGCTGGTTTCCCAAAAGGGAACTCCAGACCCCGATACCCACAGAAGAGAGAACAGACGCTGACATGGGCACTGACAGATGACCCTTTCAAGGCTGGAGTCAGGGTAGACAGCCATTGTCCCTCCCACACATGCACACCACTGAATACGCAAATGCGATTGCGTGTGTCTGCTTCCATCACAAGGCGCAATGATATTTTATATAGAGAGACTGTGGTCTTTGATGCCAAGTGAGTGTGGGTTTGAGAGGCGCTCTGAGGCCCGACAGCTTCTGATCCCGGATGGGGATTATGCGGCCGGTGCCTCGGCTGGCTCAGCCGTGAAAAATAAAACAGGGTGGATTCCAAACGAGACGACACACGTGAATGCTTTAGACCATGACCTAGCGGTTTTCTCTATTATTCTGTATTCTAAGGAATGAATACGCAGTTATAACAATGATTAGCCTCCTGCTTCTAGTTTCAGTAGGAAACAGAGCTGGATTCAGAGCCGACAGACCTCACCAGCTCTCAGCTCTTCTACTGACCAGCAGAAAAACTGAGCAAGCCATTAAACCCAGGGTGCGCATCTTCCAGCCTCCCAACAACCCCCAGGCTGTTTGTGCATGACCTCCAAATAAGCACACGTTGAAGCATTTTTTTTTCTTTTCTTTTTCTTTCTTTCTTTTTCTTTTTTTTTTTTGAGACTGAGTCTTGCTCTGTTGGCAGGCTGGAGTGCAGTAGCACGATCTCAGCTCACTGCAATCTCCACCTCCCGGGTTCCAGAGATCCCCCTGCCTCAGCCTCCCGAGTAGCTGGGACGACAGGCACCTGCCACCATGCCCGGCTCTTTTTTTTTTTTTTTTTTTTTTTTTTGTATTTTAGTAGAGACGAGGTTTCACCATGTTGGCCAGGCTGGTCTCAATCTCCGGACCTCGTGATCCGCCCGTCTCAGCCTCCCAAAGAGCTGGGATTACAGGTGTCAGCCACTGCACCTGGCCGTTTTGTAGCATTTTTAAAGGGTTGGAAGAAGGAACAGGAGGAAGAGATATAGAATAACGGAAAGAAAAGAAGGAGAGGAAAAAGGGGGAGGGAAAGAATGAAAAGGAAGAGGAGGAAGAGAAGATGTAACAGAGGCCACATGTGTTTTACAAATTATATATATACATAAAATATTTTTGTAAAAGGATATATCATAAATATTATATATTATATTCTATAACATGGTATATAACATATCGAATAGGACATATATTTACTACGTAGCTCTTTACAAAAAAGCTTGCAGACCCTGCACTAAACCATGGAGCCTGTTTGTTTATGAAATGGGGAGATGACATCCTCGCAGCTTCCCCCATAGGTCCACTGGGAGCATCAAACAAGATGATGCATATCTGAGTATTTTTGTGGCTTCTGCAGCACTAGGTCCATCCCAGCATGGCCACCTCTGCCTCCTCCCAGGCCTCTGCCCGGCAGGTGAAGGGCTGAGGTGCGCAGGCTCAGAGATAGTCAGGGGACGCTGCAGGCATTTGTTCCATTCCGCCCGTCACTGTTGCCACAAACCCGGCCATGATCTGAGAGGAAGGCTTTCTTTATGGAGCCGTCACTTTTCTGAATCCTGGGGGAGTCCTTCAAAGGCACCGTCTCCAATAATCCCACTTTCACCTGTCAGAGAGCTTGTTTTGAATTCAGTTTCAACCCCTTCAATCCAAGTTCCACCTTGCTAAGAACTAGCAAACTCATTTAACTCTTTCTCGCAATCCCCCTCTACTCCCTACCTTAGCTGGTCACTCTCAGAAAGTCAACCTTGACCTACGGGTTCTTCACACTGATGCCTCTCGCAAATTACAAATGCCTCTGGCCGATGTCCAGACTTTGACCTTGAAGATGCTCGTGCCTGAGTGCAGGCTGTTCTGTGGTTTAGTGTGTGCTCCACACACAACTCTACTTGGCTTTCATAGACCCCGTAGATATTTTTCCAGATAAATTGTCCTCGCATTGATGTGTGACCCATGCAACTGAATTGTTTTTAATGCAGGCCTCAAGTAAGCTACAGTCGGACACACACAAAGGCAAACCTTGTTCCCTTTCTGCCCTTGTAATTCCTTCCTACACCATTAAAGAATATTTCTGGGCTGGGTATGGTGGTTCATGCCTGTAATCCCAGCACTTTGGGAGGCTGAGGTGGGCGGATCATGTGAGCCTAGGAGTTTGAGACCAGCCTGGGCCATGTGGTGAAACCCCATCCCTACAAAAAAATGAAAAACAAAAACAAAAACAAAAACAAAAAACAGCCAGCTGTGGTGGTGTGCACCTGTAGTCCCAGCTACTTGGGAGGAGGAGGTGGGAGGATCGCTTGAGCCCAGGAGTTCGAGGCTGCTGTGAGCTGTGATCACGCCACTGTTCTCCAGCCTGGGCAACAGAGCAAGACCCTATCTCAAAAAAACAAAAAACTCAGAATATTTGTTTCATTTCATTCCTGTTTTTAATGTGAATTTGTGTTTTTCTAAGAATAAAGCTGTACCCATGTGAAATTCACAGCCCATTGCCACAGGCACCGTCCCCAATTTCAGCTCTAGCTTCCACTCCTCTGCCCATGGGCAAGGCATTTAACAAGTCGGTGTCAGTCTACAGGAAACTCCTCTCAAGCAAATAGCATAACTAGGTCTGGGGATCTCGGCTGTTGTTCCTAATGCCTACATGCCTAAAACTATTTTTTTTTTAATTCAAGCATGTCGCATATGAGCAGTACCCAGGATTCCTCACTTTCAAATGTGCTCTCCACAAGATTCTGACACCCAGCCTGGTTGGGGGAATCACTGAGGGGGTGTCATCTCTGTTCTTCCTCCCCAGGAACTTTCGGATCACTGTTCAAGGACTGAGGCCCATCTGCTCCATAAGGGATTGTAACCGAGTGGCCCAGACTTGAAACACATTTTACAGTTTTTCCTTTCCCTTCCTTCTTCATCTCAGAATGTAGCCTGGAAATACACTTTAAGACTTCACTTCCCTCCTTTCCACCAGGCACTCGGATGTGCTATTCTCCCTCCTCCAAGTATGCACTTACTTAGAAATTCTAGGGGCTTGTTTTGAAACAAACCAGTCCCGAGACCCAGCTGCTGCTTAAATGGAGTTATGGACAATTAGTCCACCACCACCATCGGGCCAGCATCAAGATAATGGCAACCAAACCTCAGGACAGGCAATTTCTCAAGATAGCCATTGGAACAGGGCACATGGACCTACACCCCGCCCCCTCCCTCCCATACCACTCCTGCATATCTCCCATACAGTTTTCCTTCCTAAACCCCCTCTCTCAGCCCTGAAAGATGAATGGTCTTTTGAGGACATGAGCCTGACCATGCACCAGCTGCTAGCACTGGAATAAAGCCGCTTTCCTTCCACCACTCCTCGCTTCTGTTCTGGTCCCTGGGCAGTGAGCAGCAGGACCTGAGTCGGTTTCAGGATGAGCACGATTCCTGTGATGAAGGCATCAGGCGGCAGGGCTCACAGTGCAGACCCACAAATGGAACCCCGTCCACAGAGGGCTCAGGCCAGCACAGCGTCTTAAAATCATCTGAATCTCACCATTTTGAAGTGGAAACCACATGCTCTATTCCCCACAGGCTGCACATTGGGCCGTTTTATTCATCAGGAACTTGGGGCATGGTGGATGGAACCTATGAGCTTTTTGGTATCTGAACAAGAACTGATAAAGATGGTAAATGGATACTATGGAGAATTGAACAGAAGGGAGAGGAACAAACAGCAACGTGCCCAGATCTTAGGAAACACATGCTTACTGAATGAAGCAGGTAAAAAAGGAAGCCAGGATAGAGTGTAACATCAGCCGTATGCACTAGGACACATGCCCACATGGCCATCTGTCTTTATTTTACAAAGACACGGGATATTTGAGGCTCAATAGCAAAGGCATTAGGATCGGCACCCATGGGAGATGAGAAACAGCCCTAGTGCAAGGAGATGCAAGAAAAGTAGAAAATACAGCAAGGAAAGGGCTTTGCTGGGGTTAATGACAGTCTGTCCTCAAACTGTTAGGTTAACTCAATTTTCTGTCCATGAGGTTTTGGGGTTTTGAGGGGTTCGTCTTTGTTTTTGTTTTGAGATAGGATCTTACTTTGTCACCCAGGCTGAAGTGCAGTGGCGTGATCTTGGCTCACTGAAGCTTCGACCTCCTAGGTTCAAGCGATCCTCCTGCCTCAGCCCCTCAAGTAGCTGGGATTACAAACAAGCGCCACCAGGTCCGGCTAATTGTTTTATTTTTAGTAGAGACAAGGTTTCACCATGTTGTCCAGGCTAGTCTCGAACTCCTGACCTCAAATGATCCACCTGCCTCGGACTCCCAAAGTGCTGGGATTACAGGCGTGAGCTACCACACCGAGCCTGTGCATGAGGTTTTAAAAAATCATGCGCAAAAAAGACTGTAATATGAAAAATTATTATGTTGGTTGTAAAATGCTAAATCCTTGAAATGTATAGTATAGTTGTGTGATTAAACGGGGCAGGGACATCTGTGGCACACCTAATACTCACGCGCCTTCCCATATTTTCCCCAATGCCTTGCAGGGATGAGTCCCTGGGACCAGCTATGCTCCTACTCACTCTGAGCAGAAATGATCCAGCCCCTTCATTGCTGGAGCACCTCAGAGCTTCAGTCTGACCCTCTAGGGGCTCTCTTCCCCACCATGGGAAGGTGTGGAGCCCTCCTGGGCCAGATGGTACAACTCCCAGATGCTCAAGCTTCCATCAGCCTGTTCCCTGAGCAGCAGGACTCCACTGTCTTGTACTAAACATATAACTGAAATGAGAAATACAACTCTGTTATGTCCTGGGATGTCCCAGTACCCAGCACATCCTAATACTCCCAGCTCATGTAACTGTGTCAATGCATCAATTGCCATTGATTGGTTATATATTTACCTGTTAGTCATGTTTCATATGGAGTGTGAGTGCATGTCACATGTTTAATATGACTGTGATGGAGCCTCTCAAAGGAAGGATGGTTAGATCTTACAATCCTTTAAAAATCCTTTAAAAAGCTCTGTCTGCTCCAACTACCATTTCACATCTGGCTTAATCCTCCAGTCTAATGTGCTCCCTGACCTCTGCAGACATTTGGAGCTGAGACCTTGTGATCTCAGCATCCTCTTGAGACAGGAGAGAGAGAGAGTTCTCCATCAGCTGAGTCTCAGTATCTCTGCAGTGTTTCCTATGATCAGCAGAATTGGTATTTGTTAACTAAATGATTCTGATAACTAAGTGGATTGCTTGTGTCTCCAGGAATGCAGAGTGTGTGTGTGTGTGTGTGTGCGCGCGTGTGTGTGTGTACCCCGAATACTGAGAGAATGTCATATTACCCAAGTATATGCTACATTTCATAAATGTAAAGATGTATACATTAGCTCTTTATTAAGTAAAAGTAGTGTTTCTATAACAACATAATGGCACTACCTTCCTTCTATGTGCATAAAATAAACATCTCCCATGAATCATTAAATCATAAAAAGGGCCCCCAAAACCATAAAAAGAGATGAATTACTGCAGTAAAATGACTCTCTAGGTGTGTGTTGATATTTACACACACAGCTACTAAAATCCAGCAGTCTGAGGCAACGATTATTGTACAGTACTTATATCTCTACAAACTTAAAGATTTGGACAGCTTGTTAAAAAACACATTGTAGCTATAGCCATTTACAGACTAATTAAGGCAATCATTAACAAATCTATCCCTCTAATTGATTCCAAATTTTGCAAAGCAAAGAAGAAAATGTAAATGAAAAAGAAATCTATTCTTAACCTACAGGAGAAAGGAATTAGGTTCAAAGACACTCTCTAGGAAACGGAAACCATGACACGTTTGTTGTCGATAAACAGCGCTGTATGTGACCACTGCCACTTAAAGGAATGTATTCCAGAAATAATTATGTAATCCAGGCAGTAACATATGTGTTACCCAAGTCTAGTAATTATTTTTTTATAGATGCTGCTTGCATTATTTAAAATATGCATGTTTGTGGAAAGTATTTTGTGACAATTTTCTTTGTTGACATCTCCCTAAAAGAATTTATTCTCAAGGATATTCCCTTTTCATGGGAAGTAAGCCTGGAAATACCAAAACTAAACACAGGTCCACGGTGCTATTTACAAGGCAGAGAGTCCTGTACTGAAGATCTTAGTACAAAATTCACACGTCCAGATGAATTTTGTTAAGTTGCTAGGTTTACAAACAATTGCTTTTTAAAACTTTCTACAGTTGCAGGTAAAATACAAACAAAAGACACGCACATACACAAAAAAGAACAGCACCTTTATCTTCCTCAATGAGGCAACTTCTCCAAATAGAAGGATTTATGCTTTAAAAGGTGAAAACCAAGGAGAAGTAATTTATTCCCACTCCAAACTTGCTCAGACCTTTCTAATAGTGATTTTCCCCCACCAAATGAAAAGCTTGCTTTCAATGTCTTCGATCTGCTGTTAACATTTTTAACCCAAAACGTAAACGCAGATGATTTACTTCCCAACCACACACCCATGTCTCTCTCAGAATGAATGAGCTACAGCATCACAATAGTTCCTGGACTTCCTGCCTCTCCGGAGCCCACGAAATATACATGAAATGGTTTCGTGCCACCTGCAAATGAAAAAGTCAAATAAAATTTATAGTTTGGAGGCAGATTTCCAAAAACCCTGGAACGGCTAAGTTAATACATCTGTCATATATAATTACACACAAAATGTAATCCAAAACATCTATTTTTTTCTTTCTCTCTTCAGACAAGAATAAAGCAATTGCCCAGACCTGAGCTTAAATAGCTGCCCCACCAAACAACGATATTCACCTCTGACGTTTTCATGCACCAATAAAATTTGATCATTCAACGTGCTTTTCAGGAGCAGTTGCTCTCTCCATTACACAAACTGCTGCACTGGATTCCTGGTCTTTTTAAAGGATGACCATAAATCAGGATTAAAAGCCACAGGTGAGCTGCTGTTAACTCAGAATGTCCACACTGTCTTTCCTAAATCACTCATCAACCCAGGTATGACCAAGGAAAAAGGACTGCCCAAGGTATGCTCTAGAATAGAAAGCGTCTTTCCAACTCTCTTCCGAAAAATCTGAAAGACTGCATTTATGGTCTAGATGCAATTTGAGAGAATGCAACGGTTCCTTATCTGGAAAGAGAGAGACAAAACATTTATAAAACTTTGTCTGTCAGAGCGGCCAGTTCAGGCATTGCACTTTTCCCTACATCTGATTCCTTAGTTACTTAAATTTTAGATTGCCTAACCCCCTTCCACTGAATCCAAAGAAAGAGGAGTAAGAAAAGACAGGCTTAACACAGATGTGGCTCTGTAACTGTTGGTTAAACTGGGTAAAAAATATTTGTGCCATATATGATCAAGTGTTATTTTAAATATAGAAAGAGCTGTTAGAAAGTAATCAAAAAGAGAAATACCCTAACATTGAAAAATAGTATTCATAGGATATGAATAGGAAAGAGTGATTCTCCAAAGAAAAAATGCCAGCGGCAAACAAGAACACTATTTAACCTAGTAGTAATCAAAGACAAGCAAATTAAAAGACTAATGAGATATTCTTTTTTCCCCTTAATTATAAAACTTACTGTTGGCAAGGGAACAAGGTAACTGATATTCCACACACTGCTATATTCCATTTAGCAGTATAAACTGCTGTCATTTTTTGGAGGTCAGTTAAGAATAGGAACTTTTAAACTTAAAACTCTTTTTTTTTTTTTTTTGAGACGAAGTCTCCCTCTGTTGCCCAGACTGGAGTGCAGTGGTGCAATCTCAGCTCACTGCAACCTCCACCACCGGTTTTGAGAGATTCTCCTTCCTCGGCTTCCCAATTAGCTGGGATTACAGGCGTCCACCACCACGCCTGGCTAATTTTTTTTTTTTTTTTTTTTTTTTTTTTTTTTGAGATGGAATCTCGCACTGTCGCCTGGGCTAGAGTACAGTGATGCGATCTCAGCCCCGCAACCTTCGCCTCCTGGTTTCAAGCAATTCTTCTGCCTCAGCCTCCCGAGCAGCTGGGATTACAGGTGTGTGCCACCATGCCTGGCTATTTTGTATTTTTAGTAAAAACGGGGTTTCACTATGTTGGCCAAGCTGGTCTCGAACTCCTGACCTTGTGATCCGCCTGCCTCGGCCTCCCAAAGTACTGGGATTACAGGTGTGAGCCACCGTACCCGGCCCTAATTTTTGTATTTTTAGTAGAGACAGGGTTTCACCATGTTGGCCAGGCTAGTCTTGAACTCCTGACCTCAGGTGATCCGCCTGCCTCAGCCTCCCAAAGTGCTGGGATTATAGACATGATCCACTGTGCCCGGCCTTAAACTTCAAACTCTTAAAGTACATAGGTAGTTTTGGCCCCAGGAATTCCCCTTCTGGGAATATGCCTTAAAAAAAGACTGAGCATATTTTTAAAAACATATATGAATATAAGGAGAGCTATCACAGCACACTATTGAAAACACTACAAACACTGAACCAGTCCATAGCAGGTCACTTGGAAGACCTGAAGGGAAAGAGAATAGGAGCTTCAACAGAGGCGATCCGGATCCAAAGGAACCACTGGGTGCTGTGCGGTTACGTCTGAGGCCATCACCCGCTGCAGAGCCAAGCCTGCGGCGACTGGGAGGTGAGGTGAGCGCTCATCAAACCCAGCTCCCACACAGAACGTCCGTGAGTGTCTGATTCACACAGGGTTCATGCAGTGTGTCACTCCCTGGCATCTACACTCCTCTTTGCTAAACTCAAATGCACCCCTGATCAGTAAAAACTATTTTAATACACCCCCTAAATATGTGTATTATTACACCTATGAATGTACTAATATATTATGTACATTAAAAAATATGACCTCAATTTTTTAAGTGTTTAGGATACAATGTAAATTACATATAAATCAAAGCTCTGTTTTCCTTGCACACACCCTGGGTGAGAGACCGCCGCTCCCGGAGGCTCTTCGTCCTCTGCAGAACACACCTGGGGTGGTGAAAGGTGTCGGCTGAAGCATGGAGCACATCCTCCGGGCTCCCCAGTGACCTTGGGCACTGCCCCCCAACAGAGCTTCAGGCCCCTCCCCCACTATGGCCCCGAGGATGCCCCTCCCAGCCTGTCTGAGGAGTCATGCCAAGTCCCTGGCACCCAGGGTTAAATTCCTTCATTTGAGCACACGTCCGGCGGCCCTTCATTGTAAGCTCTCAGTAAACGGTTCCCCGGAAATTAAAATACAAAAATTCTCCAACTTCAATCCATGAAATGAATTATAATTAGAGAAAAATAAAATATGTTTTAGTTTTAATTTTCTATAATCTTAAAAAATATTTATGTATCTATCTTTTATGTCTCCGAGAAGGCACACACAGAAAGTAAAAAGCCCAGGGCGGGGGCTGCGCAGCCTGCCCTCAGGCCTTCCTCCAGCAAGGAGGCTCCCAGTGCGGCCGCCCGCTTCCCAGGCCAACTCCAGACTGTGTTCCAGTCCCACCCTGGCAGCCTGGGCAACACCAGCGAGCTTCTGAAGCCACTAGCACCTCAGTTCCTCATCCTCAAACATCAAACAAGGACCCCCGCCTCATGGGATTTGTAACAATTAAATAAGACAATACTCGAATGCAATGGTTGCTTAATGCTTAATAAATATAGCATTAAAAGCTTAATAAGGAAAGCATGAAATGCTTAATAATTATCACCTAGAATGGTTATCGTCACTGATGACTAAATTTAAGAACAATCATTAGCTGAGTGTGCTGTTTGGTTACAGAACTGGGGGAGTCTCTGGCAGAGTATAGATTAAGTGTATTCAACTTTGTCACAATAAAATGTAAAAAGAATCAAATTTTGGCACTGCGGATGCATAAACACGCAGAGTTAACACATTACATATTAAATACTATATCTGACATGTGCGCACCCCTGTGTATATACATAATTCTACTTTTTTAAAGCCTCAACAATGGAGTTACCAAAAGTTTTCAGCGTGCTCTCTACTATCCTTTTCCCCCTTGGAGAGCATCAAATCTCAAAAGGAAGAAAGAAAAGATTCACATAATTCTAAAAAAATCTATTTCTAAGATTAAAAAAGAAAAAAAAAAGAAATTGCCATAGGTGGTTGCTTCCAAGCCCTCGTAAGATTGTCTAATTAGATTGAATGAGTTTTTATTTCATTCATTCGGGGCTGAGACATGATGAAATCCCAGTTTAATCAACCCTTGGTCCCAGGGCTGCTCAGAAAAAAACTTTTCCTCAAAGCCATGAACTTCTGCCAAGAGCGTGTTAATTTTAGCTTCTGTATTTCCTTCTTCCCTCTGTAATAGTAATGAGGTGCACTGAAATGTTAATATTACTTGGGATGTTCATTTAAACTCTTTCTTAAACTTTTGCCCTAAGTTCTCTTTTTCTAATAGGCAAAGTGATGTTTTGCCAAGCGAGAGGCACAGATGGAGAACTCAACGACGAAGTTGTGAAGGTGAATGCGTCACTGCTAAAATATTAATTGTATTTAAATGAGAATGTCCTCTCTTTTCCCCAAAATACCAAAGCAATCAACTCAGGAATAGTCTACTGAATAAATGGGTTCTAGTCCTTTTAATAAAAATAAAATTAATATATAAGAAAATTAAGTAATAATAGTAATGGCTGATATTCGTTGAGCACCTCCTAAGAGCCAGCCCTTGCTCTAAGCACTCGTGGTTTTCGTGTTTTTTTTTTTTTTTGAGACGGAGTCTCGGTCTGTCCCCCAGGCTGGAGTACAGTGGCGCGATCTCGGCTCACTGCAAGCTCTGCCTCCTGGTTTCACGCCATTCTCCTGCCTCAGCCTCCTGAGTAGCTGGGACTACAGGCGCCCACCACCACGCCCGGCTAATTTTTTTTTTTTTTTTTTTTTTTTGTATTTTTAGTAGAGATGGGGTTTCACCTTGTTAGCCAGGATGGTCTCGATCTCCTGACCTTGTGATCCACCCGCCTCGGCCTCCCAAAGTGCTGGGATGACAGGCGTGAGCCACCGCGCCCGGCCAGCACTCCTGTGTTTTCACCTGGATGTCTGACCCCACAATTGCAACATCTCATTTTCCCAAAGTGATGGAGACCCCTGGGGACAGACACAGAGATTTCAGGTGGTTTAAACGCTGGCATTCAATAGGACTGGGTCGTTCTGTGAAGAAATTATTCTCTTTCCGATGTCTTGCCAATCCTACTGATGCCATTGAGGCAGAAATATTTCTTTTTTTTTTGGTTTTGTTTTATATTTGTTTTGAGATAGAGTCCTGCTCTGTTTCCCAGGCTGGAGTGCAGTAGTGTGATCTTATCTCACTGCAGCCTCAGCCTCCTGGGCTCAAGCACTCCTCCCACCTCAGACTCCTGAGGAGCTGGGACTACAGGCACATGACACCATGCCCAGCTTATTTTTTAATTTTCTGCAGAGACAGGGTCTCACCATGTTGCCCAGGCGGGTCTAGAACTCCTGGGCTCAAGCGATCCTCCAGCCTTGACCTCCCAAAGAGCTGAGATTTCAGGCGAGGGAGAGATTCCTGCTTCCTGCTGGTGTATCTTTAATTTCCCCAGCATTGCCGATCTCCCCTTTCAGTGGACACAGAGCAGGACACGGTATCTGCTAAGAGACGAGTCATCCTGTTTGCTTTTGTTGTGTTCAATTTTTAGCCTCTATTTTTCATAAATAATCCTGGCTTTCCACTTATATTAGTTATGTAAAATTTTATGATAAAATATTTTATTATTGAAAAAGTGTCTCATTACAAAAGAGAACATTCAGCAAATAATAGTACTGTTGGTTCCAGATATGGCAAAAAACGTAAAACACAAATGAGTTAAGTTTGGAAGTCTCTAACAATGTTACGAATATAGTATATTCTGTAAATAGTACTGCCTGTAAGATGTTGTTTAACTCTAACAGTATTTTTTTCAATATACTTGCCCATAGAGCCCACTTTTTGAAGGAGAATCTCCAGTGTGTCTGATCCACATAAGACTGTTTTCCAAAATAAAAAAACATTTTAATAAAAAAAGAATATGACCAAATAATAGATTAAGAATTTTCAGAAAGCCTCAATTAGAAGATAAATCTATCTAAAATATTAGAGTTTATAAATACGTTGTCAAATATTTACTAGATTCTTCCTCATATAGACCATGTCAAATTTATGACACGATTCCACCCCATAAGTGATCATAATTGCATCGAATCACAAGACATAAATCAAACACATGGAATGTAGAATGCAAAAATGATTTATTGAAAACCACTACACGCTAAATGATATTGACAGATTATTTATGCAATCAAAAACAAAAAGGATCAAAATAACCTGCAGAAACAAAAATAAGCAAACAATCTCAAGAGGTGCTGACCTTGTACGAGCGGAAACAGGGACACAGGCAGGAAGGGACCTTCACAGTATTAGAGTCTATAATACAAATACATCACATTTGTAACAACAACAAAAAATACCAGCTACTCAAAAAACTACTACTGACACACTAACAAAATAGATATTGAAAGACACTTTCACTACCATCTAACTGACCTCTCCCTGAACCTATCAGAACTTATCAAATGGCCAGGCATGATGGCTCATGCTTATAATTCCAGCACCTTGAGAGGCCGAGGTGGGGGGATTGCTTGAGCCCAGGAGTTCAGGGCCAGCCTGGGCAATATAGTAAGACCCTGTGTCTACAAAAATTAAAAAAAAAATTTTTTTAATTAGTTGGGTGTGGTGGTGTGTGCCTGTAGTTATAACTACATGGGAGGCTGAGGCAGGAAGATCACTTGAGCCCAGGAGGTCAAGACTGCAGTGAGCCATGATCATGCCACTGCACTCCAGCCTGGGTGGCAGAGTGAGACTCTGTCTCGGAAACCAACAAATAAAAAGAACTTATGAAGTGCCATGGAACAGGCATTCTTCCATTGGGTCAATGCTAGCCCGCATATTTCAACACATCTGAAGAGGGGATAAATCTTATGAATGACACTTATTTTTAATGACATACAATAACTTATGCCAATTCATCTTTACATGCTTGAAACAATTGAGGGAAGGGGGAAGGAGAGAGAGCTTGCATGAGAAGCATATAATCTGAAGAAGAGGTGAGCCTGCAAGTCACTCTGCCAGGTGGGCATTTGACCTGGAGTGTGTGTGAGATGAGGTCTCATGCCTACCCCCTCCACTCTCCGGATCCCCCATATCTCTTGTAGTGTATCTTGCCAAGACAAATGTAATCCCAATGTTTAGGGAGATTATTCATCACTATTAAAGATTCCAGCAATTTCACGGATGTTCATCTGAACAGACAAAGCTCATCGGGTTTAAAAGAAAATCTTGCAGTGCTGGACTTTCTAAGCAAAGCCTGTGAGCCCTTATGCACCTCTAAATAATGAGAAGAACGATGCTGTGCTTGGAGAAATTTCTTCAGTGTAAGCAGGTGTCTGAAGGCCACAGTAGTGAAATCAATGCTTTCAGTTCCAACAGAATCATAACCTCTCCCTTATATGGTCCCAGAACTCATCTTTTGCATTGTCAAGGGGCTGAATCACAGTCCTTAATGAACTAGTAACAATAGGATTTTGAGTCATAAAATCCACTTTCCATTTTGGCTTGGAGTGGTGGAGGTCACACTAAGCACCATCCATTTGAAGGAAGGATAGAGTCACCTATTCATGAGACAGGAGGGATTTCAAAACATCTGGTGATGATTATGCTCTATAATCAGCTGACATTTCTACTTCCTTTACCTCTGATGCAAGTGCAATGAGATCCAACCAACTCCCACGGAGCCAGCTGGTAAAATAATTAAAGTGCTACCTTACCCTGTGTTTTCAAAACGAGAAGTTTACCTTTTGGTGTACAGAGAAACGGTGATTTTATTTCAATATCTAGAAGAAAAACATACGTACTCAAGGGAAATAACATGAAATTAATATGTATGGATACATATATTTAAAATACGCATACCAAGTAAATCTGTTTTGTGGCTAATATCCCAGGGCTAACTAATAATCAAAACAACACTTCCCTATAAGAATGTTTAAATGCAGATTTATGTTCCTGAGAAATGTTATAGCCTAAGAGGAACTTCTAAAGGCAGATAAAACCTGAATGTCTTTCTTTGTGCCGCTGTTTTAGAGGTATCAAGAGCAACATGTTTTACATTAGTCAGAAATAAATAACAACAAAACCATTCACAACCTTTTTGGGAAATGAAACACGTCTGAGACGGAAAGGGCCACGCTTGCAATACTATACTTGCTCTTTCTCTTACTACATGGAAATTCTAGAGATACTGACTGTGTTTAAATATTATCCTACAAAAGCCCCTCAGCTGCCCCACTGGTAAGGTCTGTCTCAAAATTTCATTACAAGTTCATATTAGATTTAACCCAAATTAAAGTGATTCTCAAAGCAAAATCACTATTATAAACAGTATCTAGTAAAATTCAAATCAAAATGACACAGGGCAGATAAGCCCCAAAATTGGGGCTTAACCCAGGAGGGTTCTTGGCATTGCCCAGGAAAGAATTCAAGGGTGAGCCAGTGGTAACTTTTACTGAAGCAGCAGTGAACAGCAGCAGCAGAGGTCCTGCCCCTGGCAGAGCAGGGCTGCTCCACAGGCCGTGCTCCCAGAGCAGCAACTCAGAGGCAGCTCTGCAGTCGTACTGATACCCACTTTTAATTACATGCAAATTAAGGGGCAAGTTATGCAGCAATTTCTAGAAATAGAGTAGTAACTTCCAGGTCATTGGGTCGTTGCCATGGAAAGGGGAGGCAGCTTTTGGGTGTTACCATGGCAATGATAAACCAACATGGACTGGTGGGCATTTCTTATGGGGAGGTGCTTTTGCCTTGTCCCTGTTTCAGGTAGTCTTCAATCTGGTCCACAGCCCAAGCCCCACTTCTGGAGTCAAGTCTCACCTCCTACCTCAAACTGACCTAAGTTTATCTAATTATTACTCTGTGTGATCAATTTTCATTTAATTACCCATGCACTTATCATGGCCTTTCATTCATTCCTGCATTTGCATGCTTTCTTAGAGCTGGTTTTCCTTCTATTTGAAAATGCCTTTAGCATCTCTTTCACTGAAGGCTGACTAAGTCAAAGTCTTTCTGGTTGGTTTTTCAAAAATACTATTATTTAGTCTTCATTTTTAAAGAATATATTTTCTATATATAGAATTCTAGGTCCTTGGGTTCTCTTCATCTTAAACACATCACTCCATTGTCTTCTGAATGTCATTATTTCTGTTCAAAAGTCAACTTTAATCTTATTGTTGCTTTCTTTTACGTTAATTGTCATTTTCCTCTTTTTAGCAAGTCCGTTATGATATACCCAGGTGTGATTTCCTTTACGGCTGGACATCATATCACTTCTTGAATCTGTGGCTTGATGTTGCTCACTAGCTTTGGAAAATTCTCTGTTTCTCTCTTTCATCTTTGCTCTTGAGAATATATTCTCCTGACCTGTATTCCAGTTCACTCATTCTAATATTCTCTTAAGCCAAAGTATTATATTTTTAACTTTGGTTATTCTATTATTCAGTTCTAGAATTTTTATTTGATTCTTTGTATATATTTTAATTTCCTGCTAATCTTGTCATGTTTCCTTTTATTGATTTATTATAGTTATTTTTAAATCCACTATGAAAATTCCAGTATCTGGATCATCCATGAGTCGACTTCTGCCCCCTCTCCCTTGGCCTTAGTTTCTTGTATGCCTGGGAAACTTTTCCACTGGACACCAGACAATGTATTACAAAAAATTATAAATACTGTGGATTACGTTAATTTACCCCAGAGAGAATTTATTTTGTTGCAAGCAGGCAATTAGAGTAAGAGGAGAGATTCTTAATCCAGCCTGTGCTTGAACTATTTCAAAGTAGATGTTGAGTTTCAGTGAGGATTAATCTATTTCTGGTTCACTTGTGTTCCTGGCTTCTGGCTGTTTGGCAACTGCAACCAAGAGCCTGGATGTTGACTGGCCCATCTTCCTGGGCAGGTCCTGAACTTCATTTTTGTCTCTCTAGGTCAACGTTATTATGAGTTGTTGCTTACCTCCTCAGCCTCTTTGCTGGCACTTTCTGTTCAATTCCCCAGCCTTTTGTCTGCTGTGATTAATTGGAAATGCTTCAAGAGAAACAGTGGTGCAAAACACTGGAATCACTCTGAGGCTTTTTCCTCTTCTCCAGGTTTTTACCCTCAGTCTTGGCTGCTGTGATAGCCTTGAACTTCAATTTTAGTCTTCCCAGGTCTGAGGGGCTTCCAACGGCTCTGGTCAGCTCTGTTCACCCTTGGCCATGGCTTAAAATCAGCAGAGGCATCAGCTCAAAAGGCATTTCCGAATATTAGGAACACTGACTGCATTTCTCTTCTGTAGTGGAGTACAGATACCTGACACTCCTCTAATCCAGGGGTGAGGTCTACGTCCTTGCTCTATGACCGCTTTGACCTCCCTGCAGAACGGGACTGAGGTGACGTTCTGCTAGTCTCCTGGCTCAAGCCTTAGAGACTGGCAGCTTCCACTTCCTGTCTTTTGGAACACTTGCCCTGGAAAAAAAAGATGTCGTGCAAGAAGTCTGACAACCCTAAAACTATCACGCAGTGCGGAACCCCAAGGTTGCCACGGGAGAAGCTCCCAGACATGCATGGGGCAGCCTTCAGAGGACTCCAGCCACAGCCACCACCTGCCCGCAGTAGTGTTAGGGACTCCAAGCAGAATGACACAGCTGAGCTCATCGGCTCCAAGAACCTGAAATGGGGGTGTGTCTGCTCAAATTAAAAGCACTTTATGTAAGTTGTGGTTTAGCAATGACTTTGCATAATGTGTTGATTGATCTGTTCAATTAACTCCAATAAGTGAGAGTTGACTCCCCTCTGGATGCTGAGCATTGTGATTTCTTCCAGCAGGATTTCCTCTCTGAACCAAGGGTGCGTCCTTTGTACCTGACATCTATTAGGTTGGTGCGAAAGTAATTGCAGTTTTTTGCCAATAAAACACTCAAAAATCGTTTCCTAATGGTTCCTTTAGAAATCACCACAGCGATTCTGTAAAGATTTCCAGGGCATATGGTCCCTAAAGGATCATCCTGAAATGAAGCATGAAGGAATTGGGACACAGAAGTGACAATTTTTCTTCTTCGATAGATAATAAGAACTGTCTCCCGGTACCGGAATGCTTCAGCTTGGTCTTAAGATAAAAATGTCTTGTTTGAGTAAGTTGGTCCTAGCACTTAAAAAATCTGAACATCAAAAAGACACGTTTTCCAATGGGGAAAAAGTAGAAAATTATATCAAGAAGGTAAAATAGTCTACATGACTCTTAGCAAGGACTATCCTGGGTAGAGGTGTAGGACAGTCATTTGCAAATTAGATATTTTCTGTTCAGGAAAATGTGGGCACTTTGGTCTTTTCACTGGGTTTGTCTTTTTGATGAGTTACTTTAATTTCTCCTGTTTCTCAATTTCATGAAAATTCAAAATAATTCTGAGGGATCATTTTAATTTCTCCCAAAGATTGATTCTTGGAGTCTCTTGAGTTGAAACCAATGAGACGTTCAGGTCCCATCAGCACATGTGAGTCAACACATCCCTGAAGTGGGAGGACAACCACGTGAAGAAGTGAATTCTCCTACCACCACTATCTGTCCTACTCATCTTCCTCTTTGCTTCCCTCAACTTCATCCCACTGTTCCCGTTCACACCCTCTTGCCTCATCCCAGCCAAGTTGATTTCCCTTCCTGCCTCTCGTATAATTGCAAATTATCATTTTAAGGCTGGAATATTCATTCACTCCCAAGACTGGAGTAGGGGCTTAGTAATTAAGGAGAAATGTTCCAGAGAAAAACACATTCTATGTGGTCACGGACAGGAGTTTATAATGCAAGCAGTCAGACCTTAAGCATCCCTGGCTTTCCAGTCTCCACTTTTACAAAGGGACATCTCAGAGCTTCAGTAGTGGTCTAGTCATGTTTAATCAATTTTCATTTCCCAAACCCAAGTGTATCCCATTTTGACATCTCTATATATAAATACGCTGCTTTTTAAAACATTTTAAAGAATATAAGCAAGGTTTTCTAAAATACATGCCTAAATACCAAAAAATACAAGCATAAACCATACTTGTTTTTCTAGGGGAAAAAGCAAATCTCCCCGCTTAGTTTGAGTCATCAATCCAAAACTGAAAATAAAAGCCTTGAGATGCAGTTTGCTCTGACTTTACAAAAATCGAATTCCTTTCTATATAATAATTGAATTTGAATCTACTCGAGTTATGTGAACACAGCTATAGATGATGACTATTTATACCACATAATTACTAAATTACAATACCATTGACACTCCCACCAAAGAAAAGTTTTGGCTTCATCATTTACAAAAGCTAACTGGTCACCCCGTGACTGTTGCTGGTGAGGAAAGCAGGGGAGAGAAACTGCAGGGAAGGAACTGAGCTTTACTGAGGCCAGTTCCCTGCCAGGCAACGCGGTAGCCATTGCATACACATTCTCTCCTCTGAATCTTACAACAGTCCTATAAATTATGATATCAGTATACACGATTACACAGATAAGGGAGTTGAATCAGAAAATGTTCAGATTAAACAATAATAAATACCAGAGCCGAGGTTTTATCTTGGTGCTGCGTGACCCCTGAATATACCCAGGGGCTTCCCACCATTCCACACCACCTCAGCCTGCCTGTCTTGTCAAATGGATGGGGATATTTGCATAAGTTCTTAACAGCAAGAGAAAAATGCTCACGCATATAGCAATAGTCTTCCATTTGGTAAGAGCCTCCACTGAAATGTGGAATTCCCATATATTTGTGGATTTGAAAACTATGATCCTAGACTTAGTTTCTTTCTGAAGGTATTTTGTGGGAGAGCTGAGGAAGCGAAAGGCCCAAGTCTGAAAGAAGTGGTGGATCTCTCTCTCTCCTCTCTGTCTCCTGTGCTCACATTGATTTTTGCAAAGCTCCAATCTGGAAGGACGAGGAACAC
The DNA here is from genome assembly GCF_000001405.40 of Homo sapiens. Lineage (NCBI taxonomy): Eukaryota > Metazoa > Chordata > Mammalia > Primates > Hominidae > Homo > Homo sapiens. The sequence goes on from NC_000012.12 coordinate 129,850,235, forward strand.
GTGACTCACAGACAGGAGGAAGGAGCTAGGGGAGTTCTTCCCAGTTCTGGGTGGAGAACACTCCACAGGGCCCCCAAGTCATAATTCAACCCTGAGCCCTTTAACAAATGTGTCTTTGACTGGGGCCAGGCCTGCCCCCACGGAGGATGTGCACCAGGCACTTAGTTCCAAGTTCACGGGAAACTTGGCCACGCAAAGATGAAACATGTTAAGGGGATGTGGGTGGGGCAAAAATGTCAGCAAAGGCGACATCAAGATTCCTCTAAGTACACAATGCACACTTCAAGGGCCTCAGGGTGGGTGAGGGTTGGTTCCTGTAGTTGTTAACATTATTTTGCTTTGGTTTGTTTGCTTGCAGGGGTCTAGGTATGGACAGGGTATTTTATACATATGTCTTCTATAGGAATCAGGACGTTTTCTACAATACTTCCCAGAGTTGAATAAAGATCAGTAATTGGCATCATTCAATCAGGAAACTTTCTGCAAATCCATCAGCATCTTCCAGTGAGAGGACAAGCTGAGGCTACATGTTTAGCACAAATGCTTTTAATTGTTACCAACGATGATTTATTCATATTTATGCAATGCCACACACACTGGGGACTTTTCCATGTGAGGACACAAAATAAATACTTTTCTTAGAAATTAGATTCTTTTGAAAGAAAAAGCTCACCAAAAATAACAGCAGCTAGGCATTTTTTATTGGTTCCAGCAGATTCCACCAGGATGAACATCCAGTCATCAGCAGTTATTGGTGTGTGTTGATCAGAACACAGAAATAAAGGTGAAACTGAGGTCAATATTTACTTCAAAAAGGGAACGACATCTCAATATTCATGCAAATATTAGCTCGGAAAATATAGCTTTCATTCTGAATGCTTCTCTCCAAATATCTAGCACAGATGTAGCCAGGTAGATGTTCCTATCCATAGGGAAAACTGACTTCTAGAAAGTTCATCAGCATCTAATTTGCGTATACAGCTAATCCAAGCACATGAAAAGCTACATTTTCTTTATGCTGAATAGTTTCCCAATTATTTGTAAATTAGTTGACTTGCTTTTCACATTTAGAATTTTAAAATCTCCTAGCTCATTATAGAGACTCTTTTAAACCAGTCAGAACAGATTTCCTTCTCGCAGGCTACTATAATAAATATTAAATTGAAAAATTGTTCATTTACCACAAGGTGCCACAATGTTGATTAAATTGTACGCACGCCAGCATTAACACTGCTCTAGGTTGGAGATAATTGGAACTGTAGTGACATGCAAAGGGCTGTACAAAAGCACAAGAATGTTTACTGCAGCATGATTTGTAATAGTGAAAAATTCAAGGCAACCAAAGTGTTAGCAGTAGTAAAATGAATGACAGCACATTAACACTGTTTTATTTTTAAGTGATGTGTGCACCCATGTTCACAGCACTGCTTCCCTACAGCACTGCTTCCCTACAGCAGTGCATGCTGCACACTGCAAAACTCCAAGGGAGACGCCTGCAACACTGTCTATGTCAGGGGCCAGCAAACTTTCCATAAAGGGCCAGAGAGTCAATATTTTAGGCTTTGTGAGCCACAGGGTCTTTGCCACAACTACTCAATTCTGCCACCAATGTATGAGTATGGCTATATTTTAATAAAACTTTGTGTTTGCCCACCATAATTGGAATTTTGTGCAATTTTCACATTGTAAAACCTTATTTTGAATTCTTAACCATTTAAAAAATGTAAAGACTTTTAAACTCACAAAACATACAAGAACAGGTGGCAGGCTGGGCTTGACCCTCGAGCTGCAGCTTGCAGCCCCTGGTTTATGTGGAAGTCATCAACTGATGTCATGCCACCCACAACCTGCACAACCTCACACAAAAGCCTTGTGCAAATGTGTAAAGCCTGAAAAATGCTGTGCCAAATTCCTAATACCTGTTACTTCTAGGGTCTGGGGAGGGGGAGAGAGGATGCAGAAGAGTTTACAAGTTTTATTTTATTTGCTGAGTGTATATATTTTTATCCATAGAAATACACAACCAAGGCTAGGCGCAGTGGCTCACACCTGTAATACCAGCACTTTGGGAGGCCGAGGCGGGCAGATCACTTGAGCCCAGGAGTTTGAGACCAGCCTGGGCAACATGGCGAAACCCTGTCTCTGCAAAAAATACAAAAATTAGCTGGGCTTGGTGATGCATGCCTGTAGTCACAGCTGCTCATAAGGTTGAAGTGGGAGGATTGCTTGAGCCCGGCAGGTTGAGGCTGAAGTGAGCTGAGATCGCACCACTGCACTCCAGCCTGGGTAACAGAGCAAGACCCTGTCTAAAAATAAAAAAATAAAAAATAAAAAAAAACAATGTACAACCAATTCTTTGTAAAGACTCTAAAAATGGGTGGGTCTCAAGCCTATTGTGTATTTAGGGGGCAGAGATTCCCATGGCAGTCAGATCAGGGGTGATCTCTGGAGATGGGGAAGGAGTGGTATCTTGGAAGCAGGACATCGAGGGGTGAGGACAAGGTTTCATTCATGACCCTGCATCAGGCTTATACAAGGGAATGCTTTATCATAAGTCATAAACTGTCATTTGTGTTTTATGCGCTTTTCACTGTGCCTCCAAAAGAAGATTCTGTGGTAGGCTAATCATTCCTCATTCTTTGGGAGACTTTCCAAACTTTTCTGAAGCTGAATCAGGATGCTGAGATTGACCACTAAAAATTATAATAAATTATGCAGCAATAAAATATCAAATCTAAAATATTACTCTTTAATTCACGTCACTGCCACGAAACTCCAGTGTAACATGACGGAAGACTGATGGTTGCAAACATCCTCCACTCTAAACATCCCTCAGGTCTGAAGAAAGATCTGAGACCCAGTCACAGCTTAAGAAAGGCCTGTGGAAAAGCCGCACCATCAGAGCATGTCTTTGCCATTGGCACCACCTCCCTTCAACCCTCCCAGAGTCCACAGTCACAGAGGGAAAGGGGAGAGACTGATGTGCAGAATCCACTCTGGTCTCAATTTAACTTCAGAAATCGATGATGTTTCTAGATGAGGAGAATGGTTTCCTTGGACAATGAAGAGAATGTCGTGGTGTCCTAAATCCCCAAAGAGAAGCGCAGAGGATATTGACCAGGAACAAGAGGCCGTTTGAAAACACAGGAAGGACAGTGTCACGGGGCAATGAACGAGGGCTCTCACCCAAGGTCAGCCTGCACCCAGCCGTGAGCCTCCAAGAACACTCAAGCCTTCAAGCCTTCCTGCTTGCCTGTAAGTTTACCTCCCTCTGCTTTAGTCTAAAGCTTCTTCCCATATAAACTAAAATCATGTGAACCCATCTGTTTCATTATATGAGTCTTAACTGGAACCGATGGTTTGAAAGCATGAATCCCATGACACTTGGCACATGGGAGGTCGTGGCTGAATGTTGGATTTGCATTTGTAGGGCCAACGTGCTCTCTGAGGAGTTATGGAAGACAGCTCCTGTGTAGTCGGCAATTATCAGTGGGTCCCCTCTGAATGCCAGTGCCTTTGATCATTGGACTCAGTTTCCGTAGGAGTTGCATCTTCCAGGGAGTGGAGGATGTGTTCTAGGGGAGAGGGGAGTCTTAGGTTTGACTCATAAGTTTACTGCAATACACTCATCACGCAACTCCACTCCATCCCCCCACAGGCAACAGGACTGAACCTACTGCAAGTCAAGAAACACACAGAAGTTTCCAGGTAACAGAGTGCTGGATCAAAGTTCTGGGCAGGCTGGAAAAGCAATGCAATAACGCAAAGAAAAGCCACCTTGGGGGGATGGGCCTCCGTTTCCTCTTTGGTAACTCGAGGCGGGGATACTACTAATGCCCATGGCAGTCCTCGTCACTTTCACCCCACGTTTCCCATGTTACGTCACTGGCTGTTCTAAGTGCACAATGCTTAACGTGGGGAATAAAGTGGGAGGTGGTTAAGGCTTAAACAGTGGTCCCTGGGGACACAAAACGTTCAGCTATCACTGAACTTTCACTATGTCCCAGGCACTGTCCTTAGCTGTTTCCAAATTTCACTCTTGAAATTCTCACCCCGGCCTCTGAGGCAGGCTTGACCATCACCTCATTGTACAGAAAAGGAAATGTGACACAGGGCCAATGTCACAGGCCAAGGAAGTCAGAGGAGCAGGATTCAGCCCCAGAACTCGGCACACAGTCAATGCTCACGAGTGGGATGTCAAGCTCTGATCGCCAAGTGGGGCAAGAAAATCATTCCCCACAATTCCCCACAGTTCTTCGGGAAGAGCACTGAAATGGATTGAGTTTTCTAAAAATAGTCTCATGAAAGAGTGAGAAAAAAACTGACCTTGTGGAACAAAAGCAACATTGCAATGAGAACGGCCCACCAGGAGAATGAGGAAACTCTTTTCTCCCCACTGTCTGACAGTAACGTGGACTGTGTGCCAGCTGCGGGCCAGGAACTCTCTGGATCGTTGATACTCATCAGCTCCTCCTAAGTGGATGAGGTAGGTGTTGTGCTAGCACCCATTTTAAAGATATGGAAATGAGACACAGTTAGATAAAATCCCAGCTCATCTTCACACAGCTAGCAAGCACCAGAGCTGGGATCTGAGCCGAGCCATCTGGCTGGAGACTCCCTCCCTCCTGACTGTGCTGCCTTACTGAAACAGCCTCGGTCTACCAGATGACTTTTCAGAAGGCACCATCCAGCAACCTTGGACCTACTTTGTTTGCCCACATGGTATTTGCAATGACTGGATGTTTATGCCCCTCCCCCAAATTAATGCTGAGATCTTAACCGAGGTGATGCTATTAGACGGAGAGCCCTATGCAAGACAATCAGGGAACAGAGTCCGGGGAACGGGATGGGTGCCCTTATAACAGAGTCCGGGGGAACGGGATGGCTGCCCTTGTAACAGAGTCCGGGGGAACGGGATGGGTGCCCTTATAACAGAGTCCGGGGGAACGGGATGGCTGCCCTTGTAACAGAGTCCGGGGGAACGGGATGGGTGCCCTTATAACAGAGTCCGGGGGAACGGGATGGGTGCCCTTGTAACGGAGTCCGGGGGAACGGGATGGGTGCCCTTGTAACAGAGTCCGGGGGAACGGGATGGGTGCCCTTATAACAGAGTCCGGGGGAACGGGATGGGTGCCCTTGTAACGGAGTCCAGGGGAACGGGATGGGTGCCCTTGTAACGGAGTCCGGGGGAACGGGATGGGTGCCCTTATAACAGAGTCCGGGGGAACGGGATGGGTGCCCTTATAACAGAGTCCGGGGGAACGGGATGGCTGCCCTTGTAACAGAGTCCGGGGGAACGGGATGGGTGCCCTTGTAACAGAGTCCGGGGGAACGGGATGGGTGCCCTTGTAACGGAGTCCGGGGGAACGGGATGGGTGCCCTTGTAACGGAGTCCGGGGGAACGGGATGGGTGCCCTTGTAACGGAGTCCGGGGGAACGGGATGGGTGCCCTTGTAACAGAGTCCAGGGGAACGGGATGGGTGCCCTTGTTACGGAGTCCGGGGGAACGGGATGGCTGCCCTTGTAACGGAGTCCGGGGGAACGGGATGGGTGCCCTTGTAACGGAGTCCGGGGGAACGGGATGGGTGCCCTTGTAACAGAGTCCGGGGGAACGGGATGGGTGCCCTTGTAACGGAGTCCGGGGGAACGGGATGGGTGCCCTTATAACAGAGTCCGGGGGAACGGGATGGGTGCCCTTGTAACGGAGTCCAGGGGAACGGGATGGGTGCCCTTGTAACGGAGTCCGGGGGAACGGGATGGGTGCCCTTGTAACAGAGTCCGGGGGAACGGGATGGGTGCCCTTGTAACGGAGTCCGGGGGAACGGGATGGGTGCCCTTGTAACAGAGTCCGGGGGAACGGGATGGGTGCCCTTATAACAGAGTCCGGGGGAACGGGATGGGTGCCCTTGTAACGGAGTCCAGGGGAACGGGATGGGTGCCCTTGTAACGGAGTCCGGGGGAACGGGATGGGTGCCCTTGTAACGGAGTCCGGGGGAACGGGATGGGTGCCCTTGTAACAGAGTCCGGGGGAACGGGATGGGTGCCCTTGTAACGGAGTCCGGGGGAACGGGATGGGTGCCCTTGTAACAGAGTCCGGGGGAACGGGATGGGTGCCCTTATAACAGAGTCCGGGGGAACGGGATGGGTGCCCTTGTAACGGAGTCCAGGGGAACGGGATGGGTGCCCTTGTAACGGAGTCCGGGGGAACGGGATGGGTGCCCTTGTAACGGAGTCCGGGGGAACGGGATGGGTGCCCTTGTAACAGAGTCCGGGGAAACGGGATGGGTGCCCTTGTAACGGAGTCCGGGGGAACGGGATGGGTGCCCTTATAACAGAGTCCGGGGGAACGGGATGGGTGCCCTTGTAACGGAGTCCGGGGGAACGGGATGGGTGCCCTTATAACAGAGTCCGGGGGAACGGGATGGGTGCCCTTGTAACGGAGTCCAGGGGAACGGGATGGGTGCCCTTGTAACGGAGTCCAGGGGAACGGGATGGGTGCCCTTATAACAGAGTCCGGGGGAGCGGGATGGGTGTAACAGAGTCCGGGGAAACGGGATGGGTGCCCTTGTAACAGAGTCCAGGGGAACGGGATGGGTGCCCTTGTAACGGAGTCCGGGGGAACGGGATGGCTGCCCTTGTAACAGAGTCCGGGGGAACGGGATGGGTGCCCTTATAACAGAGTCCGGGGGAACGGGATGGGTGCCCTTGTAACGGAGTCCGGGGGAACGGGATGGGTGCCCTTATAACAGAGTCCGGGGGAACGGGATGGGTGCCCTTGTAACGGAGTCCAGGGGAACGGGATGGGTGCCCTTGTAACGGAGTCCGGGGGAACGGGATGGGTGCCCTTGTAACAGAGTCCGGGGGAACGGGATGGGTGCCCTTGTAACGGAGTCCGGGGGAACGGGATGGGTGCCCTTGTAACAGAGTCCGGGGGAACGGGATGGGTGCCCTTATAACAGAGTCCGGGGGAACGGGATGGGTGCCCTTGTAACGGAGTCCAGGGGAACGGGATGGGTGCCCTTGTAACGGAGTCCGGGGGAACGGGATGGGTGCCCTTGTAACGGAGTCCGGGGGAACGGGATGGGTGCCCTTGTAACAGAGTCCGGGGAAACGGGATGGGTGCCCTTGTAACGGAGTCCGGGGGAACGGGATGGGTGCCCTTATAACAGAGTCCGGGGGAACGGGATGGGTGCCCTTGTAACGGAGTCCGGGGGAACGGGATGGGTGCCCTTATAACAGAGTCCGGGGGAACGGGATGGGTGCCCTTGTAACGGAGTCCAGGGGAACGGGATGGGTGCCCTTGTAACGGAGTCCAGGGGAACGGGATGGGTGCCCTTATAACAGAGTCCGGGGGAGCGGGATGGGTGTAACAGAGTCCGGGGAAACGGGATGGGTGCCCTTGTAACAGAGTCCAGGGGAACGGGATGGGTGCCCTTGTAACGGAGTCCGGGGGAACGGGATGGCTGCCCTTGTAACAGAGTCCGGGGGAACGGGATGGGTGCCCTTATAACAGAGTCCGGGGGAACGGGATGGGTGCCCTTGTAACGGAGTCCGGGGGAACGGGATGGGTGCCCTTATAACAGAGTCCGGGGGAACGGGATGGGTGCCCTTGTAACGGAGTCCAGGGGAACGGGATGGGTGCCCTTGTAACGGAGTCCAGGGGAACGGGATGGGTGCCCTTGTAACAGAGTCCGGGGGAACGGGATGGGTGCCCTTGTAACAGAGTCCGGGGGAACGGGATGGGTGCCCTTGTAACAGAGTCCGGGGGAACGGGATGGGTGCCCTTGTAACAGAGTCCGGGGGAACGGGATGGGTGCCCTTGTAACAGAGTCCGGGGGAACGGGATGGGTGCCCTTGTAACAGAGTCCGGGGGAACGGGATGGGTGCCCTTGTAACGGAGTCCGGGGGAACGGGATGGGTGCCCTTATAACAGAGTCCGGGGGAGCGGGATGGGTGTAACAGAGTCCGGGGAAACGGGATGGGTGCCCTTGTAACAGAGTCCAGGGGAACGGGATGGGTGCCCTTGTAACGGAGTCCGGGGGAACGGGATGGCTGCCCTTGTAACAGAGTCCGGGGGAACGGGATGGGTGCCCTTATAACAGAGTCCGGGGGAACGGGATGGGTGCCCTTGTAACGGAGTCCGGGGGAACGGGATGGGTGCCCTTATAACAGAGTCCGGGGGAACGGGATGGGTGCCCTTGTAACGGAGTCCAGGGGAACGGGATGGGTGCCCTTGTAACGGAGTCCAGGGGAACGGGATGGGTGCCCTTGTAACGGAGTCCAGGGGAACGGGATGGGTGCCCTTGTAACAGAGTCCGGGGGAACGGGATGGGTGCCCTTGTAACAGAGTCCGGGGAAACGGGATGGGTGCCCTTGTAACAGAGTCCTGGGAAACGGGATGGGTGCCCTTGTAACAGAGTCCGGGGAAACGGGATGGGTGCCCTTGTAACAGAGTCCGGGGAAACGGGATGGGTGCCCTTGTAACAGAGTCCGGGGAAACGGGATGGGTGCCCTTGTAACGGAGTCCGGGGAAACGGGATGGGTGCCCTTGTAACGGAGTCCGGGGAAACGGGATGGGTGCCCTTGTAACGGAGTCCGGGGGAGCGGGATGGGTGCCCTTGTAACAGAGTCCGGGGGAACGGGATGGGTGCCCTTATAACAGAGTCCGGGGGATGGGATGGCTGCCCTTGTAACGGAGTCCGGGGGAACGGGATGGGTGCCCTTGGAGTCCGGGGGAACGGGATGGGTGCCCTTGGAGTCCGGGGGAACGGGATGGGTGCCCTAGTAACGGAGTCCGGGGGAACGGGATGGGTGCCCTTGTAACGGAGTCCGGGGGAACGGGATGGGTGCCCTTACAAAAGAGTCCTGCGGGAGGGTGTTCATCCGTTCCACCACGTGAGGACACGGTGAGAAGGTGCCATCTCCGAACCAGAAACCAGGTTCCCAGCAGACACTGAATCTGCAGCTGCCTTGATCCTGGAATCCAGGATAGAGACTGTGGTCGAGAACCATAGACATAGACCCCTGCTGTTTATAAGCCACCCATCTATGGAATTTTATTAGGTTGGTGTAAAAGTAATTGCAGCTTTGCCATTAAACGTAATAGCAAAAACCGCAATTACTTTTGCACCAACATACTCGGCTCAAAATGATTAAGACAGTGTTCTCTTTTCTTTTCACTGAATTAATTGCCAATATTTTAAAATTACAACATGTGATGGTTAATATTGGATGTCAACGTGATTGAAGGATGCCTATAATACTTTGCATAGCTGGTAAAGTATCATTTCTGGGTGTGTCTGTGAGGGTGTTGCCAGAGAAGATGAACAACTGAGTCAATGGACTGGGAGATGCAGACCCACCCTCAGTGTGGGCGGGCACCAACCAATCAGCTGCCAACGCGGCTAGAAAAAAGCAGGCAAAGAGGGTGGGATAAGCTGGGTTCCTGAATCTTCTGGCCTTCATCTTTCTCCCATGCTGGATGCTTCCTGCCCCAGACTCCAGGTTCTTCAGCCTTTGGATTCTTGGACTTACACCAGTGGTTTGCTGGGGGCTCTGGGGCCTTTGGCCACAGGCTGATTGGTGGTTGCACTGTCGGCCTCCCTGCTTTTAAGGTTTTGTGATCAGACCGAGCCACTACTGGCTTCCTTGCTCCTCAGCTTGCAGACAGTCTATCATGGGACTTTGCCTTGGATCTTGCGAGTCAATTCTCCCTAATAAACTCCCTTTCATGTATACATCTCCCCTGTTAGTTCTGTCCCTCTGGAGAACCCTGACTCATACAGAACATTTCACATAAAAATGTGCATTTATACTTTCTCATGGAAATTCTGGGGTCCTGGTCACAGGGGACTCACACTGCCCTTGGCATTGAGAAGCAGCTGCCCCTAGACAGGACACGCACACCCTAGACTAACACGGCCCCACTCTGCCTCTGTGGACATTTGAGAATGCAACTGGCTAAGAAAAACTATGCAAAACTTGGAAATAAGGCAAAACGATTACTGCATGCCCTTTCAAAATCATGCTAGAACATTCGACAAGTCCACTGAAATGTCATGGGAGACTCTAGGGAAAGAGAACTTTATTTGACATACCATTTACTATTGATCAGGGCCCAAACTCTGTCAATTTAGATGTTAACTTGGAGTAGATTGATACATTACAAATGACTTTTGTCCAGTAGAGATGGGAATAATTTCTGTCTTACAGAAAAGAAATCCTCAAAGGGGACTGTTCTATTGCCCCAGGGCATTAAACTCGTCTGCATCAAACTTCTCAATCTCTTAAAGCGTTCTTTTTCCCTGTGTATATGTATGCATAAATATATATACATATGTGCGTATATATATAAAACTTCTCATAACCTAATTTTATCTAGCTATGTCATCTTGTTGGCTTCTGTATTAGTCCATTCTCACGCTGCTATAAAAACATATCCGAGACTGGGTAATATATATAAAGGAAAGAGGTTTAATTGACTCACAGTTCTGCAGGGCTGGGGAGGCCTCAGGAAACTTACAATCATGAAAGAAGGGGAAGCAAACGTGTCCTTTTTCACAGGGCAGCAGGAGAAAGAAGAATGAGAGCTGAGCAAAGAGGGAAGCCCCTTATAAAATCATCTGATCTCATGAGAACTTACTCAGTATCACAAGAACAGGATTGGGGAAACTGCCTCCATGATTCAATTATAGACACCTAGTCCCGCCCATGACACATAGGGATTATGGGAACTACAATTCAAGATGAGATTTGGGTGGGGACACAGCCAAACCATATCAGTTTGCTTATCAACAAATGAAGCAATTATTGGAATCTCCTTCACTATGTTATGTTTTTAACCTTTTGAAACGCTTTCTGAAAATCTTTTTTATAGAATTATACTTTGAGAAATCTGTGACCATTCCAGTGGAATGAAATGAAAAATGCTCTGCCTTGCAGAGTTGAAACCACTTTTGCAAACATTTTAACAGTTAGAAATAGATAACTTTGAGAAAATTATAAGAAACATAGAGGATGTGATCTAACCAACCCCCACCTTACCTTTAACCTCCAAAACTGCCCTTGGTTACTCCTGGGCTTGGACCAAGCTAACTTTGGGAGAAATTTAGTTTATAGTTGGAATGACAATAGCCCTTCCCCAAAATTAAACCTCCTCGGTAAAACCAATGAAAGCCCACCAGGTTAGGAAAATGAGAGGAGCCTGAATTCTGCTAAGATGTAGGCTTAGTTAAATGATTACCAGGCTGGGCCCAGTGGCTCACGCCTGTAATCCCAACAATTTGGGAGGCCAAGGTGGGTGAATCACCTGAGGACAGTAGTTCGAGACCAGCCTGGCCAACATGGCGAAACCCCATCTCTACTAAAAATACAAAAATTAGCCGGTCATGGTGGTGCACTCCTGTAATCCCAGCTACTAGGGAGGCTGAGGCAGGAGAATCACTTGAAATCAAAGGTTGCAATGAGCCAAGATTGCACCACTGCACTCCAGCCTGGGCAACAGAGAGAGACTCTGTCTCAAAGAAAAAAAAAAAAAAAAGGATTACCAGCCATTATTCTGGAGGTCACAAGATTTGCAACTTCCCCAATTTCTGGCAGATAACATCACTACTGTAGAACCTAAGATTGGCCTTTTGAGATGTCCTTTCAGGCTTTTGCATTTCTGATGACCAGATGGCCCCACCCAGACCCAAGACTCTTGACTTAACTGCTCCTGTAGCCACACCCAACACACAAGGGTCATATACCTACAATTGCATCCACAACCAATCAGCAGCATCCCCTCCCTAGTCCTCTGCCCACCAAACTATCCTTGAAAAACCCTAGCCTCCAAATTCTCTGGGAAGCTCATCTGAGTCATGATAAAGCTGCTGTCTCCTGTTTAGCTGGCTTTACATGTGTGATACTCTTTCTCCTTTGCAATTCCCCGGTGGTGATAAATCAGGTCTGTCTGGGAAGTGGGAAAAATAAACCTGTTGGCCAGTTACAGAATGGTTTTGAAGGCTGGTTTAGGAAGCCACACAATACAGATGCTCTCAACTCTAAATTTCAAGCCTCAAATCAGGTGGAAACCTCAAACTTCGGGAAATTAATCCTTGCTGGGGCTGGCTGAGGATTTCCATGCTGAAAGCAGACCCAGCCTTCAGGAGCCAAGAGCGAAGGCGTTTTCCAGGGGGCTGTGTGTTTGCTGACACTCCACTGCACAGGTGTCTCTCTGCACAGAGCAAACCTGCCCTTTCAATTCACTCTGAGCCACTAGTTCAATCTTTTCCATCTGTGCTCTCTGAACTTTCCATTTCCAATAGGTTCAGACTAATTCACGGCAGCCATGGGGGTTGATCAGCTATGCCTCTCCCATCACATCCAAGGGCTGCATGTTGACATCCTTAAAAGAATTTAGAAATAAATCTAATAGAGTGCCTTTCATGCTGGAGGACTGTTTATTTGAATTCCATTAAGAGCGGACACAAGTATAAGTAGAGAATGAGTCTGGGCTTCAAAAGCACTTAGCCAAGCCATTTACCCCCATGTTGGATAAAACCATTCCATTGTAATAAAATAAAAACACGACTGAAAGCTGACACAGCCTAGGCTAAAAGCTTGATGTTTAAGAAGCATCAAGATGAGCTTAGTTAAAAAAAAAAAAAGCTATAGCAGCTCAGCCACAGAACAGAAACACATCACAACATGCTTTGCATGTTGATGGAACTGAACGGCCCTGGCTGGTGCAGTTCCGCCTTCCTCAGCGAGGGAGGGATTCCAGGGCAGATGTAAATGGGAACTTAAGGCCATTCATCAATTCATTCAGAGAACCGAGGCATTGAAAATTGTGGAGGAGCTTGGGCTTGGAATTGGGAACAGGCCGGTTATCAGACAAATGTGGGCTGTGTCACATTAAAGTCACTATAATTTTTAGCTTGGGCAAAAGTATAAATTACAGACCTTGGTGTCTGTCTTAGAGCATTGTGAAGCCTTTACAGAACAGGGAGGCATGGATTTGTGGACAGTGCTAAGGAATCAGCTAGCCAGCCACCCCCACCCCCAGCCCCGATGGAAACTAATAGGTTTTCCAGATGCAAAACCATGTTCTTCCCAAGGGAATCAAAGAGTACACCTGCTCCCTGCACAGTTATGGGTGCAGAGACCAGGGTGCAAAGTGTACAGCATCTCACATTAACACGGCGAGTCTGGTATTTTTAAGTTCACTGTTGGTCAGCTCTTTTGTAAAATGAAGAATTCTGTTTTTTCATACACCTTAATTTTTCTACCTTATAATGATGCTTTTTAAAATATCAACTTTGCTAAAGCAGGCCTTAAAATCTCCCATTCAAGCAAAATATTAGTAAGCCTTGCTAGTATTACCCTCCGTATAAAGCTTGTGTCCTAAGGGCTGATAGAAAATAAGAATTCAAAAACATTGGGATTGGGGTAAAATCAGCTGTCCTCCCCAGAAAAGAAGCAAGATTTCTGTGTAGTCTTATATCCCCACGATATTTTAATACATGAAATGCTAGCATCAGAACATCTAGGTATTGTTTGTTTCTGTTTTTGTTTTTTTGGGGGGGGCAGGGGAGGAAATTGTAACAGGAATCTTTTCTGCCATTTTCTGGTAACTGCCCACAAGAACTAATATAGCCTCATCAGTCGGCAGAGTTTATCCCTCTAACAGCAATGATAAGTTTAGGGATATGGTGGGTTTTAAAATAAGTCTGAAAAACTTTTTATCACTCATCCCTTTAAAGTGTGAGCCCAATTGCGCTACCACTAGCACCAGTGAGGGCTGGACCTGCTAGTTCACTTCTAAAGAACAGCATGTAGCTGAGATGACAGAATGTGAGTTCCAAAGGTGGGGCATAAAAAGCACTGCCACTCCTATCTTACTCTCTGGGGGAAGCCAGCGCCATCTTGTGAGGAGACTCAAGCAGCCCCGCAGAGTGGTCCAGGTGGAGAGAATTAAAACCAAAGCATCAGCCATTTGAGCAAACCACTTTAGAACTGGATTCTCCAGCCCCTGTCAGGCCTTGAGATGATTCCAGACGTCAGCCTTGGAATCTCTCAGCAGAGGCCCCAGACATCATGAAGCAAAGACAAACCAGCCCCACAGGGCTGCGTCTGAATTTCTCTCCTATAGAAACAGCAAAATCATATGTAACTATCCTGCTTTAAGTCACTATCAGAGTTTTGGGGTAGTCTGTTTTATAGCAATTGATTAATACACATGCCCACAGGCAGACCCATAAGACTCAAGGAGTGGCTGTTTATTTTGACCACTGAAAAAGATAAGGTGTTTTTCCTGCTGAACCTGAAGTTTGGAGGATGTAATTGGAGACCTGCTGGAAGCCACCACATAAGGAGACTGCCTGAGAAGGAAGCCACTCCCGAGGACAGCAGAGACAAGAGATGGGGACAGACTAGTGGCACTGATGTTGGGTCCCTGGATCAAGCTACGCCTGAAGGTTATTCTGACATTCTTACTTGTTTGGGCCAATAAATCCCCTTGCCACCTGCATTGTTACCTGAAGTAAGTTTGGGTTGGATGTCTGTCATTAGGTACTCAATGCCCCCTGACACTGTACATTCAGCATGCTCTGCACTGTCTCTCACATAGTACTCTAGATAGTCCGTGTCCTCTGAGTGCAATGGCTAGGTCTTAAAGTGGCCACAACCAATTAGACAAGGTTCAGTCGTGCAAGATGGGTCCACAGAAGTGAGCTCCATCCAAACTCTATGTGAGCTCATCATGAAGCCTGTAATCACAGAACTTATGCTCATCATGGAGCCTCCAATGTCAGAACTTATTTTCCAGTGGAAAAAGTTGGAAATCCAGATAATAAGCAGACACACAAATAAATGCCCAGGATGAGCTGAGGTGGAGGTAAGTGCCGTAAAAGTGATGCACTGGAAACCCCTGTGAGCAGGCTGGGTGGAGGCGACCTCTCTCATTGGTGACAGTCTGCTGGCACTGGAGTGCTGAGGGGTAGCTCTGCAATGGTGCAGAAGCCTGCAGGACAGAGTTCCAGGCAGAGGGAACTGCAGAGAAGGAAATGAACTTGGAGGCAGGGGTTCCATGAACAGAATAATGTCCGGTGTGGCTGGAGCATAGAGAGCAGAAGGGAGAATACCAGGAGAATATGAGTAAACACAATCCTACTACTATGGTCACAACCAATTACACAAAGGCTTGGTTGTGCAAGATGGGTCCACAGCAGTGAGTTCCCTCCAAACTCCGTGTGAGCTCATCACGGAGCCTGCAATCATACAACTTCTGCTCAACAGTTCTACGAACACTCCAAGAGACAGGAGTGATTACGTCTTGCAATGAGCAGGCATGGAGGGAATCTGGGTTTCATTGTGAGTGCAATGGTCTGACTTCTGTATTTTAAGCATCCTGGCTGTTGTGTGAAGAATGAACTGTGGGGAGCAAGGGTGTTCAGTCTGACACACGGAATATACTGAACGCATCGCAACTGATGACTGCTTGGGCATCCTCTATGCCCGGCACTGGTCTACATGCCTGATGGATATTATGTCACTTAATTCTTGCAGTCCCATGATGGAGGTATTTTATAACTTGCATTCAGCAGGCAAGGGAACAGGGGTACAGTGAAGGCAGTGGTCACGGGACTAATGAGTCAAGAAGCCTGGATTTGAACCAGAAGTCAGGCTCCAGAGCTACATCGTGGTGTGACTCTCTTGCAGTGCTATAGGTCTGGGGTTGTCTGGCTGTCTCAGATCGTGTGCCTAACGACTAAGACATCGTTAAGTTTGGTGTTTGTTTTGGTTTGGTTTTCCTCTCACACTGCTGTGGTTTTACTCCACACCCCCTGGGTTTAAAACTGTATGCTTATTCTCAAAAGATGGCACACAAATGGCCAAGAAGTATATGAAAAAGGGTTCGACATGACTATTCACCAGGGAAATGCAAATCAAAACCACAATGAGATATTACCTCACACCTGTTAGGATGGCTATTATCAAAAAGATGAGAAATGAGTGTTAGCATATACACCATGGAATACTATGCAGCCATAAAAAATGATGAGTTCATGTCCTTTGTAGGGTCATGGATGAAGCAGGAAACCATCACTCTCAGCAAACTATCGCAAGGACAAAAAACCAAACACTGCATGTTCTCACTCATAGGTGGGAATTGAACAATGAGAACACATGGACACAAGGTGGGGAACATCACACACCGGGGCCTGTTGTGCGGTGGGGGGAGGGGGGAGGGATAGCATTAGGAGATATACCTAATGTAAATGACGAGTTAATGAGTGCAGCACACTAACATGGCACATGTATACATATGTAACAAACCCGCATGTTGTGCACATGTACCCTAGAACTTAAAGTATAATAAAAATATATTAAAAAAAAAAAGAAAAATGAGTGTTGGACAGGATGTAGAAAAGAGAGACTCCTGGCACACTGTGGGTGGGAATGTAAGTTGGTAAAGCCATTACGGCAAACAGTACGTAGGCTCTTCGAGATATTAAAAATAGAACTCCCATATGATCTAGCAATCCCACTCTGGGTATATATCCAAAGAAAATGAGTCAGCACCTTGCACAGACATCTGAACTCCCATGTTCAGAACTTCTGCTCATCATGCAGGGGGATTCACAATAGCCAAGATGAGTCAGCCTATGTGTCCATTAATGAACGAATGGATACAGAAAATGTGGGGTGTATATATACATGGAATATTACTTAGTCTTAAAAAAGAAATCCAGCCAGGCACAGTGGCTCATGCCTGTAATCCCGGCACCTTGCGAAGCTGAGGCAGGCAGATGGCCTGAGCTCAGGAGTTGGAGACCAGACTGGGCAACACGGAAAAACCCCAAAACCCTGTCTCTACAAAAAAAAAATACAGAAATTAGCTGGGCACGGTGGTATGTGCCTGTAGTCCTAGCTACATGGGAGGCTGAGGCAGGAGGATGGCTTGAGCCTGGGAGACAGAAGTTGCAGTGAGCTAAGATCATGCCACTGCACTCCAGCCTGGGTGACAGAGCCAGACTCTGTCTCAAAAAAAGAAAAAGAAAGAAAGAAATCCTGCCATTTGCAACAATATATACATGACACTGAAAGACACGAAGTTAAGTGAAATAAGCCAGGCACAGAAACCACATGATCTCACTCACATGCAGAATCTAAAAAAGCTAAACTCAGAGGAGCAGAGTAAAATGGTAGTTGCCAGGGCTCAGCAACACTGGTGAGAGAATAGGGAGATGCTGATGAAAAAGGGAAAACCTTCTATTATGCCAGATGAGCAAGTTCTAGAGTTCGAATGAACCGCAGAAGGACTAAAATTAATAATTCTGTATAGTGTCCTTGAAATGTACTGAGAGGATAAATCTTCAGTGTTTTCCTCATAAAAAGAGAAAGTAAAACAAAGAAAACCGTCACTGTAGAAAGGGATAATGTGAACTAGCTTGACCGTGGTGACAATTTCACAATGTATACATACAGCAAATCATCAAATTGTACATCTTCAATAGATACAATTTTTGTCAATTTTACCTCAATAAAGCTTAAAAGCTAAAATAAATTTTAAAAGGTATATATTTAAGCCAAAACTAACCTAGTGAAAAACAACAGTTGACAGGGGCCAGAGATGGGTTGGGGTTGCTGGAAAAGGAGCAGAAGAAACTTCTAGGGCAATGGAAATGTCTGTGTCTCTACTAAGACAGCGTTTCTATGGTACACACGAGGCAGTGTTTCTATGGTACACATGAGACAGCATTTGTACGGTACACACATGAGGCGGCGTTTCTATGGTACATACATGAGGTGGCGTTTCTATGGTACACACATGAGACAGCGTTTCTATGGTACACACATGAGGCAGCATTTCTATGGTACACTTGAGACAGCATTTGTATGGTACACACATGTGACAGCATTTCTATGGTACATACATGAGGCAGTGTTTCCATGGTACACACACGAGACAGCATTTGTATGGTACACACATGAGGCAGCGTTTCTATGGTACATGAGGCAGCGTTTCTAGGGAACACACATGAGACAGCATTTCTATGGTACACACATGAGACAGCGTTTATATGGTACATACATCTGTCCAAAAAGCCAATAACTATATACTTGAAACGGGTACATTTTATGATATGCTAATTATACCACAACAAAATTGATTTAAATTTTTTCTAAATCAATACTAACTTGTAGTAAATAACGTATTAGGATTTGCTCAAGTATATCTTCCATGCACGATGACAAGCCATATTACAGCCTCCAGCTGAACCCCCTAGAAGACATAATCGTGAGTCGAGGCTTCCTGTGTCAGCCGCTGTGGTCAAGTCAACTCCATCTGCACAATTTCATGCAGCAGCAGCACCTGAGTTGATTCAACCCATTCTCTATGCCCTGTACCCCTGTAAGCAGGTGCCATCTGCACATTCAGGTGCTTCAAGTCAAACAGCAGGTGTTTCAAAAGTGTGGGACTGCAGAACTGGCTTTCTAGGGCCGGGACAAGCTGTTCTTCTAGAAGTTCACTGTCCAGCTGCTTGCGATGCAAGGAACGCGGCCTCTCTTCCCACCCTGCCCCCAGGGTGTTTTGGCTACCATGCAGCAGAAGGAGCCAGGTTCGGAGGTGCCTCATCTGGCAATCACCAGGCAGGGAACAGGGCAAGAAGACGGACATCCAGGAAAGAGAAAACCAGCTTCGCATAACAGACTCAACCCCAGCCGCAGACCTCCAAGAATCTGAACTCTGCTTAGCATCTGTGGGTTGCAAATTGGCTGGGTTTTCATCATATCTGGCCCTTAGAACCGGTTCCTCAGCCACTGTGTTTTTATTTTGCTTTGTGTTTTTTTTTTTTTAATATGAATGTCTTCAGGCAGCACAGGAATCTGGGGTTCCCACTGCACCCCATTATACATTGTCTTATGCCCAGCTGATTCCCATATTAAGCTGCATTCCTGGTGCGTAAATATCTTTGAATTTCTCAGCTTTGGTTTAGACAAAGCATGTTCTTCTTGGGGCACAGGCATTGAAGCCACCAGACACCCAGTGAAAACGAGCAACAAGTTGTGAAATTACCTGCATTTTCAGCTTCAATCCCTTGGCATACCTGGGGGCATTGGTGGTAGGACCTCCATGGATACCAAAATCCTCGGATGCTCAATTCCTGATATCAAATGAAATAGTATTTGCATATAACCTATGCACATCTTCCTGAATACTTTAAATCATCTCTAGGTTACTCATAATACCAAACACAATGTAAATGCTATTTAAGTGGTTGTTACGCCGTATTGCTTTCATATTTGCATTTTTATTGTTATATTGTTATTTTTATTGTTTGTGGGTTTTTCCTGAATATTTTCAATCTGAAGTTGGTTGACTCTGCAGATGCAGAACCCACGAATACAGAGCACTGTCTGGAAAGTGAACAACAAAAAGTATTTTCCTAAGGAGTCATAAAAATCCTTTTTTTGTCTGAGTTAGGAGCAATTATCTTGATGGCGCTTCTTGAACTCTGCAGTATCAAGTGGAGATTTACGTAAGAGGAGGTTTAGATGGTTAATGATAACCGTTCTGCCAATGGGTCATTGCACAGTATCATACACATGAATATGCATGTCTCCATCTAGACATCTCTAGAGCCACATCCACTTGTTGACTGATATCATACAGAACAGATCAGCTCCTTGTCACTGGTTCCCAGCAGAGAGCTTTAGAAACCCCTGGCACTTCCTGAGTGATGTGTTCTTGGTATTCATGAGGAGCCTCTTTCCACCACACCTGGGTTTCGTTTGTTTGTTTTGTCACCCAGGCTGGAGTGCAGAGGTGTGATCATGGCTCACTGCAGCCTCGAACTCCTGGGCTCAAGCAATCCTTCAGCCTCCCGAGTAGCTGGGATTACAGGTGCATGCCACCATGCCCAGCTAATTTTTGTATTTTTTGTAGAGACATGGTTTTGCCATAATGCCCAGGTTGGTCTAGAACCCCTGGGCTCAAGAGATCCACCCACAGCAGCCTCTCAAGGTGCTGAGATTACAGGCATGAGCCACCATGCCAGCCACGCCTGGGTTTATGCTAAGGAGGTGACTCATGGGTGAACCCTTAGATAATTTCAAGGGAGGGGCTGACAGCACCACAAAGACCATGCATGGGTTTACAGTTCCACTCCCCAAACCCCTGAGGAAGGCCACAGTGATTTCATCGACTGCCCTTACATAATGAAACCCCACATAAAACTCTGGACTGCAGGCTCAGCAGAGCTTCCTGGTGGTGAACATCTTAATGTGTTGAGCATGATGCCCTGGATTCCATGAGGAGAGAGCGCAAAAGCTCGGCATCCCTCCCATCCATACCCCAGAAACTGCCCTAGCTATCTCCTCCATGTGGCGCTTCCTGAGTTAAATCCTTTATCAGAAAACTGTAATCAGAAGCACAGCATGCTTTTGGTGGCTTCTGTGGGCTGCTTTATTGAACCTAAAGAGAGGTTGTAGGAACCCCAAAATGTGTAGGCACGTTGGACAGAAGTGCAGGTACCTTGGGTATTTTGGCTCAGGTTTGGTTAAGGGTATAACCTTAAAATAGAGGGAATCAATGGACAAAGCCCCTCGCCCCCTACAGCTGGCATCTGGAGTGAAGGAAGTCTTGTTGGGGACCCAGCCATTAACCCACGGGGTCTGCACTAACTCTAGGTGGTCAGTGTCAGAATTGCATTGAATCGCAGGACACACCATTGGTATCAGAGCTGACATTAGAACACCTGTGGAGAGAGACACAGACAGCAGGCAGAGTCGCTCAAATGCTAATGAGGCTTCTGTCCCAGAAATCCTGGTCCTGTGAAATGTGCCCATTTCCCTTTGGAATTAGCCTGCTGACTGAGGGGTAGCAGAAATCTATTGTTCACCACACCTGCAATTTCAATGTGGGCCTTAAGCCAGAGAAAATTAATATGGAACTAAACAGTGATTCGTTCCAGGTGCGCCCATGCTCCTTTTCAAATCCCGTGAGAGTGAAGTCAGAAATTCTTCGGAAACATTCTCTTGGTTTTATGCTGAAGTTGCTGGGAGGATGGAGGTCATCCTGAAGTTGACTGTCATCTTGATATCATGAGGGCAAGTCTGCCCAAGAGTGAAATCAACACAAAATAAAATAAGGCAAGCTGTGGAAAGAGGGTGTCTCGATGACATATTTCACACTGTGTGTGTCCAGCTGAGACAGAAGGCAGAGTACCTCAGCCTTGTAGTTAAAAAGGCAACGAATCCCCCTTTCTGTTTCAGATAGTCTGAGTTGTGTTTTCTGTCACTTGCATCTGAATGGTTTCTGAAAAATACACCAAGTCGAAATCCACTTAAATGTTTCTAGCAAGCAGAAGCAACTTAGGAAGTGTCTCAATATTGGTTCTATTCTGTGGTATCCTGGAACTAGTTCATACTGGCTTGCAAAAGCCAACTGTAAAATCTTCAAGAATTTAGCAAGTCAGCTGCTGAACTCTCGGTAGTTTGAAATTAGCCATGTGGGCGTGAGAACCAATTTTTATTAAACATGTACCAGCACACCATGGGCTCCAGATCTAGGGTCAAAAACCTATCTTCAGAGGCTATATGGGAAGTTCCAAGCCAGTCTCTGAACCCCACTAAAAATCCCCCATGGCCCTTCCGGCCTGGATGTGATCTTTCCATAGGCAGCCTCCATAGGCCAGGCCTACAGGAACGGAAGAGGAAAGGGATGGAACAGACAATGTCTGCAGGAAGGCCTGTGTGGGTCCACACTCCCCAGCGAGCTGCTTCCCTTCATTTACAGCTCCACTCAGCAAAGAGGCGGCTCCTTAATGCTATCAACTCTCCCATGCTTCCAGGACATACCCTGCCAAGTCCCTTCCACCAACCTCAATCACAGACCAATAAAAGATCACTTTCCAGTTTAGTGACGTCTCAGTGTCACAGCGGGTGACACAAATAGGATTAAATTCCTCTATTCAGTTGCTAAAGAGACAGACAACAAAGCCTCTCCTAACACCCAATCTCTTTTTCCTGATAGGAGTAAATCTCCCCAAGACAAAGTGGGCCTTGGGAGGCACAGAACTCCTAATCCAGTTTACACAGGGGGAGGACAAATAGGAGACACTGACAGCATCGTGAACGTGAACTTCCCAATGGAACAACTCTCCTGCTCTCCAGATTAAACATCACGATCCCCTGCCGTGCATCCCCTGCCTGGGGTCCCCAGCTGTGGCATTATCTCCTCAGCATTCACTGTTCACAAAGGCTTTTCAACTGACTGCAGAATAACGTTAAGAACTAATGTTCTATCAAGTCTAAAAGCTGCAAAGGTCAAACTTGCTCCCACCAAGGGAGAAAACAAACACGAAGGATGCTGTTTAGAAGAGTCATGTTGTTGGGGTCTGTGTCTATCTGAAAGCCACCAACTAATGTGGTTAAATCTTTGGAGCGAAAGTCAGTAAGCAGCAATCCCTGCACCATTTTCAAGTACCTTTGTAATGTACCGACGTAAGCTCCAAGGTTCTGGGTTAAATGGCGCACAGGATGTTGACCGTCCATGCGTGAATGAGTAAGCTAATATCCACCATGTCAACAAACCCGTTAATAAAACATGTACCTCATGCAAGATTCAAATATGTTAGAGCTGGGCAAGAGATTGGAAATGATGCTGTTCATACTTCACGCGAGGCAGATGAAGAAAGAGAAGCCTAGGTGCCTCTCAATAAAAAGCAAAAAGCATTATTCCCTTGTGAAAAAAATGATCCTTCATTCAGCGTGAAGAAGGCGGCTCTCCTATGAACACCTCACTCTTAATCTTGTTGAAAGACCCTGAGCAAGTCACGCGCCTGGAGTCTGATAGACCCATTACAAAAAGAAAGGTAGGGAGACGCTATGAAATTCTTGCGCCCCAATTATTGCAGAGGGGACACCGTTTTGATTGAATTGCTCAGACGGTTATTTTTCTTTTAATTTATCGCATCAGACATATGCAGCACGGACTATCTTCAGGCCTCTTTGTTTCATGCTCTAAGATCTGATAGAAGAGGGGGCCTCCGAACAGATGCATTATTCTGATTGTGATTAACAAAATGGAAAGGAAGAGTGTGTGCCAAGGGGAGAAAGCTGTTGGGATTGTCATTATCACACCATTTCGCTGATTTGCTGCAACTCAAATAAGGGCAGAAATGAAGACAATTAAAAGAGAACCAGACTGCCGTCGCCTACATTACTATAAAAACAAACAATAGGAATTTAAGCTGATTCGTCAAAAGCAGCAGGAAATTTCAGCAACAGAATTTTTAAAATCCCAGTTCTTTGCAGAACCATTTCAATGGCTAGACGCTGAACCAGCGTGAACCTGGGCACAAAGAATGGATCTGTCTTGTTGAGAATCTTTACTACCTTGTTTCAAATTACCTCTTTTACAAAGAGACTGAATGAGTGGGTCAACCACAAGGGATCAAATGCGCCAGAAGTAAAACTCACAAAGGCCTGATTTCACAAAAGCAAAACTATGCCCTTTGTTTTCATTTTTCATTTTTGTGGTTAAAAAACACACAGAGAGAACTAGAGAGGGTCTTTCTTGTGTACAGATTTTATATCATTTGCCAGAGAAAAGTATTCTAGGCTGAACTGAGAATTCATGAGACGATAAATTTTAAAAATGTAAAGTGAATCAGGCAACTTTTAAAAAATCCTTCCACTAACTCCCCATTCATTTGCTCTAAGTGACTTGTTTCCACCCATCTTTGATTCCATGATCTACCACTCTTCCTCTCCCGCACTAAACCTCAGGCCCTGCTCAGACGGGGATTACAACAGAAGGCTACAAACTTTCTAAGATGAATACATCATGAAGCACCAACGTGCAGCACTTTGACTGTAGGTAATGAGGCCGTATTGTGGACTTGAAATTCACTAAGAAAGTAAATATTAAGTCTTCTTACCACAAAATACGATAAATATGTGAGGTAATGCATATGATAAATAGCTTGACTTATCCACTCCACAATGTACACATATAGCAAAACATGATGACGTACACCATAAATACATACAATTTTTACTTAGTTTAAAAATAAATCGGGAGGCTGAGGCAGGAGAATCACTTGAACCTGGGAGGCGGAGACTGCAGTGAGCTGATATCATACCACTGCACTTCAGCCTGGGTGACAGAGCGAGACTCTGTCTCAAAAAATAAAAAATAAAATACATAAATAAATTATTTTAAAAGTAACTGTGTGAGGTGATGAATGCGTTCATTAACTTGATTGTGGTAATCATTTCACAATGCATATGTATATCAAATCATCATGTCATCCTCTTTAAATATACATAATTTTGTTTGTCAATTATACCTCAATAAAGCTAGGTTAAAAAAAAAAAAAAAACGGAGGTCAAAAAGCTACAGTCCCTGGACTAAATGCAAACTGACACTTACTTTTATACAGCCCCAAAAGTAAAAATGTTTTTCACATTTTTCTTTTTTTTTTTTTTTTTTGAGATGGAGTTTCACTCTTGTCACCCAGGCTGGAGTGCAATGGCGCAATCTCGGCTCACTGCAAATTCCACCTCCCGGTTCAAGTGATTCTCCTGCCTCAGCCTCCCGAATAGCTGGGATTACAGGCGTGCGCCACCACGCCCAGCTAATTTTGTATTTTTAGTAGAGACGGGGTCTAGAACTCCCGACCTCAGGTGATCTGCTCACCTCGGCCTCCCAAAGTGCTGGGATTACAGGCGTGAGCCGCCATGCCCGGGCTGCACATTATTTTAATGGCTAAAAAGAAATGAAAAGAAGGATGATATTGCATCACATATAAAAAGCATGTGTAATTTCAATAAGTAAATCAAGCTGTATTCTAGCAGAGGTACAGACATCGGCTTACATGTTGCCTGGGTGCTTTTGCACCAAGACGACAATTGAGCAGTAGTGACAGAGACCGCATGGCCTGCCTGCAAAGCTGAAAGTGCGTGCTGGCTGGCCCTTAACAGACAAAGTGCGCAAGGTCGTGGCTTAGAAGCCACATTGTATTCACCCTGTAGGGCTTTCACACTGGCCCTAGAAAGCGCTGATGTCCGATGGCCTCACAAGTGCCTCAGGTGCTATCTGTTCAGGCTGCCTTAACAAACCGTCATAGACCAGTGGCTTAGAAACAACAGACATTTATTTCTCAGAGTTCTGGAGGCTGGAAAGCCGAGACCATGGTGCCAGCGTGGTTAGTTCCTGGTAAGGGCCCGGCTCTGCGTTGCCGACGTCCGACTGCTTGTGGTATTCTCACCAAGTCATGGAACTGGTGCTATCCTGAGTCCCATTTAGAGAGGATTTGTAGGTTCAAATTTAACAAATGTTAAAGGGAGACACACGGACATCCAGCAGGCATGGCGGGGAAGAGAGGCGTGGCCTCTGTGGCTACTCTGTGGCCTGGAGCTGCAGTTCAAGTCACAGAACAAGGGAGGCTGGCTTGGGGATTTGGCAGGGAGGCAACGGGAAAAGCATGCGCCTCATCCCAGGGAGGCAGTGAGAATGCCAGCCCAGCCAGGGCTTCCGATTTTCGAGAGACAGCAGAAATCCAAATTTATCTTAATTTTCTTGATTTAAAAAATGTTGACAACTCAATTAAGAAAACAACACCAACAAAATTCTGTTGATCAAACACAACATGTCCATCAGCAGCGGGTGGCTGACCAGCTTCCATTTTGTTAATTCTGGCCTGGAGATTTCCAATTTAATCAACATGGTAGTGTCCATCCATCCAGCCATCCGTTCATTATTTCCAAGAGCTTCAGTGTATTCTAGGCTGTGTTTTCAGCATTGTTAAAATGCTGAGACTTCATTCGACAGACCTAAAACATGGTTCCTGGTCTCCAATAGCTCACTACCTAGTTCCAGAAACAAGACATATAAATAAAAAACCTAAGGAAATCGACAGAAGGGAGGCCCTTAGGCTGCGTGTAGATTCTTACTACTAAAGCAGCAAGAAGTGAGCCGAGAAATGTTATTTCCATTCCAAATCCAATTATCTGGTGATCTAAACTCGGGTCTTAGCATCCTCATCACCAAATCCTATCATTGGGAAGAAGAACTGCCATCGTTTTGTTGATCCTAACAAAGTCCAAAAGAAAGAACAAGCAAACCATTATTTCCAATTCAGCAATCTTTCCATACCTGGAAGCTTGTTTTGAGATGCAGCAGAAATGATGGCTAAGGATTATTGGTTGACTGTGATTTCTCTACAGTAATCTCCACGGCTATTACACTACCTCTTTCATGAACACATTTGTCAGGACCTTATCAGCAACAAGTAGCATAAACCCAAGACCAACTTGCTTAAAGAAAAACAAGAGAATTTATTGGCTCATGTAACTGAACAGCTCTGGAGGTATGGGTTATGGCTTCAGGTATGGCTGGATCAAGCCTCAACAACGATATCATGTTTGTCTTCTCTCTGTCTCTTTGTGTTGGCTTCATTATCAGGCTCTCTGGGGTGGCTTCCAGCAGCTTCAGCTTGGCCTCATCCTTACTGCTGTTAGTGTCCACAAAATGGGACCTTATTTCTTCCAAGATTTCCACCAAAAGTCATGAAGCTCTCTCTCCTCTACTGGAATTAGGTCAGGTATTAACGCCTGACTCAATCACTGTAGCCAAGTCAATCTGTTGACTGCCCTTTCCTAGTTCTCAATCTCTGGAAGCAAAGATGGGCTGAGCCCAACCTCACTATATGAACTGATACAGAGGAAGGGAGGGTTCCCCAAAAGGAAACAAACTGTTGTTATGAGCGTGGGAATAGATGCAGAGCGTGGGAATGGAGTGTGCAAATGCAACTTCTATCCGTGAAGAAGAGACTATATTCCCTCCCCAGCCCAAAACAAGACACATTTTACAAAGAAACAACCTCCTTCAGATGTTATGAAGAAAAGGAAACTATTAATATTAGTTTAACTATGAATATTATATTTATAATTATGTAATATTATAGTATAATACTATATTAAAACTATTAATATTATTCCAGAGCTGAGACAGAATGAAATAGAAAGTTCACCATGGCCGTGGTACAAACACTTTCAGAGAACCACACACTGTGGGTAAGAAGAACTTCAAAGAGATTTCTGTGACCTTCCTTAAATCTCAAGCATTTCATGTACACGTGTCAGACCAAGAATCCACCTGATCAACAGCTGACTCTAAGGGCCGCTGGCTAGCAGAAGGAAGCACCCATTCCTATTTGTTCAGCTGAGAAACATCCTTAAACGCGTAAAACAGATAAGGTCACAGAGAATCTCATTCATCTGGCTTCCCACAGTCAGCCTGCAAACAGACATGGGTCAGAACAGCAGGGACAGCAATTTGAGAATAGCGGCTTAATAATACCTATTAACCAAACGCGCGCGCGCGCACACACACACACACAGAGAGAGAGAGAGAGAGAGAGAGAGCGCTATAAGCTGAAGCCCATCTTGCAGCCTCTCTAGAGAGCTCTTAGGCAGTGATGACAACTCCTTTTGGAAAGCTTACTCCTGGGTGTCTTCATACTGGCACAGAGGTAGCTGTTTCTCTTCCAGTCATGCCAGGATAAGTTATTCTAATGTCTTCATATTAACCACTCCCCATGAAACACTGGTAAGGCTGCATGAAATGATCTTCAAGCCTGGAGTGATTCCTAAAGCACAGAATCTATATTATAGACTGGGGTCAGTTTGTGGCAATTTTGCCCTGAGAACTGAGACCATCTGCATCCACAAGGCGAGAACTAAGACCAGCTATTTAATATATCAAAATGCCTGTACTGTCTGTTCCAGGAAATTCCTGCCCAGGAATACAAGACTGTGAAATAATACATGATCTCACTGTTTGCTTCAGGAAATTTTTGAAAACGGATTTATTTAAACAATAAATGGCTCACCTGGGCTAAAAGCTCACTTATGAAAAGACTGTGCATCAGGATTCACCTCAGGTCCCTTGTTTTGGTGTGTCTCCTCTATTGAAGGACCTACCTTAAGCTACTCGGGCTCAAACCCCAAATCTCTTTTAAGTATCTATTCTCGACCTTCCTTTCCTGAAATCCTACTGAGATTCTCAGTGATTGCTTTACGTTACTGTAATTAAGCTTTGCTTAATGAAGGAGTTATAGTATGGTGATCGGGAGGTGGACAGCTGCCACCTTCACTTTCTCTGTCCTATTCTGTGCTGTGGGTTCACTGACTCCTGCAAGTTACATCCCAAGGCTCCATGTCGCTGGTTTTAGGCTGGGATGGACCAATGACAGCTACTGGCAGGAGACTAGAGGATGGAAAAGAGAGCCCAGGGCTGTCCCCCTTGCCCTAGGCCTGGGGTGTCACCCCAAGTGTCTGCTGCAGATTGCTTTTTTTTTTTTTTAAAGACACAGTCTCGCTTTGTGCCCAGGCTGGAGTGCAGTGGCATGACCTCAGCTCATTGCAACCTCCACCTCCCGGGTTCAAACGATTTTCCTGCCTCAGCTTCCCCAGTAGCTGGGATTACAGGCACCTGCCCAGCTAATTTTTGTATTTTTAGTACAGAAAGGGTTTCACCATGTTGGCCAGGCTGGTCTTGAACTCCTGACCTCAAGTGATCCACCTGCCTTGGCCTCCCAAAGTGCTGGGATTACAGGTGTGAGCCGCTGCACCCGGCCTACAGATTGCTTCTTGGAAGCACCTGCAGGATACACCTGTCTTGGCACCTGGACCCTGGAAACACCATCTCCTCCCTCTGCCCTCCAGCCTAGAGAGGGCAGCAGCTCCCTGTTGTAGCTACTCTCTCAGTTTCTTCCCCTTCCACTGTTTGACACACAGCTTCTTCATCATTTGTAGAACCAATTTATTTTACCAAATTCTCTGTGATGGAAATATGTGAAATGCAGTCTATTTTCCTTGTTAGGCCCCAAGTGATATATTTAAAAACTCCACTGGGGAAATAAATGTCATAAAATCAATCCCAGACATAAGAGTTTGTGTTCCTTTCCTAGATCACAGTCTCACTTCCCCAAAAAGTCTATGCCTCAGTCCTACACATTAGAGTCAGATGGGAAGATTTTTAAAACAGACTGGGGTCCCACCTCAAATCAAATACATCAGAATCTCTGGGTCTGCTGGCTGAAAACAATGTTTATTAAAAGGCTTTGTGTAAGATGCAGAGAACTGGAAAAAGTATCACTTCCATCCTAACACAACATCAAAGTGGGATAAACTACAAAATAATAGTTTCTTGAACACATCAAAGAGCTGAAGTTGCAGAGAAACCAATTAGCGTGAAATCAAAGGAAAAACAGAGTCCTGCAAAGCGAGAAGAAACGTGAGTAATGGCTCAGTTGCAGCAGGAGGAAGAGACTCCAGGTGCCATGCCAGGAGACGATGGTGGAAAAGGTGGAAAAGGTGGACAACTCTGAAACACCTAGGGGGAATTTGGCGATGCCATAGAAACTAAGAAAATGCCAACAGAAATGCTAGAAATAATATAATCATGAAAACTCACAATCAGAGATGAAGAATACCTTCAATAGGCTGATTTATAGATTAAAAATGACTATGAACAGAATCAGTGGTAGGAAAGTAGGTCAATAAGAAATTATTAATAATGGAAATACTGAAAAAGAAGACAACCAAGAAAACAAACGGAACAGAGCATTGAAGACCCTCTGAGGCAATATGAAACAGTCTAGCATACTTGCAACTGGAATTCCAACAGGAGGGGAGAGGAAAACAGGAAAGAGGAGCTATCTGAAGAGGAAACATGTGATGATTTTCCAAAAGTCATAAAAGATTCAAACCACAGACCCCAGAACCTCAGAGAATCCCAAGCAGGATAAATAAATTTTAAGGGACATCTTGACACATCATGTTTAAACTTCTAAAAAAGAAAAAGAGAAAATGTTGAGGGCAGCAAAAAAAAAGACACATTACACACAAAACAACAAAGAAAAGAATTTCAGCAGACTTCTTGTCAGAAGCTATACAAGCCAGAAGGCAATGAAGAGATATCATTAAAGTACTGAAAGGAAAATCATCAACCCAGAATTCTATACCCAGTAAAAACAGCTCTCAACAATGAGGGTAAAATAAAAATATTTTCTGAAAAGTAAAAACTGAAAATGCATAACCATCAGACTTCTGATATAAGATATGTTAAAGGAGAGTCTTCAGACAGAAAGACTGTGTTACAGGCAGAAATGAATATCTGCACAAAGAACTGAAAACTTCCGGATGTGATTAAAATGTAGGGAGATATAAAATCCATTTTGTCTTATCTTGAATTGCTCTAAAAATAACTGTATGAAGCCAAAATAACAACAATGTATTTTGGGTTTATAGCATGCCCAAAAATAAAATAAATGGCATCAGTAAAACCAAAAGTGGGAAAGAGGAATTGGAATATGCAGTTGGCAGGTGATTACACCACACGCGAAGTAGTAATATTGCTCAGAAATTAGATTGTGATCAATTAAATGCCTGTATTGAACACCCTATGGCAACCACTGCAGAATTTTTTAAAAGATAAATAATAACCCATTAGTAGAGATAAAATAGAGTTATTAACCATATTCTAAGAAGCATGCAGAGAAAAGGGGGATGCCAGAAGGCCACAAAGAACAGATAGAACAAATAAAACATTGCTAGGAAGATTGTAGATGTAAATCCAAACATATAAAATTATATGAAATGCAAATTGTTTAATCAGACCAATTAAAAAATACAGATTGTCAGAATGAGTATAAAGTAACGCCCATTTACACGCTGTCTACGGGAACACATTATGAACACAAAGACATTAACTAGTTAAAAATAAAAGGATAGGGAAAATACACCAAGTGACCTGAAGTAGTTATATTAATAATATAAGAAAAATAAACTTCCAAATAACCAATAACACTGGGGAAAAAGGATATTACATATTTATAAAGGAGTTGATACACTTAGAATGCATAATAATCCTAAATGTATATGCAACTAACGACAGAACTTCAAAATACATTCAGCCACAACTCACAGAACCATAAAGAGAAACAAAAAAATCCATAACTATTAGAGCAATGTTGAAGAGGTACTCCTCTCAGTAATAGAAAATATACATAAAGAAAATTCATAAGAATATGGACTATCTGGTATGAACCAACTCATCTAATTGACATTTACAGAGCACTCCTCACAACAGCACAAAATAACATTCTATTCAAGAGCACAACAAGCATTGAGCAAGGTAGACTGCATTCTGGAAAACTGAAAAAAACTCAAAAAATATAAATGCATTAACATCCTACAAAGTATAGTCTTTGACCAAAATGATATTAACCTAAAAATCGATATCAGAAAGGTATCTAGAAAATCCCCCAAACATCTGAAAATTTATGACAAATATCTAAATAACATGAATCATAAGGAAGTTATAAGGGACATTAGGACACAGATAAAAGAGTTCCTAGAGAAAAATGTAGACTATTAGGAACTGATGTAAGTAGAAAAGTCTCAAAAACTGATCTAATCTTCCACATAAAGGAGTAAGATAAAGAGGAGAAAATTAAACTCAAAGTCACAAAAGAAAAAATAGTATTAGAGCAGAAATCAATAAAACAACAAAATAATAAAGAAAAATCAATGAAAATGAAAAGCTGCCTCTTTGAGTTAACAGATAAAATTCATAAATCTCTAGCCAGACTGACTGAGAAAAAAAGAGTAAAGAAACATATTGCTAATAACAGGAATGAAACAGGGAATTATCGCTACAGATCTAAAACTACAAAAAGGCTAATAAAGCAATATCATAAACAATGTTATTTCTATCTATTTGACAATGTAGATAAAATGAACCAATTCATTAAAAAGAAAACACTAACAAAATTCAGCCACTATGAAGTAGATAATTTGAATAATCCTGAAACTATCAAAGAAATTGAACTTACAATTTAATAGCTTCTGAAAAAAAAATTCAGACCCAGATGGTTTCACCAGACAATGTAAACCAAACATTTAAAGAAGTTCTAGCTCCAAATGTGTAGTCTCTTCCAGAAAATAGAAGGAAATACTCCTCATCTCTTTTACGAAGCCCGTAGTACCCTAACACCAAAAGTAGACAAAGACAGTATATAAAAGAAAACTACAGCAAATTTCTTTCATGAATTTAGACAGAAAAACCCTCAACAAAATATTAGCAAATCAAATATATCAATATATAAAATAATTATATGCCATCACTAAATTGGGTTTGACGAGGAAAATAAGGATAGTCCAGTATTTGAAAATAAATCAGTGTAATCCACCACGTCATCCAGCTTACTAAGACAAGTCAGGAATAAGTTCTAGTGGTCTAAACCACTGTAAGATGACTAGTTAACAATAATACATAGTTTAAAATAGCTAGAAGAAGGACATTAAATGCTCCCAACACACAAAAAATCATAAACATGTGAGATGATAAATATGCTAATTATCTTGATCTGATCACTATACATTATATGTACTGAATCATCACTATGTACACCATAAATATGTACAATTATTATGTCAATTGAAAACACACATAACATTGTTTTTAAGAAGGAAAACCAGATGATCATGGCAATTGGTGCAATAGAAGTAGTCTGGCAAGGTTCAATGCCTGTTTATGAAAAAAATACTCTCAGCAAATTAGCAACAGAGCAGAACTTCTTCATTTTCACAAAAAGCATCTAAAAGAAACCTACAACTAACATCATACTTAACGTTGTAAAATGTGATGTCTTTCCCCTAAGTTTGGGAATAGAGAAAAGATGTATGCTCTCACCACTCTTATTCAACACCGTTCTGGGGACCCTGGCCAGTGCAATACACAAGGGACAGGGAAAAGGGAAAGAAGGAGGGGTGTGGACAGGCATAAAGACTGAAAAGCAAGAAACACAATTATATTCAAAAATGACATGGTCATGCATGCAAAACATTAACAGATGTCTCACAAAAAAATTACTAAAACAAGTGAGTTTAACACATAAGGTCAACATACAAAACTCAATTGCATATCTATAAAATTGCAATAAAGAATTATAAATTCAAATTTTTTAAAGAATATTATTCCCCAAAGCACCCAAAAATCTGGAAGACCAGTAGAAATCTAAAAACTACGTGCAGCATCTGTAGGCTGAAACTAAAACAGTGCTGATAAAAATCAAAGAAAACCTAAATAAATTGTCAGACATACCATGTTTATGAACTACAGAACTCATTATTATTAAGATGGCAGTTCTCATTATCATTGAGGTGGATTTTCTGCAGGTTCAATACACTTCCAATCAAAATCCCAGCAAGATATTTTTGTTTTTATTTGCTTTAGAAATTCACAAGCTAGTTCCAAAATTTCATTTCAAATCAAAAGATTTAGAATAGACAAAACATTTCTGAATAAGAATAAAGTTAAAAGTTTCACATATCTGATTAGCATTTCAAGATGTCTTCTAAAGAAAATTAATCAGGACAATGTTGTATTGGTGAAAAGACAGAGACACACATGGGGGAACAAAAGAGAGCTCAGAGTATATCTACCATATACGGTCAGACAACCTTGACAAAAATGTAAAGTCGATTTAAAAGAGAAATAACAAACTTTACAATAAATTATGCCAGAGCAACTGGATACTCAAATGCAATAAAAGTGAATATTGACCTATACACCCCACCATACACAAAAATTAACCAAGACTGGATTATAGACCTCAATGCAATAAAATCTGTAACAGTGTTTATAAAATTAGAGACAGGATCTCGCTCTGTCACCCATGCAGGAGCACAGTGGCTCAATCGTAGCTCACTGCAATCTCAACCTCCTGAGCTAAAGCGATCCTCCCACCTCAGCCTCCCAAGAAACTAGGACCATGGGCATACACCACTATGCCTGGCTAATTTCTTGATTTTTTGTAGAGACGGAGTCTCACTATGTTGCCCAAAATGACACAACTATTAAACTTATGGAAAAAGCACAAAAAAGAAATGCTTTATGACATTTGGTTTGGCAAAGACTTCTAAGATATGGCAATATCAGTTACATAATAGAAAAGAAGATAAACTGGATGTCTTCTAAATAAAAAGTCTTCTCTGCAAAAGACATGTTAAAATAAACAACATGCTATAGACTGAGACAAAATATTTTCAAATCATGTATATGGTTTAAAGACTTGTCTACAAAATAAACAAACAATTCTCAAAACTGAATAGTAAAGCCACCCAAATTATTTGGCCATTTTAAAATATCAAAAGGATTTGAACAGATATTTTACCCAAAAACATCTACAGATGGCAAATAATCACACTAAATGCCACTCAACATCATTAGTAATTAGGGGAATGCAAATTAAAATCACAATGAAGTACCACTACACATGTATTAGAATGGCTACAATAAAATTACAATATGAAAATATCAAGTGTTGGCAAGAATGTGGAACAGCTGGAACCTTACACATTGCTGGCAGAAATGCCAAATGGTTCAACCATTTTGCAAAATAGTTTGGCAGTTTCTTATCATGTTAAACACACACATCTCATGTGACCCCAGCAATGTCATCCCTGGGTATTTACCTACATACCTACCAAGAAATGAAAGCATGTGTTTACACCAAACCCTGCACACAAATGCTTATAGTGGTTTCATTCATAACAACCAATACTAACCACTCTGGTGTCTTTCAGATAGCTAATGGGTAAACAAACTCTGGTACAACCATACCATGGCATACTACTCAGTAATAAAAAGAAATGAACTACCAGCATACCAACAACTTGTAAGAATATTAAATGCATTAGGCAATGTGAAGTAAGCCTAGCCCAAAAGGCTACATAGTGTATGACAGTTTATTTAACATTCTGGAAAAAACAAAACTATAGGGACAGAATCAAATGTGTGGTTCCCAGGGGATGAGGAAAAAGAGAGGGGCCCATTATCAAGGGGCAAGAGGAAACTTTTGAGGGTTACAGAAATGTTCTGTATCTTGATTTTGGCAACGGTTACCAGACCATATGTATTTCTCAAAATTCACAGAACTGTTCAATAGTAGAGGGAATTTTACTCTATGCAAATTATACTTCAATTAGCCTGACTTTCTCCACTCACCATATCTTCTTATGTGAGTCTAACGTGTAGCCAGAGTGCAGAATCACTGCCTCAACCCTTGTACACACAACAGATGGCTTCCCTTGAAGGACCTGCTCCAGGGTTCTCAACCTTGATTGCATATCAGAATCACTTTGGGAGCTTTGAAAACTACCAATGCTTGGAACTGATCCTGGCATATTCTGATGTCATTGGTCTACACCGTGGCTCAGGTGCTGACTGGACTGTTGCAAAACTCTAGAAATGATTCTAATGTGTACCCAAGGCTGAGAACCACTCGTGTAAAAACAATGGTCTTCCCACACTACTGCTCCTGCAACTCCTAATAGAACACTTTTTAAACTCTGTACCCACTTGCAAATTTCAAAAGTGGTATCTAATATTTTTCATCCAGTTTCAATAGTTGCTAAGGATGAAGTTTCTAGTGTATTGTAAATCTTGACATTTTAAAATGAAACTGTTACATCACTCTTTTAAATGTATCCATTGGAATATAAATAACAGAATGGCTTGACACCCACGACCATCCACTTATAAAACCCATGAAAAACTCTTCACTAATAAGAAATGTTACTTTGTTCCATTTTCTCCTTGAACTCATGTTTCCATTCCAGTTATTTCACAGAATTTTAACCTAATGTAATAACCTTGAAAGTAACTGTCCATTACCTTATTATGTCTTCTTACCACAAAAATGTATGGTTATATATTGAACTTAAACTTTTTAAAGTTTCTCCTCACTGTAAGATTCTCATTATGCAAAAATTTCTTTGGATTGGTGTCATTACAATTATGACTGTTACACAATCAAAACAATGAAAGGTAAATACATATATAACACATTTTAATAAATACCTTTTAAGATAAAAAGTATTTTTTATTGCAAATGTATCTCTTAATGGGCTATGGGATGGTAGTGTTAAGCTCCTTGATTAAAGGAACTGTCTAATTGTACTTTTGCAACTGTGGAGGCTTTTACTTCTGAGGGGAATGAATCATAGTAAGACCGGAGATGGAAGAGAAGTGTCTTGCTATTGTAAAATCAAAGAACTGTGTGTGAGAGAGAGAAGACAGAGGATGAACAGGTGATTTTGAATTAACCTGGACAGATCATAAAATATACAGAATATCAGAAAATATACAGACGTTAAGGATGTAAAACAAATTCCCTTTAAAACATCCCCATTCCCAAACTCCTAGGAAGGTCTTTGCATCGCCCCTCCATTCATATAATGTAGTTTAAACAGCACTGATCTACATAAATAACCTAACAAATCATTAAACAATCCTTCACACTAAAGGTAAATAACTTGGTATTGCCATGCATCGCCAGGGCCAGGGAGAACACAAATGAGGGAAGCTCTTAGGAGTCAAGAAACACAGGGCACTCTTTGATATGGTCTGGCTGTGTCCCCACCCACATCTCATCTTGAACTGTAGTTCCCATAACCTCCACGTGTCGTGGAAGGGACCCGGTGGGAGGTACCTGAATCATGAGGGTGGTTACCCCCATGCTGCTGTTCTCCTGATAGTGAGTCCTCACAAGATCTGATGGTTTTATAGAGGCTTTTCCCCCTTTTGCTGGGCACTTCTCCTTGCTGCTGCCATACGAAGAACATGTTTACTTCTCCTTCCACCATGATTGTAAGTTTCCTGAGGCCTCCCCAGCCATGCTGAACTGTGAGTCAATTAAACCTCTTTCCTTTATAAATTACCCAGTCTCGGGTACGTCCTCATAGCAGTGTGAGAACAGACTAATACACTCTTGTATTTCATATCCCTACTTTTGAAAGAGATCTGAGTATAGAGAACTATTTCTCCACTCTAAGAAACACATGAGTTAAAACCCAGTGATCAGTAACCAGGGGGAAAACATAAAAACAGCACTGGCAGGAGGAGAGGAGCCTGTGCAGACCGCCCGCCCCTCCCTGTCTACCGTGGAGGCAGCTGCTCAGCTGGAGTGAATTACTCACACGTGGCAATCCCAGGCTAGTGCTGCTCCTACCTCCAGAGAAGCAGGAAAATCCACTTCTATGAAAGTCCTCTGGTTTCAAAATATTGACAAGACATTCACAGTGCAGCCACATTAAACATATTTGTAAGCCACAGTATAACACTTGACATTGTCTGCCAATCACAAACCACACCTCTGACATCAAAGTACATAAAGAAACTGGATGACAAAATAAAATTTTCCTCTCTATTTGTTGAACACATATTGCCCCATAGCCTCCACTGCTGCGAAGTTCGGTTCCTACCCTTTTGATTCACGTGGCACCACTTTAATTTTAAATTATAAAATAATAATAATAATAGTTTCCTTTTCCTATCAAAAATCTCTTTAACACATGCAAACAATTCTAGGAAAATTACTTTAAGATAGTAAAAAAATGTGACATTGGGTCCAAATGCAAGCTGCAAGTTTTTGTTCTTTCCAAAGTTTAAATATCAGGCTATCTATAATATCAGCATATCTAGGAAATCATTGTCCTCATTGTCTTAGGGTTGCATTTATCCAAACTACAGGCAAAAAACAACTCCCTAATGTATTCTCCCTAATTAAGTAAATCAAGCAAAAACTCCTTATTGGAATCAGATATGCAGAACTTAACGAGATAAGGCAGAACTCATTTGTAAGCTGGGATTTTTTTTTAACACAGCTGTACTCAAAATCACTGTTTTCCCTCCTATTGTTGACACTGTTCCCCTGAAAATGTAAATAATATTATTTGAGCTGTTCTCTCTCTTTCAATAGAATTCTCAGTAGTTTTACTGATCTCACATTTCAAAATATTGAATGCTTGTAAAACAAGCAATTGTGTGTTTTGATGCTTGCTTTTAACAGCACATAATGCAAATATTTAATCACAACAGTAATTTCCATTGTGCATAGTTTTTACATCTAATTAAGGACTCTGAAAAATTACAATCATTGAAAACAAAAGCTTACATTTCATTTACACAAACACCCAAAGGATAGAGTAACTTCTCCAGGAGGGTAAAATTCTACTGAAGTCACTATTGAGGCAACAACATAAAGCCCTCTTTTTGGTTAAATATTAGAGAAAATTTGAATATTTGAATCTTAGATTAAAAATTATAACAGCCCTGTCTGGGCGCGATGGCTCACACCTGTAATACCAGCACTTTGAGAGACCGAGGCAGGAGGATCACCTGAGGTCAGGAGTTCAAGACCAGCCTGGACAACATGGTGAAACCCCATCTCTACTAAAAATACAATAAAAAAAATTAGCTGGGCATGGTAGCATGCATCTGTAGTCCCAGCTACTCAGGAGGCTGAGGCAGGAGAATCACTTGAACCCAGGAGACAGAGGTTGCAGTAAGCCAAGATCACGCCATTGCACTGCAGCTTGGAGAGCAGAGCAAGACTCCGTTTAAAAACAAAATTCTAACAGCCCTAAGGGTGGACTGTTGCTGTCCTGTTAACCACCCGGTACCCACTACCTTCTCTTTGGTAACAGTGTCCCAACTTGTTTTCCATAATATAACTCTTCCCCTACTTTCATACCACGTGATTCAGGTAGGTCCTCCCTCCAGGCTCTAAAGTGAGCTGGTTCTATTTATTTATTGCATAAGTTTAAGCCAGTCATCATAACTAGCCCATCCTTCTGGCCACAGTGACTTGAGTCGGGGAAGTCCCAAGAAGCATTATGGTCTTATAAGAGGCAGGCCCAGAGCTTTGATGGAACTAAGAGAAACGTTCTTTCTTTTTACTAAAGTTAGGATAAGATGTAATTCTGAGCTAGGAAGCCATTTTGTCTAGATGAGGGAGAGTGTCTGAATAGAACACAGGAAGGACAGCTAAGAGATTCTAGGTCCGTAGAGCCTCACTTGAGCACCTGGATCAAGCCTTGCCTGATGCCATTTTTGTCCCCAGAATCTCAGTTAAGTGAACAAATACGTCTCCTTTTGACTGGTAGTGTTGACCAGATACCTATATGTTCTTCTACGTTCCCCAGTCCTCTCTGCAGTTGGATGGCAGTCACGTTTCCAAATGCCAGCCAATGAGATGTGGGCAGAAGTAATAGAGCCCACATCTGGATGTTAAATGCATCCTACATGGTCCTTGAACCCTCCTTTCCCCAGTTGTGCTGACCTGGACTCTGAGTGAACAACAAATGAACCTTTCCCATATTAAGCCACTGAGACACCGGCATTACCTGTTCCTGCAGCACAGCCAACCTGGCCTAACTAATGTACCCCTTAGGCAATTTGAGAATTTCCTCTTCACCTGCTACTAAAATATTATTAGAAAAGTTTTCCTTAAATCCATGAAATGAGCTGGAACTCTTCCATTTAATCCACAGTTTCTTG
Source organism: Homo sapiens (assembly GCF_000001405.40). Classification (NCBI taxonomy): domain Eukaryota; kingdom Metazoa; phylum Chordata; class Mammalia; order Primates; family Hominidae; genus Homo; species Homo sapiens. The sequence goes on from NC_000012.12 coordinate 129,889,641, forward strand.
GACATTATCTTATAGTTTGCTTCAGATTCTAAAGAAAGATCCTTGTAACGGAAGATCTGCTTTGCTTTTTCTCTTTATAGCATCTGTTCAATGCTGACCAGGACAGTAGTCCAGAGGCCTTTGGGATGACAAAAAAAGGAACAGTTCTTCCTCTTGAGGGCCTCCTGTTCAAAGAAACACAAAGAATACTTTGAAATGCTAGAAAAGTAAGAACCTATCTAGAAAAATCATAACCAAATCAGCCATTTATTGAGTATGCATCTGTCAATATCATGAACGGGAATGCGAGAAACACAAAATTAGGATCCTTGCATCCTTTCCTAGAAGCCTCATGAAAAGAGAAACATGACATGTACGAGATATTCTAACGTGGCTTTTTGCAAGGTCAATAGTATCAAAAATCAACTTTAATAAGATGAGTATTTCTGTGAGTATGATGAGTATGAAGATTGGCACACAGAACACCAGTTCTAGGTCCCTTCTGGAGTAACTCCTTGAATCAAAGAAGCCCCAGTCCTATAAATTGGATGTGCAGGGATCTCTCAGAGCTTGGGTTTTTGGCCTGGCCTAGGTCCTGTTGAGCAGGTGCATCCATCTGGAACTTGGCGCAGGGCAGTGAGTGACATGAGGCCATGGTTTCACATGGGATCCGCCCTGCTTACATATTCTAGAGTGCTGTCTTTGGTTATTTACGGGTAGTCCTGCCGGGCCCTACACCATAGGTGCTGAAAGGAAGGCAATGGTACTATTGGGATTGGGGCCAGAATAGGAACACACTGTGGCTGGGAGTTCCCACTGGCTGCTGGTGTTCCTGGCACCCAACCCTGGCTCCCTGGTACTCAAGGAGTCTAGCTGCTACCTCCTATGCTCTAATAAAACTGTCTCTACCACAGTGGGATCTGTTGTCAGCAGTGAAGACCATGACCAACACAGAAGAAGCACAATTGTGGAAAAGAGATTTCTAAAGAGTTACACGAAAGCCAAAAATGTCAGTCCTTCCTCACATCACGCAATCAGCGAATTCTTCTGCAGCTGTATTATACAGCTTGCCAGAGATATTTATCACTGTCCATGCCTCATTTTCCCCCACTAGACTCTAATCTCATGAGGGCAGAGTTAATCTCATATTCATCTCTGTATCCTCAGAGTGTATCATATTACGTTTATAATTTGTCCTCAAAATGATTGAATAAATAGATTCATACGCTTGGTTCCTTATACCTCTGATGTTTCCTGTTGAAGATAAAATACTCGAACCAAATAGATCCTAGGACGGAACGTGAAAGTTTCATGCAGGCATTAAGGCAGCAGGGGCCTCCCGAATTCCATGGAGGTCACCGAATCAGGGAACTCTCATTCCAGATGAAAATATAGAGAAACCTGTTGCCCTGACTGCTTGATAACAGCGACGCCCAAACAGCAGGTCCTAGAGGAGCCTCCTCTTCCCCGGTGACTCGGTGGCACCCTTGCCATTCCATCTTTAAATGCATCTCCTTCTTCCTCATAACCTTGAAGCCAAAGTCTCTTTACCTCCACGTCATCTGTCCACTGACGTCCTCTCACTGGGGCCCACTTCAGAAAGCACACCTGGAAGAAACTGCTGGATGCAATTCTGGGTCCTCCTCACTGATCAGACTCAATGACCTCATCCACTCTAATCCCTCACCCCTCAAGAGCCAACTCATCTCGGGGCAAAGGACCACACTTTGACCAAAACAGAGTTCTGGGGGCCTTGAGAGCAACATCATCAAAGAGCAAGACCTCTATTCATGAAGACTTTTGAATAGTTTTCTAGGCATACAGAAGCACTGAGGAAATGCCGTTGGGTGCGGCTGAAATTGACACTTGCCATTGCTAAGAGCATCAGGTTCAGCGGACTGGACACTTTCAAATCCGGCTAATATCTGTGCAAAATGGTGCAGCCCTTTCAGGAAAGAACTTGGCAGCGAAAGCTCTCCTCATACTTTTTTGGCCCAGAGATTAAGTAACTGTGAGGCTATCTAAGGAAGTAACTCAAAACTTAAATTATGCACAAAGATAATTATTTCTTATAATAGTAGAAAAGTATAAATTATGTAATTGTCCAGCAAACATAGAAACTTTGAAGCCATGATACAGACATTAAATTTATACTCATAATACATTTTTAAACATGAGGAAATACTTATGTAAACACATGAACTCGAAAAAGTTGAAAACAAATTATAGGTACCACATAGAGAGTGAACAAAACTGGCTTAAAAATTCATAGAAAAACAACTAGAAAGAAATATATCAAAAATGTGAAGCAGTCATCTTTGGGTACTGAAATTGTTTCTTTTTACTTCTCATTTCAAAAATAATTTGAAGTAGCTCACAAAAAATAAATGCAATGGGATAAATTAAGAAGGCAAGAAAACAGACAGAACAAGGATAGAAAAATCAAATAAAGCCAAGGAAAAAACTTATTCACAGGAGGCCTGTCTTAAATTCCCATCCTTACAAACAGCAAATTTAGCTCTGAGAGTCCTAAAAGTTAAAGCAAAGCTAAACAGGTGGCCACTTATAAACTTCACAGTGCTCTCTGGATAAAGTATAAACTATTTCCCAGGATTAATGCAGCTGTTTTTCTCCTGATACTAAGGCCCAAGAAAATTTTCTCCAACGTGTCCTAGAAGAGGAAAAATCTATGTTTAATAGACAATATTCTTAAAACATCTCTACCAATCTTTCTTGACTATCACTCAATACTGTCTAATAACCTCATGCCAAAGTATAATTCAATTTAAAGGATTTTATGAGAGTCAAATTGCCTAGCTTTCTACTTTTCTGGCTTGATCTGAGTGAACAGATGGGCCGAAGGATATTTCTTCTTCTTTCTCTCCTCCCCTCTTCCCTTCTCCTCCCTCTCCTCCTCCTCGTTTTTTCTTACTACCTTTATGGACATTCTATACCTTTCATAAATGCACTTGCATAACTGTAAAATTTGGATTTTTTTCCCAAGTATTATTACTTATTTCCTAAGTAATAATAGGAATTACTTAACTAAAACACAATCTCTATACACGCAGGCCACATCATCTCCCCATCATTTATGGCTACAAGCAGCTGTGTTGGAGATGCTACAATTTGTTACTAGGAGCCCAGAACCCTGGGCCATCCATGCCTTTGTAGTCTTTGCTTGGACACATTCAAAATGGACACACTCACGAAGTGGCCTGATTTATGCATAATGGCGCCTGTTTTAAGGACTCTGTTTGTTTGTTTGTTTGTTTGTGACAGAGTCTCACTCTGTCATCCAGGCTGGAGTGCTGTGGCATGATCTCAGCTCACTACAACCTCCACCTCCCAGGTTCAAGTGATTCTCCTGCCTCAGCCTTCTGAGTAGCTGGCACTACAGGCACATGGCACCACGCCCAGCTAATTTTTGTGCTTTTAGTAGAGACAGGGTTTCATCATGTTGGCCAGGCTGGTCTTGAACTCTTGACCTCGTGATCCGCCTGCCTCGGCCTCCCAAAGTGCTGGGATTACAGGCAGGAGCCACCACGCCTGGCTTAAGGACTCCTTTTTGTTGACTTGGGCTAGTTATTTCAGATTCCTGTACCTCAATTTTTGCCTCTGTAAAATGGAGATGCTACTACACAAAGGATGGTGGTGAGGATTTCATGAGTGAATGAAAGTACAACATTTAGAACCCTGCCTTGCCTAAATGAGCATTCGATCAATGATAATAAAAATCAGGATTATGATTTCTTTTGAGTAAGAAGCTCTCCCACCCTCCCCACCCTACCCACCCTGCTCAGCTTCCATCCATTCACAGGACCTTCCTCTGGTGTTCCAGCTGGATCTGCTTATGCTATCTGAAGCCACAGAGACAGGCACATCCTTCTTTCAAAAGACAGACATCTCTGTAGTTAAAAGAAGTCATCGCTTTTCCAAGTCAAACTCATGGAGTTTCTTCAATATTACTTGCTATGATAAGGGGTCTAGGTTTCTCATTTTCTGAATGAGTTAAAATTTTCCATTTTTCCCCTTCAGCAGAAGGAGACCAATGTAGCACAATTCTCTGGATTTGATATCATCCATCCATTGCCAATGCAATATGGTGAAAATACTTTATTTGTCCTATAAATTATAATTGTGTGAACTGAGCCAGCAAGACAGCAGCCCTATTTTCTGTTCAGCCTTCACTCACACATCTGGAAACCACACCTGGTCCTGCCTTGGGTCCAGCCCTCCTGCCATGGGGCACTTGACCCTTGCTCCACACCTTCCCATCCCTCAGTGGATGGATCGAAGGGGAGCATGATTTTCACGCCCTACAGAGCTTATCCCGAGGCTTGTCCACAGAAATGGGAAAGAAGCCTTCTCTGATCCCCACCAGCATCAGATGAGGCTGGGCGTGAAGTCATTTGTCCATCACACTGTCCAGGCCTGTATTATTCTGTTCTCATGCTGCCAAAAGAGACACATCCAAGACTGGGTAATTTATAAAGGAAAGAGGTTTAATGGACTGATAGTTCCACATGGCTGGGAAGCCTCACAATCATGGCAAAAGGCAAAGGAGAAGCAAAGGCACAGCCTGCATGGTGGCAGGCAAGAGAGCGTGTGGAGGACAACTCCCATTTATAAAACCATTAGATCCTGTGAGACTTATTCACTCCATGAGAGTGTATGGGGGACACCGCCCCCCATGATTCAATTATCTCCACCTGGTCCCACCCTTGACATGTGGGGATTATTACAATTCAAGGTGAGATTTGGGAGGGGACTCAGCCAAGGGGATATCAAGGCCTATCCACCAGTAGAGCAGAAACAAAGAGGGTCTGAAAGGTAGAGAGAGATGAAGCAGGTTCTGGTGGGATCCTTAAAGACCCCGGGTCAGCCTCATCTAAAATCAGCACAACTCTGGACTCCTAAGTCTCTTAAGATAATTCGAAGCTTCATGTAACAGAGTCCTGATGGTGTGGAGTCAGGATAAAGCATGAGGATATTCCACATCCATAATGATAAAACTATGATTATTCATGAGTGCTCCTGGCCTTCCAGGCCTCCGCTTCCATAAGACACATTGACAAGACACCCCACAGAGCTCGCACCTTCCTTGTTGGTTTCTTGTAGTTTCTCTTTTTTTTTTCCTCTGGCAGTTTCATGACTGTCAACTCTTATTAAGCTTATTTTCATACGAATCTCCAAGTCTTTTTACACGTGTTCCTCTCAAACTCCTCTCTCGTACCTCCCAAGTCAGCGTGTGTGATCTACGTTCAGCATGTTGCAATATCCCCTTTGTCTCACATGTTAGATTGTCCTCATCTCAGGTGAGCTTTTGGTCACAACTCTGCCACGCAAAGGCCTTACCACTCCACCCCTTCTGTGTAGCTGCTCTTCTGAGGTTTGCGCGAAGGAGCTCATCTGTTTGGACAGCCACCTCTGATACAAATGTTCACCTGGGCAGGGCTGGGGACAGAGTCCTGGGGTCTCCTTGGAACGTGCTCAAGGTTCATACCACACCATCTGCTACCATCTGAGCTGCTGGGAATCCACCAAAGCATAGCACCCCCCAGGTACACGTCACCGTTGTGTGGACAACAGTGCTGGGGTGAGCGCTAATCCCAGTGCCCAGCATCAGTAAGCACCGAATACAGACCTCTTCATTTGTTTGTAACGTTACTGAAATCTCTATCTTTACTCCACATTCTATCCAGTAGCAAAACAAAGCTCTGTAGATACTGCCACACTCCCACCCCACCCAATGATTTCAGGGATCACTTCTAAGTTTTGAGAGGTTCGGAGTGACCACAACAACCAGGAGGGCTTTGTGATTGGTACAAATGATATCTTGTCTCCTGTGGTCAGTCCACACAGACTATGGTTTGTGCCTCCCTGGTCTTGACCACAAGGCCTCCTCGGGCCAATTGGGCTTCCTCAGCCATGCCTGCACAGCCCTGGCTGCCAGGAAAAGATTCTGCTATTTGAGCCATGCTCGGGCATGCTGCCTGGTCACCTCATACGAACATTCCTTCTGCTTCATCTCCAGGCTATTTAGGACAGAGTGTCTTCATTTGTGGCTCTCCCAATATATTCACGAAGTCAATCTAGAATATTTTTAATTTGTCATTGGAGTGACGTGGCACAGAGCAGCTGAAAAGCCCACCAGCATCTAAGCTGCCCTCCAAATTCTCCTGCCCTTTCCCCTAGTAAAAAAAAAAAATTACTTGGTGAAGGAAGAAGAGAAAGGCTGAGAAACCATATGCCTGGGAAGATAGGTTCTTCCAAATCTTTTCTCTATTGCTGGATACCAGCTTTTGAAATCAAAAGTCAGGAATTTGATTTCTCTGTCTCTCTTTTTTTTTTTTTTTTTTTTGTTTGGAGACAGGGTCTCACTCTGTCACTCAGGTTAGAGTGTATTACATGATCACAGCTCACTGCAACCTCCACCATCCAGGTTCCAGCAATCCTCCCACCTTAGCCTCCAGAGTAGCTGGGACAACAGGCACACACCACTGCACCTGGCTCATTTTTTTTGTTTTGTTTTGTTTTGTTTTTGTAGAGATGGAGTCTTGCTTTGTTGCCCAGGCTGGTCTTGAACTCCTGGACTCCTCAAGTGATCCTCCCACCTGGGCCCCCCAAAGAGCTGGGATTACAGACATGAGCCATCATGCTTGGCCTTGACTTTCCTGTCTCGTGCCTTCTGCTGTTCCAAGAGGCAGTGGCTGCCAGGTGTTCATCTGCACGAGAAAGGAGAGGCCAGGGCAGCAGGGAATGAGAGCAGGCAGGGCAATGTCGCCATCTGTTTTGATATCAAAATACTTTATTGCCACAATATCCTGCCAAACACTCTTTGAGTCTCGGCAGGCTATTTTATCACTGAAGCGTCTTCCCATCTACCAGTATAGCTTTCCTGACCAAAATGCAAACAAACAAATAACAACAATGAAATCTGACAGACATCTTCTTAGTGAATCTGCAGAGGGAGATTCCCATAAACATAAACATTTAATGTCACTCTCGTGAAAAGAATAACTTAATGTCACTAAAAGTTAAACACTTTTTTGGAACCTCTTGTCTTTCCAAATGTACATCTGAATCTCCCTTTATTTATATACTTTACTTACTTCCTAAGAGTGGAACCTCTTGTCTTTCCAAATGTACATCTGAATTTCCCTTTATTTATATACTTTACTTACTTTATATACTTTACTTACTTCTTAAGGGAGGAGAAGTGGCTATTTGAATTCTCTTTCAAAGGCATGTTTTTTACCTTTATAACTGTTGACTGATCTGTTCTAAAACTATGTACTTCAGTCGCTTTTCAGATGCATGCCACAGGTTTGTTTACTTTCAAGGTCAAGGGCCTTCCTTCTCCATCAATTCTTAATTTATGGAGGGGGTGCACCTTGGGTGACTCCTGAAACCAATGTTTAAGGACAGAGGTGACGGAAGCACCTAGCCTCTGACTGTGGTATGTACCCCTTAATTCTTCCTACAGCAGATTTTTCTTTTAAATAAATGACAAAGTCATCTAAAAATATTCCGAGTCTTTGGTCCCATGTCACAACAAATCCATGCTGGTTTCCTCTTCGTTTTGTGAGAGGCCGCACCATATCATCTCCACAATTCATTCAAGTGTGCTGTCTGGCGTCAAACATCAAAATCAACAACGCATATGTTCACAGCATCAAGCATCCTTCTTCTGCAAACAGGAAGAGTCTGTGTCTTCATTCCGCATGCTTCTTCCTCATTCTTTATAATTTCCCAGAGACCACTGATGTGTCACCTACACTTTTGGTCCTGGAAGACCAGAGGCCATGTCTTAGTCTTCCCTGCCCAGGACCCTACACATGTTAGGGACATAGATGAATAAACAGGTCCTGAAGACAGTCCACTGGGCATGTCTGCAAGTTCTTTAAGAAGCTTGACCTAGGGAGGTGGGGGAGGAGGAAAATAAAAATAAAAAAAACAAAAAAGAAGCTGACCTAGGAGATAACCAAACCATTCCACACCATCAGAGAATCTCTTCTACCTCCCTGGTGGTCTTGGAAGTAAATCCCCATTTTAATCCCTTTCAGGTGTTATTTCTGATTGCTGCTGGAAAAAATAATGCTGAGAAAACTAAATAACATGATGTTCATTTATTCATTTGCTCAACAAATATCAAGGGTCATCTGTATACCAGGCTCTGAGCTAAAAACTAAAATGGTCTCAAGACCTCTCTGCACTCAGCCCCTGGCAAGCCTGGCACCATGTAACAATTCTGCCTGACAAACCGCCTGGTTTTTAGTTATTCCATATAATTATCAGAAGTCAGCAGAATGGCCAGGGGTATGGGTTCTGGCATCAGAATTCAGACTCTGCCTGTCTTTTATGTTGCTATGACTTGGAGAAGTTACTTAACATCTCTGAACTTCAACTTCTGGTCCAGTACATATCTACCCCATTGAGTTTATCTGCAAATTCACAAAAATTATCCTCATAAGTCACTCCGCACAGTGCCTGCCATACAACAATTACTCAAAACATTAGCTGGTATTATTGACCAAAGTATTTCCTGCGGCGCTCTGAATTACTGGAAAAGGCAGCATCAAACCACTGCACTGTCAGGTAAATGATTTCCAGCAATATTTCACACTCTTGGAAGCACAGTTAAAAATTGTATTGAGCCCCTGCAATGTCCAAAGCACAAAGCTAAAAATACTGGAGAGAAATCAGAGATAGAAAAAATACCCATTTTTTTGTCCCCTAGAAGAACTTAAAATTTAGGAGAGGAGGCAGAAAATAGTTGTAGAATGTCAACCTTGTGAAAGGCAGAAGTGCACTCCCCCAAAAGATATTCACATCCAAATCCCTGAAATATGGGAATGTTGGTTACTTTATTTGGAAATGTTAAAAGGCGACGTGACTAAGTCAAGATGGGAGATTATGTGGATCACTTGGGATCCTCCCAGTCCATCCGGTAACGCCAGCCCATCCTTCAGACAAGGCGAGTCTTCCCAGTTACTCTAAGTCAACTGCCAAATTATCTGCATCCAGAGACACTCGCCCCATCCTCCAGAGCACACCCACAGTGCTAACTTTATGTTTTTCTGTGTAATTCACATGTTCCCCTATCTCTCCTACAAATGGCAAGTTCTCTGGGAATAGTAACCATATCAACCTGTGCTTTTCCTCACTACGGTACTCCCTGTGCCCAGCACGGTATGGGGTGCATTGTTGGTGCTCAGAAGGCAGTTACTGTTATGAAATAGGAAAGGAGAGGGAACAAAGGAAGAGGGGAATGATGAATACGAAACTGCCCAGGTCTGAGCTTACAACTTAAAGCAACGGAGTAATGGTATGAGGCACTTTGACATCTAGAGGAATGACTGGCACTAAACATCCCTACCTAAGGACGCTTTAGTACCTGTCCTGTGTCCTCACAACACTTAGAAATAGTTCCTGCTGAGCTCTGTGTTCACTGAAGGCATGTGGCCTTTGACATTTGTTGAATGAATATGCAGATGGATGGAATGATGAATGGATGGATGAAATGATAGATGGATAGATGGAAGGATGGGTGGATAGAAGGATGGAATGATGAATGAATGGATGGATGGGCAGACAGACAGATGGAAGGATGGATGGATGGATGGATGCACGGATGGATGGATGGATGGATGGATGCATGGATGGATGGATGGATGCATGCATGGATGGATGGATGGATGGATGGATGGATGGATGGATGATGGATGGAGGGATGGATGGATGGATGGACTGGTAGATGGATGGGTGGATAATGGATGGATGCATGGATGGATGGATGGATGGATGGATGGATGGGTGGATGGGTAGATGGACTGGTGGATGGACTGGTGGATGGATGGGTAGATGATGGATGGATGGACGGATGAATGAACGGGTGGATGGATGGGTGGATGGGATGATGGGTGAATACATGGGTGGAAAGACGGATAACACCTGGATTAACAGAAAAATTGATAGATAAATTCTAAATATTGTGTAGCATAGCTTCTATAATAAAATATTTTTGAAATTTTTGTTGTTTACTCATTTTTTCTTGGCTCTTAGAATATAACTAAGTTAAACAGATCCTCAAACTTGGAATTCTACCTTTCTATGCACATAAATATTTTTAATAAAATCACATTTTGATTTAACTCTTTAATTCATACAAAACAAAACTTAGTGGTCTCTTCATTCTTTGTCTTTTCAATTTGACAGAATTTGAATGTAAGCAAAAAGCCACACTCTCTCTCTCCCCCACTAACTGGCTCCCTTCTGATATTCTTTCCTCTCCCAAAAAGTTCCTGACCCCTAAAGAAGTTATCACTGTACTTTGAAGCTCTTTTTGGTCCACAGCTTCCTTCAATAAGGGTGGTGCTGTCCTACCCAGAAGCTTCACTCTGACCCAATTAACACCCCAGTGTCATCAAATTGTGTCAAATGGAATTTCATGATGCAGATATTATTTATAAGCTCAGGGACAGTTCAGTTCATGTCGCAATGTATTCATATCACCTCTCCTCTAAGATTCTCTGATCCCTTGAAAGTTCTCACCCAGCTGGAAATCGAATATGAACTATATTTAACAGGATTTTAATTGGAAGTAAACACACAGACACACCACACACAGACAATGCAAAGTGCCTAAACTGTCTGGGGCTGATTGAAAAAGAATATTACCAAGTATTAAACATCCGTTTCAGCATATTATTAGAGGCCAGAAGCTCTACATATGGAAGCAGTTTCAGGAAGGCGCTCCAAGAAGCCCACTGCCCAGGCCATTGGCTGCACTCAGCTGGAAGCAGGCAGAGCACGTGCCCAGCGCCACCCTAGGCACAGGGAGCACGACACTGCCGCAGCCCCGCTCGCAATGTTGCAGGTCTCTCAGCGTCTGCTTCTTTCCTACCAGCATGTGCAAGGGAACATAACTGGGAAGGATGCACGTGAGGACTGTAACAAGCAACCTAAATGTGGCAACCCTCTTGACTTTGTATTTAAAAATCACCTTGCCCTCTGCCCAACTCCAATCTCCTCACCCATTTTTCCTCTCAGCCCACCCTCCATACACCTGCCCCCTCCCATAAAGTTCACAGTAATGCATTAAAGCTCATCTGCAGGCTAGCACCATTGCAAACTACATCAAGCTGCCAGCAAAGCTAGACCTTAAACATTTAAGGCCATTCCCCAGAAAAATTAGGGGCCATAGGACAAGGCTGCTGGGGAAACTCCGTGTGTCATACCATACTTCCTAGGTCCCAGGGGCATAGAAATACAAGCAACAAAACTTTATGTTTATTTGTTTTTAAAAAATATCTACAAGAGGGTGGGTTTGTTCTATAACTAATCATTTTCTGCTTATGAAATATAAACGTGTAAGGCTCAAGCATATTAACCTGGTATTAAAATCTGCCCTTTGTTTCATTCAAAAATTCCTATTTGGAAAGACAATACAGTAGAAATGATAATATGTGGAAACAGATATTTAATACTTGATAATATTCTTTTTCAATCAGCCCCAGACAAATGAGGCACTTTGGGGTATGTGTGTATGTGTGTGTGTCTGTGTGTTTACTTTCAATTAAAATCCTTTTCAATATAGTCCATACTTGATTGCAAGATGGGTGAGAACTTTCAAGTGATCAGAGAATCTTAGAGGGAGGTGATATGAACACATTGGGAAAAGAATGGCCCTGTCCCTGAATGTATAAATCACATCTGCATCATGAAATTCCATTTTATGCAATTTGCTAATAGGGGTGTTGATTTTTTTCTTGTTCTTTGACATATTGTGACTAATCCTGAATCATCTACCATGTGCTCAGACTCTGCTAATTGCTGTACAAAGTCTCCACACAGAACTGATTCACTTTTGAACTGTCTGGCTGACTTGCTTAAGTTCAATACACAAAATATGTCATATGCTAGGCTTATCGTAAACATTTTACGTGCTAATTTTTGGCCACCTAGTAAAGAGGCTTCCACATCACACAGGACCTCATTTAAGGACATGTTCAGTGTTCCCAGTTGAAAAAGTTCACAAGTATTAGGCTAAATACAATTCTCTTCAACACTGCTCAGTCTAATAAAGAAATCAGTAACAGACCTATGTACCTAAGTGAAAAAACACAATAGTGAGGTCCTATTTCCAAAGCTATTCTGTACCTTTCTTAATACAACCTTGTTATTGCAGCATAAACACAAAGAAGTCTGGACCTATTATAAAACCAAGTGAGAACCAACCCCCCCCGCCCCAAAAAAAAAATGCTGGGCTGTTGTTGCTGTGGATTTTGGTTTTTTTAACCTCACGTCTGCCTGAGTCAGGTTCACTGAATTCATCAACCTTTTCTTTGGTTTCCTGTGCACATTATAAATCCAGAAGGCTCTGATCCCAGGGATTGTTCTAACTCATAATTAGGAAACGTGAGCCCATTTCAACCACACTTCAAAGACAGGGAAGGAGGGGGAACGTAAATTCCTCTTTCTAAATCGAACCATCACAGAACTCGGCATTTCAACTGTCTTCATCTATTATCAGATCCAAAGCAACATAACCTCAGTGATTCTGGAAGAACTCAGAGAACAGACAATTCATGTAATTAAAAGACTTTGTGCGTGATAATTGGCTTTGAAGTTTCTGAGAGAGATCTCATCTCAAAAATCTTTGCAGAAAAATATGGGTACAGGGTTCTTGCAGCACGTATTAGAGACTGCTGAGACGCTTCACTCTCCTCCCAGTGTATCTATCTGCAGGAAAGGGGCACGGGTGGGGGAACCACACACAAGCAGCCCAGGTCAATCATGAGAAAGAATCTCCCGCACAAATCACACCATTTCTCTTCAAGGAAGAATGACTGTCCAGAGCTTCCAAACTTGCTCTTCCCATGACAGACAGGGATGCTGGCAGAAGAGAAGAGGAAACATTGAGGAATTCCTGCCTTGACACATGGCTTCAAGTCAGGGCTCCGCTGGGAAAATTCGGGTCACAACTTGTAGCTGAAACTCCACGTGCACCCTGCGGGGCCGCTGCTGCTCCCAGCACCCTACGGAAGGGTGAGCGCCAGACCCTGTGCCCAAACCTCACAGCGGCAGACCTGGAGAAACCCATCCCCCTTCTTCAGAGCCGCCCCCCAGGCTATATTTTTGGCAGCCTATAATACACAAAATAGTATTCCCATACAACAGGAGTGCTCCAAAATTATTTCCAAATAGGTCAGTGCCACCAGGGAAAGTCAATCCCAAATTCCAGAAATCTCCCTGGTCATCTCAATCCCCTCCTCCCCCGACAGCCGGCTCGGCCCTCCAGAGGCCACCTTTCCTCTCAAGGGTCCCCACGCCCTCTCCCTTTACAGAAAAGGCTTTCAGGAAACAGCCTTCCTTTCCTTTCGGCTCCTTAGTAGTCTCACCTAAGGCCTCCCACCCAAGTGCTCCAGGACAAGCACCTTCGGCCAAGGGGCGTCCGAGGAGCTTGGCTGCCGCACGAGCGCACGTTCACACGCGCGCACACACACATGCACACAAGCGCGCACACACACTTGCACACGAGCCCTCTCTCCCGGCCGCCCCCATCCTCCACACACTCCCACACACTCACTCCAGGCGAAGTTAGTCCCCGGGCCCTGGCGGCCGCGGCGTCCTCACCTTTGGAAAACAGGGCGGCCAGGCTGATGAGTACCGGCGACCAGTGGTGCCACAGCGTCCCCATCTCAGACGGGCACATCCTGGAGACCCGGAGCGCAGATCCTCCGCTCCCCGGCGCCGTCCAGGCGAACAAGAGACCGTCTCAGTCCCCTAGAGGCCCGCAGCGGGGCCGGTGGCGAGGGAGCGCCCGGCTAGGGGCCCGAGCAGCCCGGGCGCCCTGCTCCCTCTTCCCGCCAGTCCATGGCCAGGCCGGGAGGCGACGACCGCGCGGGCTCCTGAGTTGCTCTCCGGAGTCCAACACGCGCGCAGGCAAACCCCACCTCCCTCCTTCGACCCCAACAGAATTTTTTTTAAATTTTAATCCACAGGGGGTATTTCCTTTCCTGTTTACCCGAGCGAAGAGTGGCCCCCGGTGGCCCAAGGAGGGGCGCCTCCAGGCGCAGGGCTCCGGCGGCTCCAGCTGCTCCCGGGCTGGCTAGCGGGCGCTGGCGCAGGCGGCGCCGGGGTGGCGGGGCTGCGGAGCCCGGGACGCGGGCAGAGGCGGCTCGGAGCCCCCCGGGCGGGTGGCCGGGCTCGCTGGGCGGCCCGGGGCTCCCTGGCCCGCAGCCCCCATCCCAGGCCGGCCGCTGCGCCTCGGGGCTCGGGCGCGCGCGCGCTCCGGCACCCAAAGTTTGGCGGGTGCGGCTGCTCCCCGGCCGCCGCCTCGGCCCGCCCGGCCCCGGGCCCGGCTGGGGCTCGCGGGGCTCTACGCGCGCCGAGCGCACTGCAGGCTCCGGAGACGCGGGGCTCCCCCCTGCGCCCGGGGGAGGCGGGCCAGATGTGCGCGGAGGAGGGCCCGCCGGCTCGGGGACGCGGCCGAGCAACGCAGCTGCCTCCTGCCAGCAGGCGCGGGGGCTCCGCTCCGCAAGGACCGCATCCGGAACGGAACGGAGGCGATCGCCACGGTGCCCGGAGCCGGCTGGGGCTTTCGCCTTAAAAATTTGTCTGCTTTTAAAAAGCCCCACCCTTTCGGAGTGACAGCTGTGAGCCCCAATCCGCAAAGTAAATCCCACCTCCCCCTGGCCGCCCCACGCCCAGCCTCCCGGCCACCCTCCCTGCGAGCGCGGACGCGCGGTGGCGGCGGGCGAGGGCTCCCAGCGCGGGCGCACCCCGGGGACGGAGCCACCCACTCTCCCAACAGGTGTCCAGCTGGCCACCGGCCTCTCGTCGTCATCAAAACCTCAGGCCCAGGGGAGGTCCTCCAGCCCGGGGGCACCTGAGGCTCTTCGCCAGGGAGAGCGCAAGGATGGCTGGAGAAGGGCCCTCGCCCCGCCCTGCGCATCTCCCAGGGATCGCAGTGAGGAAGTCTCTGACACGCCACACTGAGGTCATGCTGGCCCCAAGCCCCTTCCCAGAGCGATCCCCCAAGTTAGTGTCCCTAGAAACATGTCGTGTGCTCCCCAGGGCTCACTGGGAAAGGAAATGGATCCATTAGGAGACAACATTGCTTTGAGAAGATAAAAGACATGATTCTCAACACCGCCCGGAATCTCCAACTAAGACATTCCCACACCAAGATCCCTAAGCACCGTCCTGTAATTTGTAGCCCAAGAACTGCTTTGCTCCACGAGAGCCTTTAAATTAACCCCATCAAAGCTCAGAGGGAAGAAAAGCATTCAGAATTTTTAAGGAATATTGTAAACCAACAAGCCCTGAATCTAATGAGGTGAATTCACCTCAGTAGATAAAAATGGGTCGTTATCATCTGACTGAGGGGGCAATGGACTTTTTTATCCTGTATGCCTGTAGTTGCAGAAATATACCAATGCTTTAAGAGTTTTTAGCTTTCAAAGTTTCAAGGAAGATCAAAAAAGCCACTGCTGTTCTACCGAAGATTGTTTTTCTGGGTTCATGTCCTTTGAGATGTGCTCTTGTCTTTTATTCTGTATCTACTTATCTGAATATATCTGTCTTTCTGTTTTTTCTTTTGTTTGTTTCTTAAACTTGTTGCCTTTTCTCTTTGTATTGCTCTCCTGTAAAATTCCTAAGAGTCGACGCTGCAAAGACCCTAAGAGATTGTCTCTTTCACTGTTTCTGAAGTTTGAACCAGCAGGAGAGTCACTGGAAAATTTGTTAGACCTGGGTTGCTGGGCCCACCCCAGAGCTATCTCGGCAGGTCAAGGTGGGACTTCCGATCTCCGTTCCTAAAAAGTTCCAGGTGATGCTGATGCTGCCGGCCTGCGGAACACGTGCTGGAACCACTGGTCCCCTTTCTCCTTCACCTGAGTGATGAGAGAGCTGAGCTTTCGTCTCTTGGACACCTTCACCTGGTCTCTGAGTGTCAAAATTGATGCCCGCACTGAATGCATAATCCAGGTTCCATCCTTAACGCTACAGTGGGTCTGAGTCTATTTGTAAATCATCTATTTGTGACACTGAGTCTATTTGTAAGACATTTCTCAGACATATTGACTAGAAACAAGTGGTCCCTGTTCTTTATTAAAAACAATCATTTTATGTTTCTCTAAATCAAATTGAGTTTTTCCCCTGAATTGCAATCATCAAATAACTTTTCTTTTTGCCATTGCAGAAGGTTTCTCTATCTGTAATGTGAAGACAAAAGGTGACTGTCAAGTTCCAGCTGCTGCCTAAAATGTTAAACGGTTTCTTCATTATGCGTAGTTGGCGAAACAAAAGTTTTTTCCACTCTTTGGTATGGAAGATTTTTTGGGAAGATGCAACTTCAGATACCTAATCAGTGGCTAAAATAAGATGCAAGAATGGCTTCTTACTTTTTCTCTCTCCAGTATGCCATTCTCCCTGGTACATCTAATCTTCTTTGGGTAATTAACACAGCTAATTGTGGGGAAGCAAAACTTAGACTTGGAGATGGACACTGAGGGCTCATAGGTCCCTAACTCCAGCCCCTGCCCCAGGACAACTTCCCATCAAAATCGCCTGCCTTGTCTCTCTCAAGTTACTTGTAAGAAATCTGCTTTCCTCCAAGAATATGTGTTTCATCTGCGGGGCCATAAATCAAGCTGTAAGCCTAATTTTGTCGGTAATTAAATTGCACTAATTGTTCATGCTGTGTGGATGAGGCTTTTACACTAAGCAGTTTTTGTTGTTATTTTTCAATAAAACAAAAACATTCCCTGTAGCAGTTTTTGAGAAATGGCAACTTTGAGCGTTGATAAAGGCAGAAAGGAGCTGGAATTCAAGTACTGCAGGGGCTATGCCACTGGTGGATGAGAGGACACTTTCAGGCCCTCTAAAGATGGGGCCTCCTGTAAAACTGAAGCCATTCTCTTCCAGTCCTTCTGACTGCATCCAGGAGAAAGGCTCAGGCCTGAGCTACTCCGGAACAGCCTTTTAGTAATTGCAAATGTCCATGTTTTTTAAACAAAAAAGGAAGCTCTTTCTGCACAATGACAACATCTAGCTCAAGTTACTAACATCGATTTGTTTTTATTTTGATTATTATTATTTTTGTTTTCTCTCCTTTTACTTGGTGATGCATTTTGTTTAAAAAATATCAAGTTATGTATGTTTATGAAGATGGGAAATGAGTAATGGATTTAGCAATCACTACTGACACGGGTGCAGGCACCGTCTTCTCTCTATGACAATACTCCGGAAGATGGTGAGAAATGAAGTTTGGGAAACCTTAGCATGAAGTGAGAGCTACCAGATCAATCCCTCCTGAAGATGCAGAAGAGACTTTTTGAAACTCCCTGTCTTCCCAGTTTTCCAAAATTCATGAAATGACTGGGAAATAGAAAGGCCTGGTTCAATCAACTGTCTCTTTCACTAGTGGGGAAAGCCTTCTGATGTTGAGGGCACTGTAAACACTGGGAACATTGCACACCCTTCCTGGTAAGGCCAGCAGGAGATCATCCTTCCAGAAGGAGCACCTCAGCGGAATCCATGCTGTGCCCTTGAGGAAGGTGTGTGTTTGCCAAGACCTGTCACTCTCTCCTTCCCAGCGCATGGATGACTACTCTTCTCAGCCCCTTGCAGTTGACCAACTAAATGTGAGCAGAAGTCATGGGGGTCATTTCTCTGGTGGGGCAGTGAAAAGCTCACCTGTGACTCCTCATTCTGCACCTGCCCTGCCCTGGGAGAAGAGTGGACCCTGTGTTTGAGATGGTGCAGCTGCTACAAGGTGAGCCTTCCAGCCAGCAGTCCAGCAAGTTGATGAGAGAGCAAAGTCCCCCGTCAATCCACATTAAGAAGTATGGTAAAAGAAATTAATTTTTATTGTGTTAAATCATCAAACTTCTTGGTTCTTCCAGGTTAACCATACTAAAATCCAGACCTACTTTTACTCTCCTCTCTCTGTCCTTCTCCCTTTCTCATCTCTTCCCAGAGCTCCACAAGCAGATGTTAAAAAGTTGGAATATTCGTGCTCTCCCAGGTGACCCATGGTGTCACCAGGTAACTGCCAGGTGAACCTCGCAGAGCAGCCTCTTCTGCAAAGACCAATAGGATACTGCTGCATTTTCCTTAAGTTACTGATTTATGGATCAATACAGAAAGGTCAGCAGGCCTTGAATAGTCTTCTTTGAAGTCACATGCTGGACTTCTTGGTACAAATTATGTATTTGTACCTCTAGCCTGATTAGTCCCTGAGTGTTTCTCGGTCAGGGGTGAGGTCAAGGAGAAGCTGCAAGGCTGCCTCTGCAGGAAACCCTTTGTTGTAAAGACTGCCTGGATTTTGCATGCACTGGAACCTGTGACAGAAGCATGTTCCCTCACCCCTGCTTCCTCTACCTGCTGGAGACACAGCCAGACCACATGCCCTGGCCTTCCTAAGGTTAACTGTCGCTATGGTTATGTCCAAAAGAACCTGGGAGGAAGGGATGTGCCTCCCTTTCAGGGGGAGAGTTTGGGAGCCTGTGAAACCCTCAAACTCTCTTCCTGCCTTTTCAAGCTGAATGCAAAAATTCAAGGGAGAACCCCCAAGCCTTCAGCAATGGCAGAGTTGCAAGTTGGAATGAGTCTGGTTCCGAAAATGTGGAATGCCACTTCTTTTGCATGGAATTTTGGGTGAGCAAGAAATAAGATGACATGGTGTTAAGTCATGGAGGTTCAGGGCTTTGTTTGTTAGAATGAACCATTCCAGGCAATACAGGGTGTATTGATCTCATCACTGCCAACAGAAGCAGGAGTGGGATATAAGGAAACACCTCTATCAGCTCCTGAGACTACAGCGAAGCTTTGGCCCATTTTACAGTATGAAGAGAGTCCAAAGGAGGGAGGAACCACCAACCACCACCAGCTAATGAATGCATGAGGTGCTCTGTCCCCTGTACCAGGAACTAGGGAAAAGGCAAAGGATGCCCTTGGAGAGCTGGAATTCGATCTCTTGGACGCATGAGGTGCTCTGTCCCCTCTACCAGGCACCAGGGAGAAGGCAAAGGATGCCCTTGGAGAGCTGGAATTCGATCTCTTAGGGTCTTCAAAGAATATTGCAGAGAACAAGTATCATCGGTTCCAAGAGAGGGTCCTCCTGGGCTGGAGCAGTCTGAGGAATGGGATTTATATGGATTCCTCCTTCCATTCAATACTTATTTATTCAGGGTGTACCGCTGGCCAGGCCCTAGAGGCTTCACAGTGAACAAGCCGTTCACGAAATTTATTCCCATGGGGACAGACAGGAAACAAGCACACCAAAGAACAAGATGCTTTCAGGAAGAACCTGTGAAGAACTCAAGTATCATAATGACTTGCCCTTTGGAGAGGTCGAGAAAGGCTTCTTGGAGCAGCGTAATCTCTCTCATGAGAAGGATCCTCAGAGTGCAGACCCGGGTCATACACCTGCCTGGTGGCTGGGACAGCAGGTGCAAAGGCCATGAGGCATCACAAAGGGTGGAGGAGCAGAAAGCCCCATGTGGCTGAACTTAGTGAGCCAGGGAGAGCATGGTGGGAGGGGAGGTACAGGGGAGGCGCAGGAGACAGAGGATGCAGGGGCCTCGTCAGGACTCAGGAAGCCAGAGTGAAGCTTCAAGCGGGGAAGTTGTAGGAGCCCATTCACATTTTCGGAAGATCTCTTGGCGTACCAATAGTACCACAGAGGCAGGGGCTAGGCACAGGTGCGTCTGGTAAAATGTAGCATGCCAGACTCCCATCCCTTCCACGGGGCCCCTGTTCTGCTTCCCACTGGGCCAAATCCAGAGGCCTCTGCGTGTGCCAGGCAGGTGGCTGCAGGAACAATCGCAGGCCCAGCCCAGGGAGGCCGGCCAGACAAGACCCGCACAGCTCAGAGACAGCACAACATGCCGGGGCATCCTGTCGGCGTTCAGAGCTATGAGTGTGTAGTGGCCCCTGGAATGCTGAACCTGTGTCTCCTTTCCACTCTGATGTTTGGTCTCTCTCTTCTTTCTCAAGAACGCCTGTATTAATTTCTCATCTAGCAAGTCCCGACCCTGCGGTTTCAGAACATGCCCTGTGCTGGGCCGGTGGGGTTTTCTAGGATGGAGAAAATGAGGTGGTGGGGTTGACTGACACTGAGGTCCAGGCCGGACTTGGAAATCCATCTGCCAGCACGTGGTTTGTGTGAGCAGCTGTGAGCTCTGTTTAGGGTGTCTCCCTCTGTGATCACTGAGAACTGGCACTCTGCAGCCCACTTGCAGGGTGTGGGCCTTCCCTTTATGGGGGCTCGGCTAACAGCACACAATAAGAAGGAAGAGGGGGTGTCCCACCAGAGATCGGCCTCCCCAGGAACAGACTCAGTCCCTGTCCATCCCTCCAAGAGGACTTGACCTCAAACAAAAGAGAAAACTGGCAATCATGTGGCCTGCAGCACGAGCCCGTAATGAGTCCATTTGACGTGCATCAAAAAGATCAATTTACTTCTCGGAGCTAAGCATCCAAACGATTTGATTTCTTTTGTCCGCTTAAAATCAATGTGTCTAATGGACTTGAAGGGCTGGGTTCTTAGATGACAGAGGCCTTTGTCAGGGAATCAATTAACCCATTGCAGAGATCTTCAGTTCAGACGTACACATCCCACGATTATTGTTGAAGAAAATAGCTCCTCTGCTACTGTACCAAAAAGGAAAATTAAAAAGTGTCTATGAAATGGATACACAGGGAGTTAATCCTGCCCTAGAGGAGCTCTTAGTGGCCAACAAGGGAAAGGGTTTATCCAGCAATTTGTTGAGTTTGCCAACATCAAAGAGAACGTAAACACGCAAGATGCTGTTGCTTGTCAATGTATACACCAGCTTCAAAGCTGAAGTCTGAGGATAGTGTCAATGGCCCAATTTAGACGTTATTAAAGGGTGCTTTGGGGAGTGAGCACATGAATTGAAATAAAAGGGTTGTGGCTACTTCTGGTTTAGAGGAACTCAATTTTTTCTCTTAATAAAAGCCCCCTAATTTCCTCAAGTAATTAACTTAATGTTCACTCCAATTTCTTTGTGAAAACTAACTTCGCTGAGCGGTGTGCCTTTCTTTGTGTGAGATTTCCATGGTAAGAGAGTAAAGGGCCACTTTTGTCCTCTTCCCTCCCCACAGATGAGCCAGTCCAAGTCGGAACGAAGAGACCCTGCCTCCACATAGCACAAACGTCTTTAAGAAGACTGCCTCTAACAATCTTTTTTTTTTTTTTTTTTTTTTTTTTTGATTCAGAGTCTCACTCTGTCACCCAGGCTGGAGTGCAGCGGTGCGATCTCAGCTCACTGCAACCTCCGCCTCCTGGGTTCAAGCAATTCTCCTGCCTCAGCTTCCCAAGTAACTGGGACTACAAGTGCCCGTGCCCACCACCACACCCAGCTAATTTTTGTATTTTTAGTAGAGACGGGGTTTCACCATGTTGGCCAGGCTGGTCTCCAACTCCTGACCTCAAGAGATCTGCCCGTCTCGGCCTCCCAAAGAGCTGGGATTACAGGCGTGAGCCACCGCGCCCAGCCTGCATCTAACAATTCTTACATGCCAGTGTTTGATTTTGTCAGAAAGCCTGTGTTGGCTTGGTGTTGAAACGGATCTGCTTGGGATTACTCCCTTGGGATGAAATATGGCCAGTTCTCTGTCAACAAATGTTTGACTCATCACAGGAGAGATTCCAGTCTCAAAAAAAGTGACTGAGGACAATAGTGAGCTCTCTGGGTCTGGAAATAAACGCAGCAGCAGGAGGGTATTCTTCTGTATTTGGCTTACAAGGTAATTTTAAATTACCCCAAATAGTAGAATATGTGACACCAGATTGATGGTATTTGACACTAGATTATTATTTTAACAGGTCAGAAAGGTTGAGGGGGGCACCTGGAGATTGGATCCTAAAACATTTTCTTGTGCACAGCCAGGGAGAGCAGCCGTGCCTGGCAGTGGGACCCACACACAGCTGGCAGCAGACCTGGCGCGCTCAGGCGCCCTGCTTGTGGCATCAGTGGACCTGCAGTGACCCCTAGTGCTCCAGAGGTGGCAGCTCAGGACAACTATTTCTTCCTCCAAGAACAAACGCATTGACATCTCCCTTCATACCCAACATGCACACGTTGTCAGGTCTTCATGGGTGAAATTATATTTTTAAAAACTGGCAATGAGTCTTATCATCCCAAATTAATAAATAACATGGCCAAGCTCACACGCTTTCATTCAGGAAATCCTGCAATTCGGTGTCTACAGCTATTATCTTGCACCCTCCATGCTGCCTAAAATATAAATTATCTTGCAATTGACTTAAAAATTGAAACATGAGAATTTATATCATATACATTCTTGAGTCAAACTTCAGTCATTCTTTAAAATCTGCCAAACAACTGATCACTTTCCAGTGAGTACAGCCACCCAACACTGAGATTTTATAATGTTGGTTATTCACATGGATCGTTTCCAGACTAGAGGCTGCCAGCAGGATCCTCCACTTTTCCCTTGTCCTCCATCACCACCCTACTGTCTTAGACTGCTCAGGCTTCTATAACAAAAATACCGTGGCTGGACGGCTTTAAAAAAAACAGACTTTAATTTATCACTTCTGGAGCCTAGAAGTCCAAGATCAAAGTGCCAGAAGATGCAGTGGCTGGTGAGGACCTGCTTCCTGGCCCGTCGATGGCACCTTCTCCTTGCCATAACCTCACACGGTGGGAGAGGAGAGACCAGGGGGCTCCTGGACCTCTGCTTTCCTGACTTAATCACCTCCCAAAGCCCCATCCTCCTGACACCATCACACTGGGGCTTAAGATTCCCACAGATGAATTCTGGGGATACATAGTTTATAGCAACTGCTTTCCAAGATAAAATGAGTCACTGGAAGAAAAGCAAAAATACTGATTCCTTCAGTGTTGCATAAGAAAAAAGAAAAAGAGAAAGAAAGAGAGAGAGGAAGACGGAACAAAGGAAGGAAGGAAGGAAGGAAGGGAAGGAGGGATGGGATAGAGGGAGGGAGGGAGAGAGGGAGGGAAGAGAGGAAGGGAGCGAGGGAGGGAGGGAAGGAAGGAAGCAGTGGGGAAGAGTCAGGGAGCACGCTATGTCTTGCCCTGGAAGAACATGATTTTGCGTGTGAGTTAGAGACAAGAGGGTTTGTAAGAAATTCGGAATCATGCCAGTATTGTGGAGAATCTTAGGGTTGGAGCATCCCAGCCATCACCTAATACAATCTTCTCACATTAGAGCTGAGGAAAAAAAAAACTGAAAGAGGAAAGTCATAGACACAGTTATTGTTGCCTTTTAAAAACACTGCCATAAGGATACAATAATTTAGAAAATAAAAATCCAGCCAGGTACAGTGGCCCATATCTGTAAACCCAGCACTTTGGGAGGCCAAGGTGGGAGAATTGCTTGAGTCCAGGATTTTAAGACCAGCCTGGACAACCTAGTGAGACCCTATCTCCACAAACAAAAAAAGGAAGGGAAATTATCTGGGTGTGGTGGTACACGCCTGCAGTCCTAGCTACTCTGGAGGGCGAGGCAGGTGGATCGCTTGAGTCCAAGAGTTCAAGACCAGCCTAGGCAACATAGTGAGACCCCATCTCTAAAACAATAATAATAATAATAATAATAATAAGCAAAAGTAGCTGTGTGTGGTGGTACATTCCTGTAGTCCTAGCTACTTGAGAGGCTGAGGCAGAATGATTGCTTGAGGCCAGTCGTTCAAGGCTGCAATGAGCAATGATTTACTACACTCCATCCTGGGTGAGAGAGTGAGACCCTGTCTCAAAAAAAAAAAAAATCTAACAAGAAAACACTTCTCATTGCCAAAACTGGCCTCTCCTAGTCAATATTTTCAGTTTGATCTGAAAGTGGCTATTCATGAGTATCCTTGGCTGTTTCTCAGGGACTGTTTCAAGTGAACTAAACTCCAAGCTGTTTAGGTTTGTTTTTCTCTTCTCTTTTCTTTTCCTTTTAATCTGGAACTCCTGAACTGGGACCACTTTGGAAATAACTTCTATAAAATCCATTATGAAAAATCTGTGCTTAAAACACATGTATTTATCAGATATTTCAAAATGCTTTCTAAAATTAGCCTTCAAAAAATGACAATTTAGCTAAATATTCCTTGCTAACAAAACTAGTGTTCATCACATATGTGCCTACCTTGAGTGGATGCCTATTAATAAATTGCAGATGCTCTGATCATCCACCTTCTCGTGCTGGATGAAACCCACTGTGTTTCAAATGCAAAACAGTGCAGTAGCTGAAGATTAATCTAGAGGTGGCACCTAAATCGGACCAAGTGCAGAAGATTAGTCTAGAGGTGGCACCTAAGTCGGACCAAGCGCAGCACTGTCTGAGGACCTTTGAACCTGGAAGGAATGAGAATCTCGCTTTGGATATCTGGAATATATGATGCGAAACAGGGACGTTGCTGCTCAAATTTCCTGCCCCAGGATGGAGAACTAGAGGAAGTAACACGTGAAGAAGGATATTTAAGAGACAGAGAAAGTTTGGCTGCCATTGTAGTGCCTAGTTCTCATCATTACTCATGTTCCATGAAACACTTCAGTTTCCACATAAATCCCACTTTTTTGTTTTTGAGATGAAGTCTCACTCTGTCGTCCAGGCTGGAATGCAGTGGTGCGATCTCAGCTCACTGCAACCTCCGCCTCCTGAGTTCAAGCGCTTCTCCTGTCTCAGCTTCCTGAGTAGCTGGGATTACAGGTGCACTCCACCATGTCCAGCTGATTTTTTGTATTTTTAGTAGAGATGGGGTTTTACCAGGTTGGCCAGGCTAGTCTCAAACTCCTGACCTCAAGTGATCCGCTCCCAAAGTGCTGGGATTACAGGCACGAGCCACTGCATCTGGCCCATAAATGCCACTTTTTGCTTAAACTGGTCTAGATTGAGTTATCCTCTCACTACCAAAAGATCATCTCTCATCTGTCATCTCTCATCTAACTCAACCTCCTTGCTGGGCTCCTGCTTCCATCCTGATTTAACAAATACTGGAGAAATAGGAGTCAGATCTTGTCACTCTGGCTCAAAACTGTCCCATAGCTCCCAGCCCACTCAGTGCAAAGCTGAAGTCCCTGCAATGCCCTGCAAGGCTGTACATGAGCTGCCTCCTGTTTCAGCCAGCCAGGCTCCTCCTCCATCAGACACCAGCATCGTACTTGACAGACGCCTCTGCAGAGACTGCTCCCTCTGCTGGGAACAGCCTTCCATCAGATACCCGTAAGATTCTCTTTTCTCACGTCATTCTAGTCTCTGCTGAATATCACTATTTATTTATTTATTTAGAGACAGAGTCTCACTCTGTCGCCCAGGCTGGAGTGCAGTGGTGCGATCTCAGCTCACTGCAACCTCCGCCTCCTGGGTTCAAGCGACTCTCCTGCCTCAGCCGTCCAAGTAGCTAGGATTACAGACATGCACCACCACGCCTGACTAATTTTTGTATTTTTAGTAGAGGTAGGGTTTTGCCATGTTGACCAGGCTGGTCTCAAATTTCTGACCTCAAGTGATCCACCTGCCTCAGCCTTCCAAAGTGCTGAGATTACAGGTGTGAGCCACCGCACCTGGCCGATACCACTTTATTACAGATGCCCTCCCTGGACCTGACATTTGCCTAGCATCACCCATCTCTTTCTATCTTCTCCTGTGCTATATTTCATGACATTCATCAACACCTAAATAGCCTATTTGTTCGATGTCTCACTCCCCACTCCCCCAGAGCTAGAATCTAAGCTCCCTGAGAGCCATAGCTTTGGCTGTTTTGTCTACTGGTCTGTTCTTATGGCTCAGGACACTGGAGAATCATGCAGACCCCCTGTAAGAGTGTTAAAATCAATTCCTCAATCAATGGCTTTTCTTCTCCCACCTCCTTACTTCACCCAGCCTGAAAGAAAATGTGTTCTTCCTCATATTTGAAGAGGAGACTTCACCTACTGTTTTTTGATGAAACAGTCATTTAGCTTAGTGAACATTCAATAAACTCAAGGGTGAAGTTCAGTTCATCGGACCACCCGTTTCACTTATGGGGAAGCTGAGACTGAGAGAAGCAAATGACTTGCCCCGGTTGTATTTTTTCCCATGGAAGGGGAGTCCCTATGAAATTCACGATTACTTATTATTTACCAGTTCTTCTTTCACTCAACACATTTTTTTTTTTTTTTTTTTTTGAGACAGAGTCCTGCTTACTCACCCAGGCTGGAGCACAGTGGTGCAATCTTGGCTCACTGCAACCTCTGCCTCCTGGGCTAAAGCGATAGTCCTGCCTCAGCCTCCTGAGTAGCTGGGACTACAGGCATGTGCCACCACGCCCAGCTAATTTTTGTATTTTTAGTAGAGATGGAGTTTCGCCATGTTGGCCAGGCTAGTCTCAAACTCCTGACCTCAGGTGATCCGCCTGCCTCGGCCTCCCCACTCAATGCAATTTCGAGGCAGTGCTGCAGGGTGGCTCAAGTGGAGCCCCTGCTGGGGATAGGATTAGCAGCTATGTGACTGCCAAGTTACTTCCCCTTTCTGAGCCCTACATTCCTCGTCTTAAAAAATGTAGACTAGGCCGGGCGTGGTGGCTCACACCTGTAATCCCAGGACTTTGGGAGGCCAAGGTAGGCGGATCACCAGGTCAGGAGATTGAGACCATCCTGGCGAACACTGTGAAACCCCGTCTCTACTAAAAATACAAAAAAATAAGCCGGGCCTGGTGGCAGGCGCCCGTAGTCCCAGCTACTCAGGAGGCTGAGGCAGGAGAATGGCATGAACCCGGGAGGCGGAGCTTGCAGTGAGCCGAGATCGCGCCACTGCACTCCAGCCTGGGCGACAGAGAGAGACTCCGTCTCAAAAAAAAAAAAAAAAAATGTAGACTGTACTTCCACCTAAGTCGTTGGGCGGTTATACAATTAACTGAAGATATCATAGAGAACGCCTGCATGGCACCCAGCATATAGTTAGCCTTCAAAAGGAAAGCTATTGATAGTTACTATTTTCTACAGAAATAGGCATTTTTTTTTTCAAAATGTTTTGTTTTCCTTTTCAGTTTTCTATTTGGCTATCACGTAACTTACTGGGTTTCTGCAGAGTCAAGTCCAGGCACAGATTTTCTTAGCATGACGTTAAATTGTCTCCATGGGGCTCGAACTCCTCAGTGAAGGTCTTATTGGTTTTATGCTGACATCCGATCTCTGAAAACATCAATGAACAAGAAGAGGAACAATTCCTATAAATCTACTTTACTCATGCTGGAGTTTGAAAATAAGTTTGATCTTTTGGCTAAAGTTTTGCTATTCTGCATAAAAACTTCCAAGGCTTGGAAAGTTAAAACACACACACACACACACACACACACACACACACACACACAAAACACCTTTATGCAATTGCGAATTTTCCACGATGAGGAGTCTACAGCTCTCAGTTCTGTTTGTTGATTTTTCATTGCAGTGTACACGAGCTGGGGAAAAAATGCTGACTGGGATATAGACCAGTCTGTGGTGTAACATTTTCAGGTTTCGTACTTGCGTTGTTGCACCTCTGAGTTCAAGTTGAGTGTCAGACTTACCATTTTCAATGGTGTTGCTGGGGCGTTTATGTAACACGTGCAGCAGCAGGAAAACACGGCTGCTCACATGGGCGGGGAGATGGTGCCCATTCCTCACCAGCTGGACACCAGCCCCGTCCCGTGATCAACTGACCCTGGAGCTAAAGATAGAGGTCCCCCTTGTTCCCTTCCAAGACCAGTGAAGGTGCCCCCTTCCTTTTCCTCCTCCAAAACGTGCTTCCCCAGGTAGCTCTGCCTTCATGCTGGGTGAGGGAAGCCAAGACTATGTGAACTGATGTTAAAATGAATAAGAAATGATTCCTGGCTGCAGCCCCAAACAGGTGAGTACCTGAGCCTTCAGAAACTGCAGGCACCAGCCCACTGGTTACCCCTGCTTTCCAGTCTTCCCAATCATGGCCCAGTCAATGTGGAGGAGAAACAGCCCATCCCTCCATTGTGAATTTCTGACCCACAAAATACGTGATCATTGAAAAAAGTTATTTTTATGCCATGGAGTCAGATCAGCCTGACTCTCTTCACCCCAAATAGGAAGGACCATAGTCCCATTGCTTAATCAGTCCCTGAGACCAGAGTTTTGGAATCATTTGGTTGGATTCGATTTGAGTCACAGGCGTTAATCCACCACACCACATGTACCATGGGTAGGGAGAGCAGCTTCATTGGGAAAAACCATGATGTGGTTATGGAAACAGATGGCCTATGGGCATCCAGTAACAAAGTCCTGTATGTGCCTGAGCTACCAGGAGAAGAGTATTGGTGTGCCCAAGGGCAGTCAACCATGTCCCACAATAGAAACCCTGAAAAGTCTTAGGGATGCCTGTTCATTTTGCAGATGAAGAAACCAAGACACAAACATTTTAATGTCAGGTCAAGGCTGCAGGTTGCACCGTGGCAAAGCCAGGCCCAGATGCAGGTCCCCTGACCCCTGTGTCCAGCTCATCCTGCTGCTCTGTCTGGGCTTTCAGCTCTGCATACTTCAGACACAACCTTGCGTGCTGATCTCCATGTGGAGATGGAGGCTCAGGCCTGTTGACTCCAACTTCGGATAAATGGGATAATAAACCAGAAACTAATTCTGTGAGTGTCTGCTGAATTTTACCTCCCCCAGTTCAAATGCTGAAAGCCCCCAAAACTTGCAAGGTGTAATGTGAGGGGCAGAGGTGCCTAACTCATCCAGATGGTTCAAATCTCTGTCTTTGTTAGAGGAGATATAATCCAAGCCTCAGTTTCTGTACCTGCAAACAGAACTTGAGGGTGGGAATGTGGCTCCTGAACCTTTAGCCAGGAGGTATTTTGGGGTTAATGGGGTGTATGAGACATAAGCTTTTATATTCCTGGGTTGATTTGCACAGTGAGGTGAAGCTGGCCAGGAATGTTTTCCGTGCAGCCTCTGATTGCAGAAGTAGGGAATGGATTGTGGTGGATTTTAGCAGGTGTATCCTCCCAGGACCTCCTTGGTGATCCTCCTGTAACTGCCTGCCCCTGCCGTGGGACTGGGCACGTGGCCTGCACTGGACCTATCCAATGAGGTCATCTGCCTGTCCTGGGCAACAGTGACTGGTCCAGGGAGTGGAGGTGTAACTCAGGAGGGCCAAGCAGAGCCTTTCCCTGAGAATTTTCAAACTAGAACATGGAGACAGAAGCCTTTATTTCTCCCTGGGGAAAGGCTAAAAGGATGTAAGGTCTAGAGCCACTAGTAACTAGGCCCCCACCTGATCAAATGCATAGCCCGGAGATTAAGTCAACGTTTAGTGGGGAAAAGGGAGCAAATCCTGAGCATTTGAGGACCTGATTCCTGTTCTTGACACCAAGTCTGTACCTGCTCTCTAAGCAGTTTTGCAATGTGAGCCAATGAATTACCACTTTGCTTAAGCCATTTAGAAATAAGTCTCCATCATGGGATGGCACAGTGTCTTCCCCAAGCTTACCTAAGAAACGAGTCCTAGGGAAAGAGGTATCAGCAAGTAAGAGAAGAACTAAATGCAGTGTAATTTGAGCATTAACGTCTATGCTTTCATTTGTTCTTGGGGACCAGTGTAGCCTGGAGTTACAAGAATGGATTAAATTGGAGATGATATATAAAGTTTCTGGCTCCTAAGAGTTATTCAAGAATATTCTCTCTCTTTTATTATATTAATCACATGCATAAGTGGTATCATTTTGCATCAGTAATAGGCCTCTTTCAAGGGGCATTGACATTCCATTGGCTTTGTAGTTGCAGTTTCAACTACAATGGATATTAAATTTTGATTATTAATTTTGTCATTAATCTGTAAGTCTGGCTCGTGTTAAATCTTCTGAAGAGTAGAACCCTCACTCATTAATTGGCCATAGAATACAAATAATTATTTGTCCTTCATTGTCAGATCTAAGGTTTCTGTTGAAAATGTCTTTCATCTGCCAATTCTAAATAGATTTTTCACTCTTAAACCCAGTGCAATTTATCTTTTTCCCATTAGTCTATGGTAACCATTTCCAACAGTGTTGCAAGTGACCTGCTAATTGTACATCTCAAGGATGTGTTTGATTTCTCATTTGTCTTATTTTTCTATAACATTAACACTGTCTACTTGTTTCTTCCTGAGGCTGTGATCCCCTAGTTTTGTAACAATATTTCTTGTTTTTTTCTTTCTTTGTGATTCCTCCCCAGTATTCGTTTGTGGCTTTCTTTTTCTCCACCTGCTTCTTATGTGTCCCCCAGAAATATATTCTTTCTTCAGTTCTAAACACTCGCCTTGGCATCTTTTTGACACCACAACTTGAAACACAAACCATGAAGAGGTGGCCCCTGTATCTATCCAGGAAGTTGCTCTTGAGATCAGGACTGAATTCCACCCTGCCTATGGGATACCTTTTTTAGATAATGAAAACTTAGATTTTCTATAATATCTCCAAAAATATGCCCTCCCTCCCATTTTTCTATTTCCTCTATCTGTAAATGGTCTTACATGTTCTGCACAGCTCACTGCATTTGAATGTCTTCTCCAGGGGTTCACTCCCCTGGCCACTGTGGATAATTATTCATCAAACCCTGTCGGTTCCCAGTGCATCTGCACCACACTGCCCTCCGTCAGACCACCACGATTTCTCACATAGGGTGCGAAAGTATTCTCTAGATTCTTTTTGCCCTGCTCATTCTCCTGAAGCCTCCACACGATCACCAAAATGATGTTACAACACTACAAACATAGTCATGTTCTCTTCCTGCCTAAACTCCTTCATGACTTTGCAATGCCCTCCGGATAATGCCTGGACCTGTCACATGAGCCCTGTCTCCTCTCAAACCTCACCCCCAACCTCTCTTCCACATATTCAGGATTTCAAACTCTCCCAGTAGACACCCCTTGGAGTTACTGTGGTCTTTCTCAACTCCACTCCTGTGCATATATGATTCCTTTTTTTTTTTTGGAAAGAAAGCATTTCCTCTGTCTACTGGGTGCACTCTCCCTTAAAGACTTAGATGAGATGCCCTCCTTCCCCACAAGCCTGCTCTGCCTTCCCAGGAAGCCACACCAGCTCTGTGCTGTCAAACACTCTGGACACACCCTCTCTTATGTGTGTGTCATGTTGCCATGCTTCTTACAAAAAAATGTGGTGTGCAGGGTACGTATCTTCCTCATCTCTGCACCCTCAGTACTTTCCATGGTCAGTGTCACCTAACAGCTCCCTATTAAATGCATGTTAAATGGATTAATGCATCATTAATTACCTAATCTTGATATTTTCTGTTTTTGAGAATACTGACAGCATGAATATAAGAGAAGTTTTGTAGATGAAAACTGAGAAGAAAAGAAATAACACAGTGCATATGATCCCCAGAGCTTTCATTTTTCCAGAAAGGGGACTGATTAGGACAATCTTTGCTGGACTGGATGCACCAGGAATGTACTCCAATAGGTGTGTGCTACCTCTGACATGCTCTGATTGTTTTTTCTTTTACTAGAAAGAGGGAAAGGGGTGGGAGCAGCTAAGGGATCATGTAACAGTGAAGTGGTCTTGTTGAAAGGAGACCTCCAGGAATCAGACATTGATGTCAGCATGTTTTTCTATTGAGCTACCTCAGACTGGCTGAGCCAACTCTTTGCAAAACTAAGAGGAGGAAGTGAGCCTCCAGGGAGTCCAGATTGTCTGTTTTGTCTGTGAAGATGCTATGCTCAGTTTGGGACATGTGTCTGAGGTGCCCATGAGTCATCCAAGGGTGAAGTCCTCCATATCTTAAGTGCATGGATCTGCTGCTCAGCAAAAAGTCACAGCTAATATTTTACGCTTCTCCCAGATGTTGAGATCAGCCCAGTGAGCTAACTCAGGTATATATTATTTATCACACCACTTTCCTGCCCTTTGATGTATTTTGTCATTTTTTAGTTAACAAGTGTGAGTCTTGCTATCATCATGAGGTGGTACCTTCTTCTGGTATGGGAATGGAATACTTACATGCATGTAGTGTGAATCCTCTCCCCACTAACAACCACAACCCAGTACCAAAATAATCTCAAAATATTTTAAATATTTTTCTTTCTGATTACAAAGGTAATATGCCATCACAATAGGAAATTTGAAAAATACAATGTAACACCAAGAAGCAAAACTAAAATCACCCATTGTTGTAGTTACAAAATATTTCCAAAAAGTATTTGATCATCGTCCACTCAATGAAACCCAATTCCCCTCTGAGTCAGTCTGGGTCGAACACTATGACTCACTCCTAATCTATAGAATGCAGCAGAAGTGACAGTGGCTGACTTCCAAGGCTGCACATAAAAGGTGCCATATCATCCTCCTTGTTCTCACTTTCTTGGAGAATGTGCTTTGAGAGAAGTCAGGTGCCCTGTCATGGGAATCATAAAATAGTCCCATAGAGAGGATCATGTGACAAGAAATGAAGGCCTCTTGCCACAACAGCATGAGTGAGCCATTTGGAAGTTGGATCCTCCAGACCCGGCTGAGCCTTCAGATGAGACCGCAGCCCCAGCCACCATGCTGACCACAGCCTTATGAGAGATTCTGGATTGAGACCACCCAGCTAAGCTGCTCCAGAATTCCTGGCCCACAGAAACAAGGAGATGAGAAATGTGGCTTTAAGCCACTCAATGTGTGGCTTGTTTTATAGCAATAGATACTTGATAGAACCATAACCAGCCACCCAGCAGAATATGTTGATAATTGTCCTGGCAGTCATTGTCTATGCGCATTTACACTTGCCCCTGCCCCTAACCTCCCCAACATGAGATCCCACACTAAGTATTATTTTGTGACTGGACTTTTTGTTCCCATTTGCTGTGGTTTATCATAGTTATAGAAATTCCAGCTTATGATGTTACCTCTCTATACCAAACTACTCACTCTTTACTCTTGGAGATTAGATTATTTATCATTGTTTGCAGTTATAAACAGGCTTTGGATATTATAATAGATATATTTTCCTTAAGATAATACTAAGAGTATAATTACTAGATAAAAGAGGATGTACATTACTAAGTCTTTTGATAAATATGTCCAACGTGTCTTCCAGAAAATTTGAGCCAGAAATGTACAAGGCTACCTATTTCCCCATATTCTAACAAAGTGGTTCTCAACAGGTGGCAATTTTGCCCTCAGGGTATATTTGGTAATGTCTGCAGATATGTCTCATTGTCCCAGCTAGAGGGGGAAGGTGCCCTGGCATTGAGGGACAGGACAGAGACCTGGGATGCAGGATAGCCCTCCCCACAACAAAAAATTATTCCAAAATATTAATAGTGCCAAAGATAACAGGGTGTTAATGTTGTAAAAGGGATTTGCCAATGTGACAGGTGAAAGGTCATATCTAATTATTGTTCTAAATTGTGCTTTTGCTTTTATTTTTTGTTTTTGCTACTAGGGGACATAAATAGTTTTTAATCCTGTTATATCAGTTGACTACTCATGACTTTTCCCCATTTCTTCAATAATGCACTAGTCTTTCAAGGTGGCTGGTAGGAGCCCTTAATAAGATATTAATGCTTTGTCATACACAGCAAATATTTTCCCCTAGTAGCTAAATGCCTTTTAAATTTTATTTGGGACATATAGAAACTTGCTTGTTTTTTATGTAGTGAAAACCATAAACCTTATCCTTTGTGGTTTCTTTCTTTGCTCTTAGGTTTGGGAAAGCTAATTTCATATTGAAAGATGATCATTAACCACCTCTATTTACTTGGTTTCATTTTCTTAGATTTAACTTTTCAATCTATTTGGAATTTATTGTGCTGTATGGTGTGAGGTGAGGATGTAATTCTCTTTTCTTACACAAATAACCAATTGTTCCCTTGCCAAAGATTAAATCATTTATTTCTGCCGTCTGAACTGAAATATAAACAGTGTGTTTAAACTTCAGAAGAGACTTAAAACAGCATTTATTAGATTGTGGGCATTATGAGACGATAAGTCACAATTTTCATTATGCATTAACGTCATCTTAATCACAAGAAATCACAATTATAGAGATATGATGAGTGTATTTCATCTGAAATTGTACTCCACATGAATGATTCAGAGTTTAATATTTGGCAGCCAACCCCAAACCAACTTGTTTTACTTTTCTAACCTATTATCCTTAGATGTAGAAAAAGTAATTGCTTCATTTCAAGTAACTCATTCTTTGCTACTACATAGACTGAGCCTATAACAATAGAATATTTTTGTATTTCATGGAGATTTAATCAAAGCCATTTCATGTGCAATGGCAGAAATAAAGCTTTTTCTTCTAGATCCTCACTGCAGAATTTTAATAGTCATATTTAATCTTAGTTTAACAAGTAGTAATCCCCCCAAGTTTACAATTGCCATCAGAAAGCACTGTGAGATCTTGTTGCAGTAGTAAGGTTTTGTATTGTTTGGACACATGGCTGGCAAATGGTGCAATGAAATAGCTCTCATTAAAATAAGGAGGTGACTTGCAAGGTAAACTGGGTCCTATTGCCATTTTTATTTTATTTATTATGTATTTATGTTTCCAGATGCATTTATTTATTCCTCATTCCTTGGCAAGTCGGACTGAGGTGATGTTTGCTTCAGAGGAAAGTGGTCTTTCACCCTAGGAGCTCTTAATCCATAAGGAGGGTGGCCTTGTGGACAGGGTGTTTGTTTGGAGCCTGAGCATTTACAAGCCAGCCATGGAGTCTCAGGAATAATCTAGGCTGCCTTCTCACGACCACTGCCTTCAGCTAATGGATGCAGGAGGCGCTCTGTGCTGCTCCCCATCCACTCAGAGTGATGCTTTCCCCCGAAATCCCTCAGCCCCAAACGTGCTCAGTTTCTTCCTCTCTTATACCATCTGTCCTCAGCCTTTACCCTACCCCTCCCTTCCACACATTGCCACCTACATGGTTTGCTGTAACCGATATCTTTTGAGGCAGCCATATAGGTCTGCAGATCCTTGTAAATGTGTCTGCAGTGCCGGGCTCCTGGAAGGCACCTGCGCACGGGTGAGACTGCCTTTGCCCACGTGAGACCGGGCTCCTGGAAGGCACCTGTGCACGCGTGAGACTGCCTTTGCCCACGTGAGACCGGGCTCCTGGAAGTCACCTGTGCACACGTGAGACTGCCTTTGCCCACGTGAGACCGGGCTCCTGGAAGGCACCTGTGCACGCGTGAGACTGTCTTTGCCCACGTGAGACAGGACTCTTGGTAGGCAACTGTCCCAAGCTGGGCTGCTCAGAGAGCCGGCCTCCCCAGGTTGCGGAAGTGAGGCAGGAGGCAGGCTGTCTGTCTGAGGAGCTGCAGACAGGTGTCTTCTGTTGGCTACATGAACTGAGCAGCAAAGGAAGAGAAACCACAGAGAAAGAAGTAAAGAACCGGTGGCCAGAGAGCAGTGGGCACACTGGCTTCCAGTTCCCAGTCCCTGTAATAAAGCAGGGCCTTTCTAGTTGCATTCCGTGAGAAATTCCTGTAGATTTTAGTAGAGATAGAGACAGAGATAGAGATAGAGACAGAGACAGAGACAGAGATGGAGATAGAGACAGAGACAGAGACAGAGATAGAGACAGAGACAGAGACAGAAATGGAGACAGAGACAGAGGTTGAGATAGAGACAGAGACAGAGACAGAGATGGAGATAGAGACAGAGACAGAGATAGAGATAGAGACAGAGACAGAGATTGAGATAGAGACAGAGACAGAGACAGAGATCGAGATAGAGACAGAGACAGAGACAAAGATAGAGATGGAGACAGAGACAGAGGTAGACACAGAGACACAGAGATAGAGATAGCTCTGCTGAAGTTTTCTTGAGGTTTCTACTATTTCCAACCAAACATACAAAAATTCCCCACAAAATTTCCCACAAAACTCTTCCCATGATAAAATGACTAATTTGGCTTGCTGATCTATAGTGATGATATTAGGATTGCCAGAGAAATACTGACTGAGATCATCATCCAGTCTCTATTATAAAATCATAAACATATTTTATTGCTATGCAAAGAGAATATTCCATTGTGATCTAGATGTATGTGTACGTAGATGTTTATTTGAATTGGATAAATGGTGGCATGGGAGACTGAGAGACATGAAACTAAATAATAGATTGAAAATTAAGCCTACTGTCTAATGGATTAAAATAAAAATTTTAAATAGCAAGAAATAACCAGTTAGCAAGGAAAAAAAAAAAAAAGGAGCGAGACCAAGATGTGGAGCAGCTGGGACTCTCCTACATTCATGGTGGGCTTTTAAAATGCTGAAGCCGCTCAGCCAACAAAAAAGAATGAAACAGGGACACCAGCTACAGCATGGATGAGCCTGGAAAACTCTCTGAGTGAGCAGCCAGGCTCCAAAGGCCATGAGCCATGTGATTCCATTTTCATTAAATGCCCAGAATGAGTAAATCTGTAGAAATAAGAAGTTGCTTCGTGGTTGCCAGGATTGAGGGGTCGTGAAAAGTGGGGGTGACCGCTAAAGGGTATGAGTTTTCTTTTCAGCAATGACGAAAATGTTCTAGAGTTACATCATAGTGATCACAGAACCCTGTGAATAAACTCAAAAGGGTGACTTTTGGCCAGGTTTGGTGGCTCATGCCTGTAATCCCAGCACTTTGGGAGGCCCAGACAGGTGGATTGCTTGAGCCCAGGAGTTCCAGACAGGCCTGGGGGATATACTGAGACCATCTCTACAAAAAAATAAAAAATACAAAAATACAAAAATTAGCTCAGCGCAGTGGTGTGCACCTGTAGTCCCAGCTACTCAGGAAGCCAAGGCAGGAGGATCACTTGAGTCCAGGAGGTGGAGGCTGCAGTGAGCCAAGATCTCACCACTGCACTTCAGCTTGGGTGACAGTGAGACCCTGTCTCAAAAAAAGGGAGAGGTGACTTTTATATTGTCTAAATGATGTCTTAATCATCTAAAAAGAATAAGAAAAATAAAAGAACCAAAAAGGAAAAGTACGCGCTGCTTGCTCATTGGGCTGAGCCCACGTCCCTCCCTGTTCGGGGCCTTACTTCCTGCTGGGGGCCTCAGTCTCTGCGCCCAGGCCGTCCTGTGCAAATCTGCCTGCTGCCAGAGCCGGACCCCGAGCGCCTTGGGGTCAGAGGCGTGTCTTGGGTTTCAGAACCCGCCAGCACCATGCAAAAGTTAGGACATGGCCTTTTTTTGTCGCCCAACTGATTCTCCGACTGAGATCCACAAGTGCAGTCACCCCGAGGACAGGGAAGTTGGTTGTGCAAAATAGGAAGACAAGATGGCAGAGGCAGACAGGAAGAGCATGTTTTCTTGGCAGTCAGAGGCGAAGCCCCAGAAAGCCCAGGTTCTTTGGGCTGGCCACGGAGAAAACGGAGTACACGGAAAAATGAAAATGGACTTCCCACAGACCCAGACAGACCCTGAAGTAGGGAAGAAACCAGGACTGGGAGAAAGCCAGAGCATCCAAGACTAAGGAAGGCCTCCCTGTTAAATACCCATCAACATCTTCAATCGCATACCTGCACCCAGTGGCTTCCTTATCACCTGGAACACCTGCTGCAAGCGTTTCTGCGCACTGCAGTCATTCGACTAGGGAACGGGCTGCTGTTGGCATCTTGCACCCTGGAAGACAGATGCATGGGATAGAGAAAGGCCATTGGCTCCAGAGTCCTCCGCTCCCCTCCAAGACCCCTCAAGTCGGTAGGTGACAGTTACAGAAATGACAAGTCATATAAAAAATGAGCACCTCAAGTCTGTGCTTTCATCACAGATCCTAGGCAACCGCTTTAAGAACGGGAGCCCAGTGACTCACAAACAGAGCACAGCCACCAGAAAGAAAACAGTCCTCCACCCACACCCCGGCCTCCGCCATGGAGCGTGACACAGAGACAATGGAGCGTGCTGGAATCTTCTGGAAGAGTGAGTCAAACATTGAAAGCTTAAGATATCATCAGAAATGACAAGCATTTAAACACATTTCTCAAAATTCAACAAATGAACATTAATGTGTTTCGGCTGCACTATATTCATCCTCAACATTCCTTTGAGAATGTTAACATTCCTTTAAGACAACACACTTTCCCCTAAAGCCGAGCATTTTTGGTGCTGCTGACCTCACTTCTAGGCCTTGGATGGGCACAGGGCCCAGGAATGGTTGGAAGACAGACACACAATCAGAGGCCATCAAACCTTCTCCTGGTCTTTTGCTGGAGGCATCAGAAGAGGCGCTCGCTGCCTGAGATGCTAAGAGACTGGGAGGTGGATTTGAGCAGCTCAGTTTGCCATCCCAGCATCATGAGGGGAAACAATGGTTGCAAATGGAAGCAACTCAGAGGAATGGGGAGCTTTCAGATGAAAAGAGGTCCGTTGTTTGAGCACCTGAATCCAGCCATGCCTGCAGCTCGTATTTCCTATACACTGTATGATGATATGAACCAAACTGCTTTTTTTATCTTAAGTCACTTTGCATTGAGTTTCTGTCATTTGCAACCAATTGTCCTAACCAATAAACCAATAGATTGCCCATTGGGGATTAAAAGCAAACTCATTGCATGACCATCAGTTGACACTGTATCCTTTCTCAGGAGTAATTCTGAAACATGTCTTTACCATTGTATTTCTTCATTCATTCTCAAAGTAGAATTTTATACAGTCATTATGATTATCATTATGCTAGGTTTAGGGGAGGTTATTAAGGGGTGGCCAGGTACAGTGGCTCATGCCTGTAATCTCAGCAGTTTTGGAGGCTGAGGCAGGTGGATCACCTGAGGTTAGGAGTTCAATACCATCCCGGCCAACATAATGAAACCCCATCTCTAATAAAATACAAAATTAGCCGGTCATGCTGATGCACACCTATAATCCCAGCTACTCGGGAGGCTGAGGCAGAAGAATCGCTTGAACCCAGAAGGCGGAGGTTGCAGTGAGCTGGGATCACGCCATTGCACTCCAGCCTGGGCAACAAGAGCAAAACCCTGTTTCAAAGAAAAAAAAGAAAAAAGGAAGAAAAAAAAGCCAGAGGCTGGAATGGCCATAGCCAATCGATTCATTTATGACCTTGGAACTCTCTTAACCCTTAATTTGCAATCTTGCTGTGAGAATGAAATCAGGTCATATTTCTAACTTGCATTGCACAGTATTTTACACACGGTCTATACCCCTCAAATGTGAATCTGCATTCTTAAAAAGAGGGCTAAAGTGCGGTTCCTGCTCTCAGGCAGCTTACAGTCTAAGAAACATTTTTGTAAGAAATGATGACATGGTCATTTTTCGATAATGACAACGGCCACATATGGATTGCAAAACATGTATAAAATCACTTACCTTAATAAAAGCTATTATCACAAATGAAAAGTAATCCAGAAAAAAATAAATATTGATCCAAAAAGCAATGAGAAAAGTGTTCTATTTCATTTAGGGATGGCTAATTAACTCCTGGCAGTCTTCAAAGGAAGTGAAAATGACACACAGCCTCAAAATAATTAAACTCCCCCCACCCCAAATTAAACAATCCCATGAATAATTCACTCTCAAATATGTTTTCTAAAACAAAAATGAAAAACAAAGGTCTGTTTCCCAAATGACATCAGACATGCACAGAAAGCTCCCAAGATATCAAATTAAATAAGCGCCATTAATAAATAATTTAATTGCTTTGGCTAATGTGTGAGGAAGCAGCGTTTGCATCCCAAAAGCTTGGGGGCCTTCAGAGAAGTAAGAAAAGAAAGAAATTCAGATCTCATGGGGGCACAGTTTATATTATAATAGTGTATGACTATAATCATTACATTTCCTTTTTATATTAAATTATTATCTAATAACAAAACATCTGGGTGCTAATGAGGTTTTCAAAAGTAATTTTTCTTTCATCGTGTCCATTCCATGCAGGCCTCTGAGTTTCAAGCAGGGAATTGAACTCAGGGCTTCCCAGGCCCCCACACGGTGAATGAATTCTCTTCTTCCTGCCTCCCTCCATCCCGCACTACCACTGCGGTTGCCTCAGACAGCTCCCCTGCCCCTCCCCTCCATGCTCTGCTCTGCCTCAGTGATCCCGACCCTTGAAGCTTGCTTTCTCCAGGATGCCTGGCCTCCTGGTCTCTGACTAGGTTGGCCAGTGAGGGTTTGGGCAGGGGACTGGAAGGCAGGAGGAGGGACGCCTCATGGGCGGCAGTTCTTGTTAAGGAGTGTCACTCTCTGACCTCACAGTGTCCTCTCCCTGTTTCCCTGTTGTTGTCCCTCCAGCCCTTGCATGGCACAGGCTCCCTGGTTTCCTCACGACCTCTGGCATTTCGGCTCTTCCAGTAATTCTCATTAGTGGCCCAGTTAAGTCACCCCTGAAGGCACCTGGCGTGGACTCAGTTTTCCAGGTCAGACTCAGACTAAGGTGCTGATCCACCTTCCTCTTCCCAATGCACTCATTCCCCAGTGCCTCCAAATGCCTGACAGCAGACCTCTCTAGTTCCTGCCCTCACAAAACCTGTGTTTCCCCTGAATTGTGTCACTCTACTCAAAGTGACCAAAGGAAAAAAAGCAGTTTGGTTCATATCACCATACGGTTGATAGGAAATACGAGCTTCAGGCATGGCTGGATTCAGGTGCTCAATGAACTTCTTTTTATCTCTGAACAAACCCCTTCCAGAGCAGCCCGGTAGCCTGGGTGTTGCGCTCTTGCCCACCCTGACCCCGGGCCACTTCATGGTGCTCAAGGTTGTCTTCCATCTCCTAGGTCACGGGGATCTCCTTCAGGTCGCTGCTCTTCCGCACGCAGACGGAAAACTTCATCTGCTGAAGCTCACACCTGTGGAGCCTCTTAAATTTTCACCTGTGAGACAACCCATCAGTTTTTTGAGAGCTGGTTCAATGTACCTCCTCTCTGCCATCATCTCCATGCTGGCTTTGGATCAGCCTCTGACAGGATGACTCAGGATGCCAGGTCTTCTTCTTTCCCTTGAATCCTTGCCCCTTAGAGGTTATGAACAGGGAGCTTTCGTTACAGCTTAAATACCAGGTTTGTGATCTTGGACACGTTACTTAGAAGCTCTGAGCTTGATCCAGTCTATCATTGTTGGACATTTGGGTTGGTTCCAAGTCTTTGCTATTGTGAATAGTGCCGCAATAAACATACGTGTGCATGTGTCTTTATAGCAGAAAATTTGGCACATATACACCATGGAATACTATGCAGCCATAAAAATGATGAGTTCATGTCCTTTGTAGGGACATGGATGAAGCTGGAAACCATCATTCTCAGCAAACTATCGCAAGGACAAAAAACCAAACACCGCATGTTCTCACTCATAGGTGGGAACTGAACAATGAGAACACATGGACACAGGAAAGGGAACATCACACACCGGGGCTTGTTGTGGGGTGGGGGGAGTGGGGAGGGTAGCATTAGGAGATATACCTAATGTTAAATGACGAGTTAATGGGTGCAGCACACCAGCACGGCACATGTATACATATGTAACAAACCTGCATGTTGTGCACATGTACCCTAAAACTTAAAGTATAATAAAAAAAAAAAGAAGCTCTGAGCTTGGTTTCCTCATTCTTGCACCAAATTGTTCCTGACTTCCTACAATGTAGAAAGGAAAGAGTAGCCCATGAGATGACACAAATCATGCCTCAAAGCAGTTAATATTCTAGCAAGCTAGATAAGTAGTCATAATTAGCCAGACTTGTGATGCTATTAATTATTCAATTATTATTGTAAGAATAAATACAAGAGAGAAATACAGGAACATATCACAGGAGAAAGAAGATAATGTTTTTCTTCTGAAGCCACCATATTCTCCCTCATATCTTAAAACATCAAAGCTTTTTGTCACTTGTTAATGAAGGTGAGAAACTCAGTTCTGTGTATTGCTGCCTAATGGCTGAATTTGGTGTATCTCTAAACAAACAAACAAATAAACCCCTCAACCTAATTTCCATCGTTAATTCTCTCTGTGAAGGGGCAGGACTGCAAATGGCAGGGGGGAAGAGCTCTTTCATAATGATTGACGTAAAGGCAATTTTTTAAATTTTTTAAAAAATAAGTGGGTCATCCTTCCTCTTCGCATCAAGAAAATTATTTAAGCCAAACATCAAATGTTAACTTTCGCCATTTAATGTTTCACTCACAAATGAAACTTTCATCATCCAACACAAACTGCGTAAGGAAAACGATAATTTGTTAAACCACGGAACTGAGAAGGCTCAGCTCTGTCTGTAGGGCCGGCTTCACCTGAGCTCAAACAATGTCATAAACAGCTGCTGTCTCTCTCCCTGTCTTAGCTGTTCTTCTGTGCAGACTCCACGCGCAAACAGGCTCTCTCTTTCCCAACGTGCGGTGACCACAGAAGCCTCAGCCCCGTGTGCTCCCATCTTTGTGTCCAGGGCTGTCTTCTCTGAAGGTTCTTGCAAAGCCCTGGGCCTCGCTCTGATTGGACCAGCATAGGCCTCATGCCCGTGCCTGCACTTGTCCCTGTGGCCAGGAAGACACTGTGCTTTTCATCCAGGCCTTGGTCTTTCATCCCTAGACCACATCTACTGAAACTGACACCAGGCTAGATCCACAAAATGTGGTGGCTGTTGCTGAAATTTGGCAGTTTAGATCCTGGGAAGGCAAACCAAAATTAGCTACCCAACCTCAAAAACAAAACAAAAGTCTTGGGCTGGGCATAGTGGCTCACTGCTGTAATTCCAGCACTTTGGGAGGCTGAGGCGGGCAGATCACCTGAGGTCACGAGTTCGAGACCAGCCTGGCCAACATGGTGAAACCCGGTCTCTACTAGAAATACTAAAATTAGCTGGACATAGTGGCAGGCACCTGTAATCCCAGCTACTCAGGAGGCTGAGACAGGAGAATCACTTGAACCTGGGAGGTGGAGGTTGCAGTGAGCTGAGATCGTGCCACTGCACTCTAACCTGGGTGACAGAGTAAGATTCCATCAAAAAAAAAAAAAAACTCTTGAAGGTAGAAATTTTCGCCCTTGCTTCTATGAAGTTCTCAATCTCTAGAAAAGTAAAAGGTCGCAAGTTAAGCAGGAGGCCCTACTTCTATCCGTCACTGTGCTCCTTGTTACCATAGGTGGTCACTGCCACTGAGCCTCCATTCAGGGAATGGGCTCTGTTTGCACCTCTGCAGCTCTGAACTCAGGGCACACCTAGGCAGCCAATAAAACCTGCACGCAAACCACATTTTCAAAAAGCATCACTTGTTTTCTACTGACCTTTTGACAATGTAAGCAATTAATTCAGACAATTTTCTGCACAATTAATCTTACAGACAGGTTCAAAAGTCTGTCACCTTGCAGCAGGAAAAAGCACTACTGAAAAGAAAGGAAAACTAACCTTTAGTTTCAAGGGTGTGTATGTTCTCCAAACTCACCAAATTGTATCCATTAAATACATACAGAACACCTCAATAAAATGGTTTTAAAATAATCTATAACATTTCTGCCATTTTTTGGATAGGATACATCACATTTTCCCTAAAGAATATGAAACTCTGGGGGCAGTATTCATCGTCAGCTGGGGCTGCCGTAACAAAGTCCCAGAAGCTGGGTGGCTTAAACAGCAGAAATTTAGTTTTCCTCAGTTCTGGAAGCTGGAAGTCCAAGACCAAGGTGCTGGCAGGGCTGGTTCCTCCTGAGGCCTCTCTCCTAGGCTTGCACCGTCTCCCTGTGTCCTTCCAGGGTATCATTTCTCTGTGCACGTCTGTGCCCTAATGTCCACTTCCCATAAGGACATTGGTCAGACTGGAATCGAGCCCACCTAATGACCTCATTTCAACTTAAGCACCACTTTAAAGCTCACATCTCCAAATGCAGCCCCAGCCTGAGGGGCTGAAAGTTTGGGCTTCCACAGAAGGATCTGGGGGACCCAATACAGCCTGCAACAGTTGGAGAACTTGCTCAGAACCCACCCCAGACCCTACCCCCAGAACTCCCCTGGACACGGCTCCCCACGGCCCCACCCCTCAAGCCTGGACAACCTTGGTGCCCTCCTGGCTTCCAGCACCCACCCAGTCCTTCACGCCAGGCTGCTGTTTCCCCAAACAAGTGAGTGTCCTGCTCCCTTCCAGCACCCCTGACCTTCTCCTGCCTCAGATTCTTTCATGCTGTTCTCGGCTCCTAAATTCAGGCTCGCCTTAAAGCTCGGCCCACGTTTCCATGATAAAGCACTCTGTGATTATTTGCTGATTCCACCAATATTTTTTTGAGTACCTGTTGTGTGCCTAACACCGATGGCATTCAGAGCTGGTGCACAGCTGTGAGCAGAACACAGACCCTTAGGGAGCCCCTGGCCTGCTAGTGGAGATGACCCCAATCCAGGGAGATGTGGGAGCACTGAGGAGAAGCCCCAACCCTGGGGTTC
Source organism: Homo sapiens (assembly GCF_000001405.40). Classification (NCBI taxonomy): domain Eukaryota; kingdom Metazoa; phylum Chordata; class Mammalia; order Primates; family Hominidae; genus Homo; species Homo sapiens. The sequence continues at coordinate 129,933,958 of NC_000012.12, forward strand.
ATGGAGGGCTTCCTGGAAGAGGAAGCAAGGTGAAATCAGAGGCTGCAACGTATGAATTGGTTAGAGGGGTGGGGCTGGAGGAGGGAACCATAATTCAGCCCATAATAAGGGCTTAGCCTTGGTACTCTTAAGAACAGTATCCTTTCTGTAGTAAGGAAAATGGTGATATGGTTTTGCTGTGTCCCCACCCAAATCTCATCTTGAAATCCCAAATGTTGTGGGAGGGACCTGGTGGGAGGTAATTGAATCATGTGGGCGGTTCTTTCCTGTGCTGTTCTCAGGATGGTGAATAAGTCTCACAAGATCTGATGGTTTTAAAAACAGGAGTTTCCCTGCACAAGCTCTCTCTTTGCCTGCTGCCATCCATGTAAGATGTGACTTGTTCCTCCTTGTCTTCCACCATGATTGTGAGGCCTCCCCAGCCATGTGGAATTGTAAGTCCCATTAAACCTCTTTCTTTTGTAAATTGCCCGGTCTCGGGTATGTCATTATCAGCAGGGTGAAAATGGACTAATACAAATGGGATTTCATTTGTGCTTAAAATTCTACAGTAGCATATTATTGCTTTTGCCTTTAATAGGAGGACATATTTTAACTACCCTTCCCTGAGGCTGATTGCAAGGGACATAAGGGAATTCCGATTTAGAGACACGTACCCTTTGACAGGATATGGAACCATGTGGCAAGGGCCTGGGGTGGACAGCTATAGTGTGTGTGGCCAGCGTCCCTTCTGGGAACAGCACCTGCTCTCCCTGGAAGAACCTCTCTCCCCATCACACATGGCCTTGGTGGGCATGTGACACAGGCTAAGGCTGCTGGGTCGTCTCTTCCAGCAACATGAATCTCTAGAGGCAAAGATGGGGAGTGGTTGGAGTGGGTCCAAGCGGAAGGAACTGAGACCTTGATCCATGGACCTCTGTCCCTTTTAAACTGCCAAGGAAAGCAGCTGATAGAAAGGTAAATTGACCTAGGGTCAGGGCCAAGGGTGAGAGTGGAATGGGTGGGGCAGGTGTACCTGGCTGTGGTTTCAAACAGAAGCTGAGAAATATAGACTTGGGGAGAGATATTTACTCCTCAAGTGCCAGAGAAGAGAACCAAAGATGGCAGCTTGCCCTGGGAATGGAAATAGAGCCCGACAGTGATGGGGTCATTAAACCTGAGCTAACACCCAGAATAAAAGCAGTCCAGTTGTAGGAGTCGGATTGAAAGCTGAGCCGCAGAGCCGCTTGTAGGCCGCTGTGTGTAAATGGATATATTTCCAATCCACTCGCGCTGTGGGGGTTCCTCCATGCACCAAAACCACCTCTGTGCCTTTTACAGCAGGAGACTCAAAGGGAAGGAATGAACAGCTTTAGAAAGCATGAAATCAAAGGAAGATCAGGAAGAACCTGTCTTTCTGTGGGAAAGTACTCCTGCCTTTTACTTTTGAAGAGTTGCATCTAAAAGGGACCCTTCATGGCATGAGGCATGAGGCATCTGCTCCAGGCCAGAATCCTCCACGTGTCCCTCAGGCCCGACTGCACCAACCAGGCAAAAGCCCATGCATGGCAGCGTCTGAAGGGAGCTGCAGTAGAGGGCTGGGTCCCGAGCCGGCCATGCTCACAGATGCATCTGCATCCGGGGGCCTCTCACCAGCAGACCACTTTTCCCTCCTTTGAATCCAGTCTTTTTCCACTTCTAACCCTTCCCTGTCTCCCTCTCCTCAAACCCTGGGTCCAAATGAAAGAGCTGGGAGCCTTTCGTTTGGGGCTCCTGAGCTGACCCAGCTGAGCCTCGCAGGTGCATTTCGGTGAGGGATGGACCTTTGAGCAGCCAGCACGATTTTCCCTTTGCCTCTTTGCTGCACTGTCATGGTGCCTGATGAGGGAACGCTTGACACTGACAGTGGACTCATTTTCTAATCATCCATCTCGACACCTGGAAGTCTAATGAGACCCCATTCAGCGTGGCTTTCTCCCGCTCCTGCTCCACTCCCTACCTCCTCCTGTTGTCCATAAAGAAGGGTGTGCCAGGGAGAGTACACTGAGTCCGGGGAACAGGCATCAGGGGATGCCTGCAGGACCAGCGGGAAGACTGGGCACATCGTATGGACAGTCACCCCCGGAGGACCCGGGAGCAGCGAATATTTGATCATCGTTCCAGGGACTTTCTGGAATGAATGAACGTTGGCCTCTCTTGGTCTTTTTATCAAAGAGTTCAGGATTTGGATTCCGGGGAAGGTCATCTCCCAAAAGACTTGGAAAGAACGGGTTAACAATCACTGGGTTTACAGGGATGCTGAACTGCATCACTCGGTAAATCAGTTGTTCTCAACGAGGAAATTCGTGTGCTACTTCCAAAAGAAAGCGAAGAGATGCTGAGCTGCCTAGAATGAAATATCCCACTGCAATAAGCTCCCTAAAGAAGGAGAACTTCAAGAGCCCTCGAAGAAACAATGTAGAAAGATTGGGATTCTCACCGACAGCCCTATTCCTTTCAAGCCTAAAATACATGAATGAAGATTCAGACCTGTAGGTAGAGGGAGAAGACTGAGGTAGATGGAAAGAGGGCAAAGGAGAGCATCTTAGGGATAAGAAAATGTCGGGCAATGGAAGTCGTCATGCACCATTTTTCTTGCTTTGTTATCTTCCTGGAAACCATCGGTGTCCTCTTGCCTTGATGACGCTGTCTCCTTTCCTGCACTCAAGTTCCCTCATACTGAGGGCTGAGTTTATCACAGACTGGTCTGCAGCAACTCTCCTCCTTTCTCCCCAAACACCAAGTCACTGAATCCAACTCACGTCAGTGGAGGGGTTCTCCTTTTCCCCTTTGAGATTGCAGTATGAGTGAACCACACACATTTCCACCAGTGTCTCCTTCAACCGTCTCCCCCTCGACAAGAACCCTACCTCGCTCAGTATGCATAAATGCATGGCTCCAACTCTGGGGCATCAGATCACCCTCGAGAGACGCAAGGTGCCTAAGGGCTTGAGCTTTGTAAAAGCAGGAACCTGGGGTCTGAGTCCCCATTCTACCAGGCATTAGTCTTGTGACCTTGAGCAAGCTATTAAACTTCTCTAAGCCCATGCTTCCTCAGGCATGAAATAGGGTTGACAACAATAACTTCCTTGGAAGATTACGTGAGGATCCAATGAGAAACCATGAGTTAAATACTTAGCACGGTGTTTTCACAAGAAGCGTTAGTTGCTGTAATGCTATTATCCAGTTTACTTTTACCATACAGCAGAACAGTAAAATAATCCATCACTCTTTATCACTTTCTCTCCTTATTCTAATAAGTCATTTGGTTCCAGGAAAGAACACAGAAGAGTTTGCAGGTAAGCTGGGGACTTCCCAGTTTAACCCCAAAGTAGAGTTACAGATTGAAATCGGACTTGAAAGGCAGCTGTAAAAAGTGTTCCATAGACTTGCTATTACAGGTAAACACCAACTTACAATAAAGAACCCCAGAACACTTCAAGAGAGAAACTTAGACCCCAGACCTGGAATGAAAGAGAGACCCCCACATTGCCAGCATTGGCAATAGATTTATGTTGGAGCCAACAAAAACGCCTGAAAAACAAACACAATCCCCACGCAGGTTTCCAAACTGCACGCTGCAGGCTGCTACTGGGGAAGATAATTCATCATCATAAAAACAAACATCCATTTTACACTTGCATGGCAATGCGGATGTCCTTATTTGCATAATGATGGTGATTTGCATATGAGGAAAATTTGCCTGAGTGAGTCTTGAGCTCAAAATACATTCAACTATGATACCGTTGGTACAATTTTCTCAAGGATCCCAATTTAATACTATTTATCTAATGAAAGGAAAAAAATAAATATTGGCTGTAACATCCCATTATGCTTGAGAGTTGGTTTTAAATTACACTTGAGTAGAGTGAGGGAGTGGTGTTTGTCTTCCTTTGAAGTGCATATTACAAAGGAGAGTATTGTCTAGAGGTGAGAATTTCTTCACTTTAACAGTTGCTAAAAATGGGCATCTTCAGCCACACACATGCACAATTATCTGCAGTAAGCATTTGGTCCACGAACGCAATTACTTCTACCCTAAGTTAGCCACAAGTTGAGAGCAAAGATTGTGTCTTAAAGATAGATGCTCTCAGAAAAAAAAAAAAAGAAAAGAGAGACATCCTCAAGGTGAATTAAAAGGCACATTCCTCAGAAACCTGCAGCACAGGCAGAAACGCAAGCAGAGCTGGAAATGCTTCTGGACCCTGCATCTTAGGGGAATGGCATTGGAAGCGATCTTCCAGCTGGCTCACCAGAGCTGGTGAGTGCAGCGTGTGCCTCTCTGGGCTGATTGTGCCTCCTGAGCTTCCCACGTGGCCGTCTGAAATGTGCTGTGTGTCCCTCTTTGCTTCCTTCCCAGGGTGGGTGGACAGAGATGTTGCTGAATCTCCATTTCATAGGGAGGGGCCCTGGTGCCATCAAAGCCAAAATAGCCTGTGTCTCGTGCCCACACGCCTACAGTGCCAGCCTGATGACCACACAATTTTCATCACTGTCCTTCCCACTAGAGTGAATGTTGCTGACGGTCATCTCTTTGGCTTTGCAGCTGTGGCCAGGGCCAGGCGAAGGGAGGAGCAAAGAGTCCTTCCATGTGACACAGGCCATCTGGACGACTGTCTTTTATACCTTATTGACTGCAATTCACAGCAAGAAATAGAGTATTCGACATTACTCCCTAAAAGGCACACAGATGCACATGGGCACACACACATGCAAGGCAGTAGAACCAAAGCTAAACCTCAGAAAACAAGGCTTACACTGCTGCATTCACATGTAACTTATTCTAGCATTTTCCATCTCATCCCACCCCACGCCATGCCATGCCATCCCATCCCACCCCATCTGTGTTAGGCGATTCTTGCATGGCTGTAAAGAAATACCTGAGACTGGGTAATTTACAAAGAAAAAAGATTTAATTCCTTCAACGTTCTGCAGGCTGTAGAGGAAGCACGGTGCTGGCATTTGCTCGGCTTCTAGGGAGGCCTCAGGAAGCTTATCATCATGGCAGAAGGTGAAAGGGGACTGTATGGTCTCACATGGCCAGAGCAGGTGCAAGAGGGGGACTGTTGGGGGTGGGGCGGGAGGTGCCACCCACTTTTAAATGATCAGATCTCATGAGAACTCACTATCATGAAGAGAGCACCAAGCCATGAGGGATTCACCCACATAATCCAAACACCTCCTACCAGGCCCTACCCTCAGCACTGGGGATTACAGTCCAACATGAGATTTAGGTGGGGACAAATACCCAAACTACATCATCATCCCATCCTTCCCTATATTAAATTACACTCTGCCACGCTTTGCTGTATCATGTTATGCCGTTTCATTTATTTTTAAATGATGACCACATCCCATTAACATGAGTTCAGCACTCACTAATGTGCCACAAAGCACTGACTGAGATTCTAAAGGACAGGGGAAACAAAACACTAAAACAAAGATGTTGATGATAGTTTATTATATTCATATGATGGTTTAGATATTTATATGATGGCTTTTATATGATATTTATATGATAGTTTAGATATTTATATGTTGGTTTAGATATTTACGTGATGGCTTTGTATGATATTTATGTGATGGTTTAGATATTTATATGATGGTTTTTTATATGATGTTTATATGATAGTTCAGATATTTATATGTTGGTTTAGATATTTACGTGATGGCTTTGTCTGATATTTATATGATAGTTTAGATATTTATATGTCAGTTTAGCTGAATAAACCATATTCCAAATGCTTCAGGTTTGTTTCTGCTTCCCATTTGACCTCCTTTTTCTATGTCTTAAAAAGAAGTAATTCTTTGGACCGATTACCTGTGAATTACTGTGCTAATTTTTATGGAATAACTAAGGCTTAGGCTCAGAGAAATGAGAGAATGAATCAATGAAGGCTTTAGAAAATGATTTAAATCAAGAGCTTCTTAAACCAGCACTGTGGTACAAGCATAAGAGCTCTCCTCTGGGGTTTAGGATGAATCCAAGCTTTAATCTTTAAAGGAAGAGGCATTTTGCACTGATAAATGAGAAGTCTTCTGGTCCACAGTGAAATATCTGTATGCAAGCCAAATGGTGGAACGAACCATCCAAAACTGCCTGCAATGTCAGGTGTGTGACAAAGGTGATTAGGCTTAACCCAGCTTAGACTTCGGAATCCCTCTCAACACAGACCATCAATCAACCTTAGTTTTAAAAGTACATGAAGTCCGCGTGCGATGGTTCGTGCCTGTAACCGCAGCACTTTGGGAGGCCGAGGCCAGTGGATCGCCTAAGGTCAAGAGTTTGAGACCAGCCTGGACAACATGGCAAAACCCCGTCTCTACTGAAAATATAAACATTAGCTGGGTGTGGTGGCGGACACCTGTGGTCCCAGCTACTCGGGAGGCTGAGGCAGAAGAATTGCTTGAACCTGGGAGGTGGAGGTTACAGTGAGCCGAGATCATGCCACTGCACTCCAGCCTGGGTGACAAGAGCGAAATTCCATCTCAAAAAAAGAAAAGAAAAAATACATGAAATGTATTTGAACCTCAAGTCTGTGCGAAGGTAGATGTGAAGGCTTCCAAAGAAACATTGAGATGTGTGGTAAATCCTGATATAAGTGAATATTGTTCTTTTTATCTAGGAGATTCTGGTGTTGGATAATCATGGTGATTGTGTGAAATGTCTTTTTCTTTAGGAGGAAACAAAATTTTGCACAGCAAGTAGATTATAGCTGTTGATGCCACAGCGAGTGGTGGAGAGGGGATGGGTAACTATGTGAGATGATGGATGTGTCCATTTGTTCCACTACAGTAACCATTTTTTTTTTTTTTTTGAGATGGAGTCTCACTCTGTCCCCCAGGCTGGAGTGCAGTGGCGCAATCTCAGCTCACTGCAACCTCCGCCTCCTGGGTTCAAGTGATTCTCCAGCCTCAGTCTCCCAAGTAGCTGGAATTACTGGCATGTGCCACCACACCCAGCTAAATTTTTGTATTTTTAGTAGAGACAGATTTTCACCATGTTGGCCAGGCTGGTCTCAAACTCCTGACCTCAGGTGATCCACCCGTCTCAGCTTCCCAAAATACGGGGATTATAGGCGTGAGCCACCGTGCCTATAGTCACCATTTTACTACATATATGTAGCTGATAATGTCATGTTGTAGACCTTAAATATATACAATGACATTGGTTTTTAAAAAAGATTAGATTACTGTAAATTAAAGAAAAGAAAAACTCTCACATATTGCTGGCAGTTATACAACCTTTAAATTCCCTTGCAGCTCTGGCCTTCAAAAATTAAACTAGAATCAAAGGCAGTGGTGATTTTTATTTCACCAAGTCCAATCATGGAAAAAGTATTGCTTAATTATGAGTAGGGGTATGTACTGACTTCTCCAAATCAACTCAACAATACTTACTAAGCACCTACTGCATGATTACCGAAGTAGCTTAGTTGAGCAATATTCACAGTTTATAGTCACCTTTCTAGTGGCTAAACGAGGCTCTTCGTTAAAGCCTCTCCGGAATAACAGGTTTTTGATAAAAATATTTGGACCATGTGATAAAAATGAGCTGCAGTCTCTAAAAACAAGAAAGGTAGGAAAAGAAGCAGGTAATTGGTAGGAAATGAAACCAACAGGACCCTCTAGTGTGTCTGTAGGTTCTTATAGAGGACCTGATTAAACCAGGAAGGGGGACTGTGCCTGCCCTGAGTTGTCACTCCCACGCATGAACCAAATGCTGCTTTGGTCTCAAAGGCCAATCACACCGATGGGCTGAGGGAGCTGTTCAGCGGATTCCAGAGGTGAACTCTCCCCCAGCGACATTTTGCTATTTCCATATAAAACACTGAGACGACTCCCACGCCGACCACTGCAGGGAAGCTCCTTCCTCTTTCTGCAAAGTTTCACATGTGTGGGGCAGGGCAGGCTAACACACATGCTTCACTAATTCACAACGCTCAGACATGAGTGGCTGAAACAACAAAGCTGCATCTCTCCCTCCCCCCATCAGCATTTCTCCAGGATGGCGCCTGCACCTCACTGAGACTTCAGAGTAAGGGGAAAGGGGCAGAGAGTCCGGCACCAGCAAATAAACACGCTCCATTGGCCAAAGAAGTCACAGGGCCATTCCTAACTTCATAAGGGTGGGCAAGTACGATGCAAAATGGAGAAGGACCAGGAATTGGTGAAACACGGTAATGCTGCTACCCACGTAAGTTCAGAGAGGCTACCTGGGACACGTCCACCTCCAGGTCACGCCTTCCCTTCCACTTCGCTCACGTCTTCAAGATTTAAACAGCGATGACACAGAGAGGGGAAAGTCATGTTCACCTTTCCATTCATTTAGCAAACACTTATTGGAGTGACTCCAGGAACAATTCCAGCCCAGAGGTAGAAGAGTAAGCTGCCTCTGTGGTACCAACAAAGAATCAACAAACACAAAAACAGGTACCTACTGTATCAGCGCGGTAAGATGGTGTTTTTGAAAAGGCGATAGGAAGTGAGGGAGCAAGCCATGTGGATATCCGGGGGGAGCAATCGAGGGCAGCAGAAGAATAGGGCGTGCAAACAGGCTGAGATGAAACATGGATGGTTTTTTTTTTTTTGAGACTGAGTCTCACTCTGTCGCCCAGCATAGAGTGCAGTGACATGAACTCAGTTCACTGCAACCTCCGCCTCCTGGGTTCAAGTGATTCTCATGCCTCAGCCCCTGAGTAGCTGGGACTACAGGCACATGCCACCACATCTGGCTAATTTTGCATTTTTAGTAGAGATGGGGTTTCATTATGCTGCCCAGGCTGGTCTCGAACTCCTGACCTCACGTGATCTGCCCTCCTCGGCCTCCCAAAGTGCTGGGATTACAGGCATGCACCACCACACCTGGCCTGTTTTGTTTCTTAAAAAAGCAAATAGGTCCATGCAGACAGAGCCAGGTCAATGAGAAAATAACTGGGGGAACCATGGTCAGAAAGAGGGAACTGATAGGCGGAGGAGAGTGGGGTACACAGCACACGGGGTCGTGCAGCCCACAGAAGGACTTTGTTCCCCGAATGACCTAAGAGGTCGCTGGAGGGCTTTGAACAGAGTTGCAACGTTGACTGACATGGCTGTCTCGTGGAGCAGACGGCGGGAGGAGAAGGGCAGAAGCGTGAAGACCAGCGGTGGGAGATGGCAAAAATCTGAGAAAGAGACGGTGATGGCTGGACCAAGAAGAGCCCGTAGGAGTGCACAGGAGATAGAAAGTGGATTGGGAGGTAGATTTGCTTTATTATTTTTTGTTATAAAAGTCATTCCAGTGAGACATTGAACTTCTCAGAGAAATAGGTATTTACGCAGGTAGAGGCAAAGATGCTTATTGCCTATTGATTACCATAATGAGAACCCCTGGACAATCTCAATGTCAATCAATAGAGAAGTGGCTACAGAAAAAAAAACTCACAAAAAATAAAAACAACAGCAACAAAAACGATTGAAGATTTGAAGTATTCGATTCTGGGAATACTTGTAATTAATGCTCTATGTGTGACTACTTGGAAAAAATGCCACAACATAGAATGTGTATTGTGTTTTCCCTTATATATTTTTTTAAATGTTTTATTTTTAATTTTTATGGGTACATGGTAGGTGTGTATATTTACGAGGTACATAAGATATGTCCATACAGGCATACAATGCATAATAATCATATCAGGGACAATTAAATTACTATTGATTATTCATTTTGACCTTATGTTTTAAAAATTAAAGAAGCTCAACAAACTCCATCTTGGATGTGCAGGCTAATGTTTTTTATTAAATTTGGCAAGTATTGGTAATTATTGCTTATAATATTTTTTCTGCTTTTTTCTCTCTCCTCTCCTTGTCAAACTCCACTCAGATTTACCGCCTCACTAATCCCTCAAAACAGTTCCTACCAAGACTTTCATGTGTCAATGTTCAGTCCTACTCTCGCCTGAGCAATAAGCAGCATTTCACGTGGCTGGTGGCTCCTCCCTCCTTGAAACATCTAGGCTGGATGAGGTGGATCGCGCCTGTAATCCCAGCACTTTGGGAGGCTGAGGCAGGCTGATCACTGGAGGTTGGGAATTCAATTTGAGACCAGCCTGGTCAACATGGTGAAACCCTGTCTCTACTAAAAAGACAAAAACTAGCCGGGCATGGGGGCGCGTGCCTGTAATCCCAGCTACTTGGGAGATTGAAGCACGAGAATCATATGAACCCAGGAGGCAGAGGTTGCAGTGAGCTGAGATTGCACCACTGCACTCCAGCCTGGGAGACAGAAGAAGACTCCACCTAAGAAAAATAAAAAAAGAAAGAAAGAAAAAGAAAAAAAAGGAGAAACACCTCCTGCAACATTTCATCTCAGTAAGGCTCCCTCCCGATTAGCCTTTTCCATCTTCGTCATTTGTGTTGGTTCTTCCTTCCCCAAATCCCTGCTTTCTGAAAGTTCCGTGAGGATTTGGCTATTGGGCATCTTTTTTTTCCCCCTAATCCACACACACTCGCCTAGATAATTTCTTTTGCTTCTTATGGTTTTAAATCTATGCGTTGGTGACTCCCAGAGATCTTTTGCAGGGCCTTCCTCTCTGAATTGCAGATTCTCACATCCAGTTGCCTATGCCCCAAGCTTGGACATCAAAATCTTGAACTTAGCATCTTCAAAATTGGTATTTTGGTCTTCCTTCTGTGGCCTTCTCCACCCACAGACTTTTCCGTCTCAATCCATAGCAGCTCCATCCTTTCGGTTACTCAGAATCTTTGCAATTATGCTCGACTCTTCTCTGCCTCTCACATACCACGATCCCAAGCATCAGCTAATCCTATCGGCTCTAGGATTCGACAATATTCAAAATCCCACCACTTCTCACCACCGTTCCACCACCCTGGTCCAGGACACCATCCCCTCATCCTGGATGGCTGAAGTTGCATCCTCACGGTTCTCTCTGATTCAGCCCTTCAGTCCCAGATTCTATTCTCAGCATAGCAGCCAGAGTGGTCCTCAAAAAACATGAGTCAGACCTTGGTCCTTGTCTGCCCCCAAATCCCGTAATGCCTTCCATCTCATGCAGCATAGGATCCAAATTCCTTACAACAGTCTACGTGACCCTATGAAACCTAGCCCCTGCTATGCTGATGATCTCACCTCCCACCTGAACAGCAGCCTTACTGACCTCATTGCATCTTGCTCCTCTCTCTGCAGCTCTCCCCGCCAATGACTTGCTCTCTCACCTTCAGCTCTTTGATCAAAGGCCGCCCTGTGTAAACCAAGCCCACCTCTCCTAGTACAGCCTCTCCAGTTTTCCCTGCGTGATTTTTCTCCATGGTGTGGTCAGTTACTCCATCTGCTATTTCTTAATTCATCTCTCACCTTCCTCTGCTTGAATGTAGGTTCCACGAGGCCAGGGACTTCATCTGCTTTGTTTTTTCCTACCTTCCTAGGACCTAAAAACAGCATCTCACCATGACATGGGACTTTCCACAGGTTGACCAGGCACTTGCCACCCTTGCCTCTTCTGAGGACATCTTGGGAGGCCCCGGGCCACAAATACCTCCCAACCTGGCGCCTGCAGTTCCAGCGGCTCAGAGCCCTTGTCTGTATAAACAGCTGCCTCCTCCTTTAGCCTTTAATTAAAACGCAAATACTCTGAGTGAAGTAACACATTATTTAACATGTTACTTCTTTAACACTTCAGCAAAGAAGAGATCAGATACAGTTTTCTTTTGGCCAGAAAAAGGAAACTTAGAAGCAGAAAAACGAGGCTTGCCCTCCCAAAAAGAGAGATGGGGCATTGTTTCCATTGCAGGAGTTTACTCAGAGTTCCGTGTTTTTAACAGTTGCCAAATTTAGAGTGGATTTTTGGTGCAAACTCTTCGATAAATCATAACAAAATTGAGGACGTCAGTGTATTCGTTTCCCAGGGCGGCTGTAACAGATCCCCACAAACCTGGGGGCTTATAACACAAATTGGAGCCCCAAAGTTCAAAACCAGCTTCATGGGGTATCAGCAGGTGTGGGCCGCCTGGTTGCTCCGTGGGTCCTGGGGGAGAAACTGATGTCTCTGGTTCCTGGAGGCCGCCTGCATTCGGAGACGTGTGGCCCCTTCCTAGGGGCACTCCAATCCATTGCTTCCGTCCTCATCTCCTCCAGTTCTGTTGTCAATATTGCTCTGTTTCCTGCTACTAAGGAACTTGAGATTGCATTTTGGGCCCACCCAGATAATCCAGGAAAATCTCCTCATCCTCAAACTCTGAATTTAATTGCACCTGCAAAGTCCCTTTTGCCATGAAAGGTGCAGTCACAGGTTCTGGGGGTTGGGACTTGGATGTCTCTGAGGGGCATTATTCGGGCCACATGGCGGAACTCTCCCATGTGTGCTGAGGTTGATTTCTTACTGCTGACATTTTCGACACAGATGAAAGACTGAAGTAGCCCAACCCAAAAACTGACGGGGGAGATTTAGGATCTTAACTAAATCTGACATGATTCTGGCAAGGAAAATTTCAGGGGTAACTTTCAAATAGAGAACATTAAGGTGTGGCACCAAGAGTTCAAGGAAAGAGTTCATGAAGGGATGCTTCTTGAACATCATTGATAAACCAGCTGCCTCGTCTTTATTTTTAGCACAGGAGGTGTCACTGGGATTATTATCGAGTCACCCAAAGTGACTGTTCTAAAAGGGACAGCCATCATTTAGCTACACAGTTTATTCCTGATACATTCATTTAGAAATCAGTCCCCATTGCTTGCCAATCACAACTTTTTTTTTGGTTCAGGGGGAGGCTGCGGCACAAGATGAAGTCTTTTTTGAGATGAAGTCTCTCTCTGTTGCCCAGGCTGGAGTGCGGTGGCGCAATCTCAGTTCACTGCAACCTCTGCCTGTTGGGTTCAAGTGATTCTTTCATGCCTCAACCTCCCAAGTATCTGAGATTACAGGTGTGCACCACCACACCTGGCTAATTTTTTTGTATTTTTAGTAGAGATGGGGTTTTACCATGTTTGCCAGAGTGGTCTCAAACTCCTGACCTCACATGATCCACCTGCTTTGGGCTCCCAAAGTGCTGGGATTACAGGTGTGAGCCACCATGCCCAGCCAATCACAACATTTATAAAGAAACAAACAAAAAAAGCCATGCAATTTTAATGTCGTTTGACTTCTTCAGAACAGTCTTGAGGTCTGTCCTCCGACAACCATCTGTGTTTCAGGAACAGAAATGAATGTAATAAGGGGTTGCAAAGCATACAGTTATATTTAATATGAATATTTGATAGTAATGGACTTTTTGAATAATAACCCCAGTGAAAGAATCATAAAATATGGACAGGTTAGACTGAATAAAAACTAACTTTTCTGAAGACTAATATGCACAGACATGCACACACACGTGGATACACACACACTAATGAGGGAAATGAAAACCTGCAGAAAATATTTTCATATGAAAAAGAAATCATATTTTTAATATATAAAGAGTGTTTGCAAATCAATAAGTATAAGATGGAGTCACATAACTGGAATTCTACAATTTTAGGGAAGGGATACTGCTGTCAGTAAATCTTCAGTGCTGTCTTAAGTTGGTTGTAGTTTTCAATTTCTAATAATTTTTGTCTGACAACCTCAAATTAATGTTAATTTAGCTTCATTATTGTCAATTTACTTTCCTATCAAGGAATAATGGTTAATGTCGTCATATGTATTAAAGCACACTTACTTATTGGGCCTATAATTTCTGACAAATGTTGTAGCTATCATTCTTTCATCTGGGACATATTTATGTGCCCTTGTTAATCAAACAGATGCATATACAATTCATATCCTCATACGCAAAATATGCTTGCACAGTGAGATTTTTTGGCAATATATTTCAGTGTTATTTAAATGATGAGCAATATATTCTTACATGCTAAGTATAATAAACTAAAGGCACAGAGCTATTTTAAAATTCCTAGGTCATAATCATGGCAAACGCTTACAAGCACTTATGATGTGGCTGGCTGTTTCCCCACCCAAATCTCATCTTGAACTGTAGCTCCCTTAATCCCCAGGTATCATGGGAGGGACCCAGTGGGAGGGAATTGAATCACGGGGTTGGTTACCTCCATGCTGTTCTCATGATAGTGAGTGAGTTCTCACGAGATGTGACGGTTTTAGAAGGGGCTTTTCCCCCTTCACTCTGCACTTCTCCTTGCTGCCACCATGTGAAGAAGGATGTATTTGCTTCCCAATTTACTGTATTAGTCCATTCTCATGCTGCTATAAGGACATACTTGACACTGGGTAATTTATAAAGGAAAGAGGTTTAATTGACTCACTGTTCTGCAAGGCTGGAGAGGTCTCAGGAAACTTACAGTCATGGTGGAAGGGGAAGCAAACACATCCTTCTTCTCATGGCGGCAGCAAGGAGAAGTGCAGAGTGAAGGGGGAAAAGCCCCTTGTAAAACCATCAGATCTTGTGAGAACTCACTCACTATCATGAGAGCAGCACACAGGTAACCAACTCCATGATTCAATTACCTCCCACTAGGCCTTTCCCAAGACACTTGGGGATTAAGGGAAATAGAGTTCAAGATGAGATTTGGGTGGGGACACAGTTGGACCATATCATCTTACTAAGCCAAAGGCATTTTTCCAATCATCTGACATACTTTATTTGATTTTTGCAACTCAGTGAGGTAGGTAATGCTATTTTTCCCATTTAAAGATAAGGAGACTGAAGGCAGAAAGCTTAAGTAACTTCCCAGGGTCACCTAAGTAGAAAGTGTCAGGACAGGAATCCCAGGCAGGCTTTCTAGCTCTTGAATCTGTGCTCTGAGCTGCAATGTCATCCTGTCTCTTGCAGGGCGTCATCTGGTTGTATCTAACCAGGTGCATGAGACCGTGATCATCCCATAAACCAAATAACATACAGCTTAGGAATGTTTCTCTTCAATTCTTTTTTATTATCCAGTTCCCTTTCTATTGGAAAGTAGAAATAAGTGAGGCAGGTGGACTTAGAAGTCGTTTGCTGAAATTGGCCATGTGATGGCAGGGCATGGTGGCTCATACTTGTAATCCCAGCACTTTGGGAGGCCGAGGTGGGTGGATTGCATGCGCCCAGGAGTTCAAGGCCAGCCTGGGCAACAGGGCGAAACCCCATCTCTACAAAAATACAAAAATTAGCTGTGTGTGGTGGTTTACGCCTGTAGTCCCAGCTACTTGGGAGGCTCAGGTGGGAGAATCACTTGAGCTTGGGAGGTTGAGGCTGCACGGAGCCTTGATTGCACCACTGAGCTCCAGCCTGTGGAGTGACAGAGCCAGACTTTATCTCCAAAACACAAAAATAAAAAATTGGCCAAGTGAGAATGGGTTGGAGAACCCACAGCTCCTCTTCACTGGAGTCTCACCTTGCTTTGGGTGGCTTTGCTTGGCTTCCTTGGCAAACAGCCAGGTTCCAGTTCCTCCCTACAGTCCTTTCTTCCTGGAAAGCAATGGTTGCATTTTTCCATCCTGGGAAAGGTCCCAGGGCTCCCAAGAGCAGAGCAGTTGAATCACTGGGCCCAGACAGGCAGTAGTGCCTTCTCACTTCCTGAGGCTCACCGCTTCCCTTCTATGGATGAGAAAGGGGGACCCAGGGCCAAAGGGCTTCTCCCCAGGTCACCGTCTCACTCCCCTGGTGCCTGATAATTAATTCAGCAGCTGGAGCTCCTGTTACCACCAAAGATTCATTGAACTCTTCCACGTGGAGCTTGCAAGTCAACTGACAAGACACCTTGAGCTTCCCCCAGATGTTCGCATCCCAGGGTTCCGTCATTAGGCGGGACGAGCTCCGTGCTTATTAGTAGAAAAAAGAGCAATCCACTGAAAGCCGCAGCACCATCTGGAGGAAAATCGATGTCTCTATATTTAGGCCAGATGGGAGCAGCGTCAACGGAACCGAGCGGCACATGTTTGTACCAGTATGTGCCAACAGCACGCGTGACACCCCACATCTCATTTCATTATTTACCAACTTAGAAAAATAACGTGTAAGCCAGGCTACAGGCAGGGCCTGTTTATTGAGAATATGGACAGCAGCCCATGCAAATGACAATGTGAGACGTGACAGCAAACACCACCAACAGACAGTTACTGCCATACTATTGCAACTAAAACGCAATTTTTGGATTCTGTCTGGAGCTCTGTTTTAAGGCATGACTCCAGTGGCCAGTTTTTGCTTCCATAAATGAAGGGATGTTTTGTGCCAGACGTCATTGTCCTTCTGGCCCTCAATGGGGCCATTTAGAGCTTTGTGTCTGTTGTGTGAATGTTTATCTAAGCCCCAACTATTCTGGAGATATTTGTTAATTTATCCTGCATTCAATGCAAGAAATATTAATATGAACTATGAGTGAGGGAGCATTGCTAAGTGGACCACTGTATTTTTTTCTGTTCAATATTCATTGCCTGTATTTCTGGCAAAATAGTGTGTCAGTCTCTTTCTGGCAGGTTCACACCAACCATCATCAGGTCACATGAATGGGTTTCTTCATCCCTTGCATTAGAGGTGGTTATTGTGTCAGCCCATCAAAGCATCCCATTGCCTTAGCCATGGTGGGTTTAGTCATGTTGCATGGCCCAATGAGAGCTAAACAGGTGCAGTGAGACTTGTGCTGAGCTTTTAGGAGTGAGGCAGGTTCTTTCTTTGTCCTGAAGGGGAGAACATGTAGAGTTCTCCCCTGCAGCAGCCATCTTGTGACAATGAGGAGCATTTGGGGGAAATCAGACTCTGATGCTATTTTTTCCGTGCTCGTAGATTGAACCATACATAATATGAAGATGATCCATGGAGTTTCCAACTGTATGAACCACAAAAATCTCCTTTTCTTCTTATGCCAGTTGGAGTCAAGTCTCTTATGCAATGGAGACTTGTCTCCATTAGAAATTTCCAATGGAAATTTGAGCACCAGCCCAGTGATCAAAATATTCCTCCATAAGCAAAATAACTCTTGATATTAGTCAACTATGGATGGCCAACGTCAAAGAAAATAAATTATTCTGACACTTGTTAAAAATGATAGAAAAGGGGCCAGGCACAGTGGCTCATACCTGTAATCCCAGCACTTTGGGAGGCCAAAGCAGGGAGGATCATTTGAGTGCAGGAGTTCAAGACTAGTCTCGGCAACATAGTGAGACCCCGACTCTTAAAAAAAAAATACAAAATATTAGCTGAGTCAGGCATTAGCCTAGGACCAAAGTGAAGTCTGTGAGGGTCTGCCCTGGCCCTTGAGCTGAAGATATGATGGGAGAGACAAGCTTACCTTCCCAATGCTGATTTGAATGAGCCAGCAGAAAGACAACCAGAAGTGGCAATCACAATTTGTTCTCCTGAGAGACAGCCTGTCTTAAAATGAAGCCCGCATGAGGAAAGCAGTACTGAGGAATAGACAGTAGCACAGGTTTCTAACCACATCTTATGAGCCTCCAATTCCTACCCTCCCTAAAGCCAGGACTTTCTGAAGTCTACACTTCCCATTAAGTGAACAAGTGGATGATTATTTATTAAGCAAACTAGAGTTCATTGTCTATCATTTGAAAGTGAAAAGATTTTATTCGTCAACACATGAATATTTCAAAAAACTCAATAGTAACCTTAGATTTAGGATGATCAACTGGGCTGGTTTGTCCCTGAATCCTCTAAGTTTAGTGCTGGAAAATCTCACATCCTAGGAAACCTCTCAGTCCTGGAATATCAGGATGGTTGGGTCCCCCCTAGGTCAGCCTGTTAAAAAAGGTTAAGGAAAACTGATTTTCACTTTACTGCAGGTGTGTATGTGGATAAAATGAAAACCAGAATCAGCTAGGATTCACTGAGCACTTATCATGTGGCAGATGTTCTGATTAGAACTTCTCATATGCTACTTCAGATACACATGACAGCCTTGGAGAAGGGAATCTTAATATTACTCCCATTTTGCAAATGAGGAAATTGAAACACAGAGAGATTAAAAAATAAAGTTCTTAAAGATGTGCAACTTGTCCTGTTCTTAAACTGCTGGTTTCTCTAGAACACATTAAATGGAAGCAGATGATCAATAGCTTTGACCAGAAACTTCAGAGTGTTGGTGGTAGTGCAGCGGGAATGACAAGGAGCTTGGGGCTCCTCCCGCTCTGCAGGACCCAGTTTGATGTAGCTATTTTCAGTGGGAAGGCCATTGACTCCAGACAGTGGATTGAGATCCAAGCAGGTTTGAGTTTCTGTTGACGCATGCTGTATTTGTTAGGCTGTGAGCTGCAAACAACAGAAACCAAGTTTAGCTAACTTAAGCAGAAGAGATTTATTCAGAGGACCTTGGGCAACTCACAGACTCTCTGGATTTAAAAGCCATGCAGACAGGAATAATGGCAGAGGTGATGTTGGGGATGTGGTGTGAGAATGAGGCATACATCCCAGCCGCTGTGCAGATGGAGTCCTGATGCAGTCTGCCTGCGGGTTGCTGGTGTGCACCCTCTGATCCACAGCAGAATGGAGATGAGACCACATTTTAAACTTTCTGGACCGGAGCCACACAATCTGCTTTTGAGTGTGCTAGCTGGACTCTCAGGCAAGCCTTCTCCTCATGGCGGCCCCAGCCAGCTCTTGGTTTACCTCTTTTTCTAGAGTAATTCCAGATGAAAGAGACCATTGTTTCCTATATTAGATGTAATGGTCCCCACCCCTCCCATCTGCCTAAGATATGTCAATCTGAAATCTGTGAATGTGAACTGACTTGGAAAAAAAGGTGTCTTCATCAGTGTAATTAAGTTAAGGATCTTGAGATGAGATCCTCTTGGATTAAGATGTGCCTTAAATGCAATGACAAGTATCAGAAGAGAAGGCCAAAAAAAAAAAAAAAAAAAAAAAAGAGGCCACATAGAAGGGAAGGCATGAAAAGATGGAAGCGGAGATTGGAGTGATGCGTCTACACGCTGAAGAGTGCTAAGGATTGACAGCAGCCACCCACCAGGAGCTGGGAGAGAGGCATGGACGCATTCTCCCTAAAACACTCCAGGAGGAACCAACACTTACGCTCCTTGATTTCAGACTGTGAGATGATAAATCACTGTTGTCTTAAGGCACCCAGTTTGTGGTAATTTATTACGGCAGACCTAGGAAATGAATGCACTTCTTAAATGTCCCCTGCAAAATTTCCAAAATTGTATTTCATTGGCATGTTTGGGTAACATGCCCAACTTGGACCAATTCCGTATGGCCCTTGGATGTAGCTGAGCCACTGAAGTAATGCCTCAGCACTTCTGCTTTGTGAGAAAAATAACCAATTATATAAATTATTAGCAATGACTGTGTTTCTAATTAATACAAGTCTCCTCTCCATAATACAGAGGAGGAAATTGAGACACAGAGGGATGACGTGCCTTTTGCAAGCTGGTGAGCAGCTCATCCATGCCCAATAATCCAGGGTGCAGAATAGGCCAACTGGCCAAGTCTGGGATACGTGCCATCTTCTGGAGCCAGATGTTGGGAGTGTTTTAGCCTTAAACAAATGACATGAACTTGGCTTGAAAGTAAGATGGTTCCCCAAAGTAAAAGCAAAGCATTGTTGACAGAAGTAGAGAAAAGCAATGCTCAACAGCTGTTTTGGATTGAATTGTGCCCCCCCAAAGTCATAGGTTGAATCCCTAACCTCCAATGTGACAATATTTAGAGTCTTTAAAGAGGTAATTAAAGTTAAACAAGATCATAAGGATGAGAACCTAATTCAATAGGACTAATGTCTTTATAAGAGGAAGAGACATCAGATCTCTCTCTCTCTCTCTCTCCCTTTCTCTCTGTGCACACAGGGTTAAGGCCGTGTGAAGACACAGCAAGAAGGTGGCCATCTGCAAGCCAGGGAGAGAGCCCTCATTAGAAACCAAACCTGCGGGTACCTAAATCTGGGATTTCTAGCTTCCAGGATGATGAGAAAATACACCTGTGCTGTTTAAGCTACCCAGTCTGTGGTATATTTGTTATGGCAGCCTCAGCTGACTAATACCATAGGCAAGAATAATTAATACATTTTATAAATCTCATATAGCTAAGAACCACCTGCTGCCCACCACCCTGGGTAGAAGGTTAACGAGAACAGAAGATTGTGCAGCCACTGCAATTGCACCCCGTCAATGTTCTTCTCTTCTTCCTGGGCACACAGTAAGACTGCATTTCCAACCCCTCTCCCCACAGCCAGATGGAATCACGTGACGGATTATGGGTCAATGAAACGCAGAGAACTGATACACGTTACCTGAAGGCCTGGCCCTTAAAAGCTACTCATGCATGGTCCCCTTAATCTTTATGGACTGGCTTGTGAAAGGGATCCGGAGAAGGTTCAAGCCATGAGTGGAAGGGGCCTGGATCTTTGAGTGTCTACACAGAGAAAAGACTCTCTGTCTACACAGAGAAAAGACTCTCTGACAAATCATGTTGTGTTGTAATGTGAAGGAGAACTAGACTTACTGTGTTAAAACACTGAGATACTCGACTTTATCTGTTTTTCTAGCCAGTATTACTTATCTTCATTAATCAGAAAGAATCCAATCAATATACCAAATAGTCAAGATTTGGGGGTTTTAGTTTTCTAGTCGTATGATTACCAGTGACATTCATGCTTGTTTCTGAGGTTTTCTGTGTTTTTCAGATTTTTAATAAAGGAAATGTTTTCAAGTAAGAAAAAACGTGTATTCTTATAAAGTTGGCTATGAAGGATTTGTAATGACACGGCAGCCACTTCACCGTGCATGACTTTCTACAGGCATGATATGAACTCTATTCCCATGCTGTGCAAAGCATCTGTGAAGGTTCCTCATCTATGTGTAGTTGGTTTTTTTTTTTGTTTGTTTGTTTGTTTTGACGGAGTTTTGCTCTTATTGCCCAGGCTAGAGTGCAGCGGTGCAATCTCAGTTCACTGCAACCTCTGCCTTCTGGTTTCAAGCAATTCTCCTGCCTCAGCCTCCCAAATTGCTGGGATTACGAGCATGAGCCACCGCACCCAGCCTATCTTTGTGTAGTTTTGATTGTGAGGAACAGAATCCCGCTCAAACTAGCTCAACAAAAGGAATTTAGTCAAAAGCAGGGACCACCTTGCAGAACCCAAAGTTAAACTAAATAAAGAGAGCAGGGAAACTCCATGGCCTCCCCAGCAGGAGCCTGTGGCCTCTCATGCTTGTGCCCAGCCATCAGCGAGACTTCTCACCAACCCCCGTCACTTCCTCTCTTGAGGACCGCGAGCTGCCATGTGTCTCCACTACCCATATTTGAGGTTCCTCCTCCACCACCTCCAAGTGTACATCACTCTACAGGAGCAGGATCTCTGGGAGACTCAACCTCTGTGTCAGCTTACAGTCTCAAGAGAGAGGCCTGTATTGGGCTCTGTCTCATTTGAAAGTTGCTTCCTTCCGGGTTTGATGTGCAATTGTGTCCTGTGCAGGCATAATCTGACCTTCAGCTGCCAAAGCACACCCTTCAAAAGACCTGTGGGTGGGCAGGAGAATTCCAGAGAAGAGAAGGGTATGACAGCAATAATTGATATGTCTAGTACCTGGCTTGCCTAGAAGAAAACACACAAAATTGTAAGATTGGATGTATCACTACTACCATTTACTAACAGTTGTCAAGCAATAACTACCTTCCTGGCACCATCTCCCACTGTAATGGAAAAAATAAACTTTAATAAAAATTTTAAAGGGATAAAAAGAGATCCCAGCAGTAGTAGTAATATTTAGAGACAAGTTACTTAAGACATTAAGAAGTTCATCAAGATCTCATCAAGAAAACATTAAACTAACATGATGCTGAAATACTGATCAGGCCAAAAATGCTATGATTCTGTGGAAGTATATACAACTCATACAATATTATGAATATCTACTAAAATGAGGAGAGGCATTTCTGGAATATCCAACATGAACTGTTGCTAGGCCAACACAACAACAATCATCAATAATTATTGAGCATCTGGGTATTTCACAAGTGCTTTTATTTAATCTTCCCAGGGCCATTTAGCTAACTCAAAATCCATTTTAACTCCCCCTTTTACTGCTGCTTCAACTCAGGATGAAAAAGTAGATATCTCTTTCCCTACAGCAAAGGGAAGCCTTGTGACCTTGTACTGGTCAATAACATACAGCAAGTTTGGGCCAGGTGCGGTGGCTCACACCTGTAATCCCAGCACTTTGGGAGGCCGAGGTTGGTGGATCACGTCAGGAGATCGAGACCATCTTGGCTAACGCAGTGAAACCCCGTCTCTACTAAAAATACAAAAAATTAGCTGGGCGTGATGGCGGGCGCCTGTAGTCCCAGCTACTCGGGAGGCTGAGGCAGGAGAATGGCGTGAACCTGGGAGGCAGAGCTTGCAGTGAGCGGAGATCACACCACTGCACTCCAGCCTGGGCGACAGAGTGAGACTCTGCCTCAAAAAAAAAAAAAAAAAAAAAAAGGTACAGCAAGTTTGGTAACGCTTGTGCTTTCTTATTTCTTATTTATTTTCTCATTTAAACAAACGGGGACAAAAAAAGAGAGGAACAGTATGGCTACCACCATCCTCAATTAATCCTGCCTTAAACACTGATATGATGACAGGAGCTGTGGCAGCCATCCTGTGAGCACGAGGAAAGGATGAAGGGATGCATAGGCATAAGGCCCTTGGACACAGCTGAGCCACTGGAGCGATGCCTCAGGACTTCTGCTTTGTGAGAAAAATAACTCTTTACTTGTATCAACTATTAGCAACTAGTGTGTTTCTAATTAATACACATCTCATCTCCATATTGCAGAGAAGGAAACTGAGACATAGGGGGGTTACGTGGCTTTCCCAAGCTGGTGAGTAGCTAAGCCAGTGCCCAGTCCAGGTGCATCAGGATCTGGAGTTTGTACAATTAATATCCTACTCTATGGAAAGAGATGAGTGGAAAGACAAAATTATGAGCATTTGTCCAGTCCTATTTAGAGCAGACTCATGTCACATTGGATGAAAAAAATTAGGTCACTAGAAACCATTCTTTTTTTTTTTTTTTCTGAGGCAGAGTCTCGCTCTGTTGCCCAAGCTGGAGTGCAGTGGCATGATCTCGGCTCACTGTAACCTCCACCTCTTGGGTTCAAGCGATTCTTGTGCCACAGCCTCCCACGTAGCTGGGATTACAGGCATGCACCACCATGCCTGGCTCATTTTTGTATTTTTAGTAGAGACAGGGTTTCACCATGTTGCCCAGGCTGATCTTGAACTCCTGACCTCAGGTGATCTGCCTACCTCAGCCTCCCAAAGTGCTGGGATCACAGGCATGAGCTACCACGCCTGGCCACTTGAAACCATTCTGTATAGTGAAACAGGATAATCTGCCCTGCCCATCCCGTTTGTGTGTCTGTGTGTAGGGGATGTAGCTGGCGAATGAATCAGAGAAAGAGACAGGTGTGAGCCTGCTTTCCTGAGGCTTCCATCTTAGAGGAAGGCAGGCAGATGGCCAATGGCAGGATAACACACATGCCAGATGATTTCAGAGTGAAGATCCCCCGGGAAGCAGCAGGCGGAAGGGTGTGGACCTCTGCAAAGGGCTCTCCCGACTGTGAAGTCACAAATGGGCTTTCTCAAGTACCTGGAGCCTGGCTGTGTGGGATCACATCCCACAGCCGGGTGGTCCCTAAATGAGCTGATTCTCATCAAAGCCGAGAAGCATAGTCAGGTGTGGTGGCTCACGCCTGTAATCCCAGCACATTCAGAGGCCAAGGTGGACGAGCCACTTGAGGCCAGGAGTTCGAGGCCAGCCTGGCCAACATGGAGAAACCTTGTCTCTAAAAAATAAAAGAATAAAGAAGCAGCAGAACTTTGTAGAGTCCCTCCAGGAAGCAGTGCCACGAGGCCTTGGGGCTGCTTACTACAACTGAAGGAAGTGTAAGCGACCGCCTCTCTGAGACAGCCAGGTGGGAAGGGGTCCCCAGAGAAACTCCAACCTGCCTGCACACTGGGGTGGGGCCACAGAGGTTCACGCCACTTGCACCAGGGAAGAGCCTGGCCCCTCCTCTTCCTGGGTGGAACCTGGGATTCAATCTGCGAGGCAGGAAGCATATACTAGCAGGATTCTTGCTTTGGCTTTTCGGAGAGTCCCTGTTACCTTTTTTTTCCTTTTCACCCAATAAACTCTATTTTTATTCCCCTTCAAATCATCTGTGAGCCTAATTTTTCGTGGTCATGCGACAAAGACCCTGTCTTTTTTTTTTTTTTTTTTTTTTTTTGAGACAGAGTCTTCGCTGTGTAGCCCAGGCTGGAGTGCAGTGGCGCGATCTTGGCTCACTGCAAGCTCCGTCGCCCAGGTTCATGCCATTCTCCTGCCTCAGCTTCCCAAGTAGCTGGGACTACAGGCACTCATCACCACGCCCGGCTGATTTTTCATATTTTTAGTAGAGATGGGGTTTCACCATGTTAGCCAGGATGGTCTCGATCTCCTGACCTCATGATCTGCCTGCCTCAGCCTCCCAAAGTGCTGGGATTACAGGAGAGAGCCACCGTGCCCAGCCTGGCTCCTGTCTTTAGCTGAACTAAGGAGAGAGTTCTACAACATTTCGGGCAGTGATTCTTCCACAACATTCTGTAGAGATTCCTCCAGAACATTCTGTAGAGATTTTTCTAGAATGCTCTATAAGAATTCTAGAACATTCCATAGGGATTCTTCTAGAGCATTCAGTTACTAGGATAGCGGCCTATAGACACAGAGCCACTCTTTTACACACCTCTTGGGTTTAATGCATGATTCAATATATATTTCATAAATATGGAATAATATTGGTGCTCAGCAGAGACACAGCAACCTTGGATGCGGTAGAGGAGTTAGCTGGCTTCTCTTACATCTTTTCTTGCCAAAAAGAGTCTGGAATTATCAAAGACACCAGTGACCCCTTCAGCTCACCTTGGACAGATTCCAGAGACAGGAATGGAAGCCGTCCTGGTGTGGAGAGATTTTATTAAGGAGGAGCGTTCCTCACGTCCGTGTCCACACTGCTGAGATGGGTTCACAGGAGTCCCTGCCTTTGAATTGGGGTCTCTCCTGTCTGCACAACAGGGAATTTATTGGCTCAGAGAATCTGAAGAAGGCTGTGTGATTGCCCAGCAGGAAGGGGGTGAACGTGAGCAGAACTGGAAAGGGGGCTAGAAGGCCAGATGGGCCCTTCCTCACCATCCCCCACCCCTCTCTGTGCACATCAGTCTTATCCTCTCTTACTGTGGACCTGAATTCTTTTTTTTTTTTTTTTTTTTTTTGAGACTGTTTCGCTCTGTCACCCAGACTGGAGTGCAGTGGCGCCATCTCAGCTCACTGCAACCTCCACCTCCCAGGCTCAAGCAATCCTCCCACCTCAGCCTCCCAAGTAGCTGGGACTACAGGTACACAACACCATATCTGGCTAATTTTTTTATTTTTTGCAGAGAGGAAGTCTCATTAGGTTGCCCAGACTGATCTTGAATCCCTGGACTCCAGCAATCCACCTGCCTCGGCCTCCCAAAGTGCTTGGATTATGCGTGTGAGCCGTTGCACCTGCCACATACCTGAATTCTTTATTGAGTGGAAAATATGGCTGACCACAACGCCCAGATTTTATAGACAGTAGTTCCACTGCCTTTGGGAATCCAGTTCTTGTTCCCAATTTCAGGTATTAATATCCTAGGGAATTCTCTGATGTGCTTTTGGGTTTACCGGCCTCCCATGGACCATTCATGTGTAGGAGGCATGAAGGCCAGGGCACGTGAAAGCATGCCTGCCGCCCTGGACACTGTTCAGCAGGTCCCAGAAGGAGCCTATGTTTACAGAGTAAGAGGAGAGGCTGACCAGCAAACAGAAGGGTCTGATTCATCCCCAAATCACGAGACGAGCAAGGTGAGAGCATTCTCCACTGTTCCCCTTTGTTGCATCTCTCTACCTCATGCCTCTCCAGCTCCTGTTTGCCTTCAGGCCATTCTCACAGGCAATGCTGAGTGGAATCAACTTCCAGACATAAGGCATAGAAGCCACACTACGTGTGGGTTGCTTGCATTGATAGAAAAATTTCCAGAAAGCTGCTGGCCATCTCTTGTGTTATAGAGAGAAAGAAATCTCTTCATCTCACGTATAAGGCCAAAATGGGAGTATTATTAATGCATCTTAATGCTGACAATGCCATTTTGTGCCACCTACACTGACACTCATATTTGTTTTTGTGATTTATAACAGCAGTATTGTTTAATTAAATGTTAATTGCACCAGGACTACAAACGTATATTCTCTTTGAAATTCAGGGATAATGCTGAAGTTCCCATCAATTATTCTCTCAAACCCACATCTTCTCTTTTCCCCAGGCTCAACCATTGATTTGTTTGTTTTGTACCTTGTTGGACAGCTCTATAAAATTGCATACATGTATTGGAGCCTAGAACCTGAGAGGTTTAAGTATGTTGTGTGTGTCTGTGTGGGTCTTCTTTGAAAAGTCAATAAACTCTGGGTACTTTGGTGCAACTTTTTAATTCAACAATGGATCATGGATATTTTTTATGTTATCATATGTAGGTTTAGCTCATTTTAAACTACATTTCCCTATTAATGGATATTTTCAATTGTTTCCACTTTTTCCTTATTAACCTGTGCTGAAATACTCATGTGTGGAGGAGAATATTTCTCTTGTTGAAATTTCTGAGAAGTGAAATTGGTGTATGCTTTTAAAATTCCAAGTCCTGCTCCTACCAGGAGTGAGAGTGTGAAAAGATACCTGTTTCCGATACCCTCGTCAGCACTTGATACTAACAATCCTTTTAACTTTTATTACAATGTTCTCAAATGGTGGTTTAGAGACATGAAAGGCCATCTGTGAACACTGGGTTTGTACATTCCAGGCAGGTAATTGGCACTTGTAAGATGGGAAAATAGTTTGAGTAAAGCACAGCATTTCATTAACAAAAGCTGACTTTTAAAATCAAATGATCTACTATTTGCAGGATTTTAGCCTTTTGCTCATCCCAACAGTTAACTGCAAAATTGACCGTCTTTGTAAGTTGTTCCCAAATGATATACACTCAGCTCCCAAACAAGATGTCATTAAGGAGCTTCACTCTCTGCGCTTGATGGAACAGCAGCTGCTTCTTTGTGAAAAAAAAAATAATAATAAATAAATAAATAAACAAACCCCACCACAGTATACTTTTTGAAATGGTCTTAAAGTCGAGAAACGTTTGTGGGACATGATTCTGCAACAAATGG
The DNA here is from genome assembly GCF_000001405.40 of Homo sapiens. Classification (NCBI taxonomy): domain Eukaryota; kingdom Metazoa; phylum Chordata; class Mammalia; order Primates; family Hominidae; genus Homo; species Homo sapiens. The sequence continues at coordinate 129,961,167 of NC_000012.12, forward strand.
AACTTTGGATTTGTGTGTTGGGTGGAAAATTGGACTGGAAGAAGTTTAAAATCCTTTCCAACTTGGACAGCCTGTGTGCCTGTGGTTCCCTTGGTGATTCTCAATCATAAGGATGACTAATTCATTCAACAAAATATGACTTTATTTCCTGCCATCTGCCCAGCACTGCTCAGGATGTGGGGATGAATCAGGGAATGAGACACATGGACCTGGTTTCATGAGGCTTCCATCCTAAAGGCAGGCAGGCAGGCAGGCAGGCATCGGCAAGATAATGCACCTGCCAGATCATTTGAGAGACTGGGAAGTGCTCACGAGAGATAGGCAAGCTGTCTTGATGGAGACGGACTGGAGAAGGAGGTTAGGAAGCTAGGAGCTGACATGAAACTACATTTCCCTACTACTGGATAATGGTCAGGAGGATGCACTCTAAGGGGGCTAGGGATGAACATTAAATTCCAGGACGAGGTCCTGAGAGAGGCTCTGCTCTGTTACCTGACAGTCTAGGAGGGGACAGTCTATGAGGGGACCATCAACCCTTGCTTAAGGGCAGGACACCAGACTGAATCATGTCAGCATCGCTTCCAGATTCGAGATTCTACAGTTTTCTAAAATGCTGGCAAATCTGAAATCTGAGCTCTTCTCCCCACAGACGCAGGAGTCCACGATGTGAGTGGCATCCACAGCTCCCCGTGGTGATTTGAAGGAATGCCCCTTGGCATCACCAGCCTCATCCTGACTGTGGCCATCACTGGAAATTCATATGCAAAGAAAAGAGTCTTTCTTTTCTTTCTTCCTTCCTGCCTTCCTTTCTTTTCTTTCTCTCTTCTTTCTCCCTTCCTTCTTTTCTTTTTTTCTTTTCTTCCTTCTTCTTTCTTTCTTTATTCCTTTCTTTCCCTTTTTTCTCCTTCCTTCCTTCTTTCTTCTTTCTTTCTTTCTTTTCTTTCTCCTTCCTTCCTTCCTTCCTTCCTTCCTTCCTTCCTTCTTCCCTTCCTTCTTTCTTCTTTCTTTCGGTGGAGTTTCACTCTTGTCACCCAGGCTGGAGTGCAATGGGGTGATCTGGGCTCACTGCAACCTCTGCCTCCTGGGTTCAAGTGATTCTTCTGCCTCAGCCTCCTGAGTAGCTGGGATTACAGGTGCCCACCACCACACCTGGCTAATTTTTTTTTTTTTGTATTTTTAGTAGAGATGGGGTTTCATCATGTTGGCCAGGCTGCTCTCGAGCTCCTGGCCTCAAGTGATCTGCCCGCCTTGGCCTCCCAAAGTGTTGGGATTACAGGCGTGAGCCACTGCGCCCGGCTGGAAAGAGCTTTCATTGTGTTTTACCAGGTTGGTGTGGTTCACTTTTATTGCAGTTTTTGAGTGACAGTGGAGTAGTAGGACTTGGAGGGTAGATTGTCAGCCACTCATAGCTGTGAGACCTAGGAAAAGTTCCTCCACTGTCCCGTGCCTCAGTTTTCCCCTCTGCAAAGTCCTCATGGATTTGGGACTGGTGGGTTACTTCACATAGATAAGGCATTTGATGTCCGCCGCACAGTGAGCCCTCGACTCAAACTGGCTCCCCTTGCCAGGGCAACCCTCCCTCTGTGTCCCGTGTGGTGCCCGGCTTCCTTGGGGCAGGCGTACAGTGAGATTTAGGGTCCAGGTGGGTTGGCCTTTAGTTCTGTGTCCATGAAGCTTGCCTCACAGGTGGCCACTGAGTTGGTGAGCATCTCCCTGCAGGTCCGTCCCTGGTACATGCAAATCTGCCTGTTGTGTGGTCTCCTTAGGCACATCCTTCTCTGGGGTTTTGTCACCTTCATGACGATGCCAAAATACCCACACAGCACTTGGCCTGTAGAGAATCCCCTCCATGATCCCTCCTGCTTTTTAATTTTTTTAAGAGACAGGGTCTGTCACCCAGGCTTGAAGGTAGTGATGCAATTATAGCTCACTGGGCTCAAGAGATCTTCCCACATCAGTCTCCTGAGCAGCTAGGACTACAGGTATGTGCCTCCATGCCCAGCTATTTTTTTTTTTTTTTTTTTTTTTGTAGAGACAAGGATCTCGCTATGTTGTCCAGGCTGCTCTTGAACTCCTGGCATCAAGCAATCCTCCTACCTTGGCCTCCCAAAGTGCTGGGATTACAGGCATAAGCCACCATGCCTGGCTTCCCCTCCTGCTTCTGAATTAGACAGTATTGATCTCCAAACCCTCTCTGGGACATTGATGTTTGGAACAAATTCAAGAAGTTTCCCAGGCTACTTTTGCTCTCTTCTCTATCATATCTATGTCTGAGGCTGACTTTCTGCTTGAAAGGGAGTGAGAGGGCACAGGGAAAAGATAGGTGTAGAGAAATATGTCAAGAAGGGCATCCCAGCTATGTGGGAAAATGTGCCTAGGCAGCTATCAGGGCTGACGGCATGTTGCTCAGGGCCTTGCAGGACACAGATGTCACATTCCAAAGGGACGATGGAGGGGAGTTTAGTGAAGGCACCATTGTCAAGGGTGGAGGCAACATGAGACTAGTAGCAGTAAAGCCTGATGCCACCCCAACACCTGCAGGGTCAGGGGAGCCTTCCCTGCAGGAGCCGAGAGGATCCACAGTGAGATGCAGCCAACCCATGGAGGCCCTGCAGGGGAGAAGCCAGTGGAAGGAATATAACAGCCTCTCTACTCCTGCCCTCCGTCTTCTGCCAGAGTGTCTCACTGGTTGGATCCCAAATCCAACCAAAGACAATGAAACCTATGAATGCATTTATAAAACATCCCCCAAGACATAGAGCAGTGAAGAGTCTAAGGGGTAAATGGGAAGTGTCTAGTGCAACAAGCTTGTGCTCTAACCCAAACTGATGAATGCTGGGGTCTTCTCTGCTGGAGAGAGCTTTTGCCACATTTCATGCAATTTATACATTTAAGGGACCAGACTCAGGAATCCAACTTTCCTGTCTCCCAGACTCTTGCCACCTAAAAATAGACTGATGAACAATTTTTGTGTAGAAAAGCCAAAATCAATTCAGTAATGGCTACTGCTGCCTTCAACAGTGGAAAAGGTGGGGAGAAGGAGGCAGCACCCTGAGAATGCATGAAGGACTGTGAGGAATGGGCTTTCTACTCACAGGTAGAATCCTATTTAATCATAAGCTCGAGAGCAGGTTTTGCTACCTTCCATAACATCCATAAATTATCCCCGTATATTTAAGAGTCGGGTTCATTGATTTATAATACAGTTCATTTATAAAAACCAAACTTATTTCACAGATGACAGCAGCTACTTGAAATGCTCTTTAAAGGGAAGATGGCCTAAAAATTATCCAGTTTGGTCTGAAACAAATTATTCACAAGGAATGCAGTGTCAGCAGGAAATGGGCCACGTATTAGTCGCTGACAGGATGAGACCATATCAGTATCTGATAATTATTCCAGCACTTCAGGATGGAAACACACTGATAAGATGGGGAGTGGGGAGCGCCAACGGAGGCCACAGATGCCCAGCAGCAGAGAGACATCATGCATGGTCTACCATCTGAAAAATATATTTCGGGGGCTACTGATTTTTCTCTTTTAAAAGAGGCAAAGTGGGTATATTGAAACGACCTGAATGTTAGAGTATCACCCAGAGTTTGTGGTCTCATGGCCGTGGAGAACAAGGACATGGAGATATGAAGAGTGAAGTTAAAAGTGGAAGTTTAATTGGCAAAAGAAAGAACAGCTCTCTGCTGCAGAGAGGGGTCCTGGAGAAGTGGGTTGCCGGATCCATGGTGAAACACAGGGGGTTTTATAGATCAGCTGGTGAGGAGGCAGTGTCTGGTTTACATAGGGCATGAAAAACTGGTTGGACCAAATGTGCCATTTGCATAGAGTGTGAAAAACTGGTTAGACCAGAAGTGCCATTTGCACAGGGCTCGAATCTCTGGCAGCCCCCACCCTAATCTCTTACTATGCAGGTGGGTCCCCTGCCTCAGCTGTGCCATGTTGCCCATTCCTTTACTGTACACCTGGTAACAAAAAAAGGGAAGATGGAGCCTCCATGTTGGACACACCTGGCCCCCACGTAGCCCTTTTCTATTGGCACAGCTGCCGGCATTCCCCCGTGCAAGCTTCCAGCTTGCTTATCTATGTTTGCAGCTTGATTTTTCAGGCTGCTCTTTGTTAGACAAGAAATGTTTTCCTGGGCTGCTTTGTGTTAGAAGGGAAGCTCTGCTGAGGACTCTTTCACTCTATCTACCTAAATAATTTCTTTCTACCTCCTTTATCAGTATTATCTATTGCTGTGGAATGGATGACTATGAGCTTAAGGTCCTAAACAACATACAGTTATTATCTTGTGGTTTCTGTGGGCCAGGAGGCTGGACATGGCTTTGCTGAGTCTGCTGAGAATTGTGATCTGATCGAGGTATCACTCAGGGAGGAGAGCTCATCTGAACGTGAGGCTGGGGAAGGAGCTGCTTCCAAGCTCACCTAGGTTATTGCAGAAGTTCCTGTGGGCTGCCCTCCTTCCTGGCCTCATGGATCCCTGACATGGCCTCTTGCTTCATCAAGCCAAGAAGAGAGTCCTAGCAACCTGGGTCTCCCAATACCACACAATGCAAACATGCATATCCCATCACCTATACCACCTTCACCTTTACCACCTTCTACTGGTTAGAGCAAGTCTCAGGTCCTGCCTGCCCTCTGGGAAGGAGACCACACAAGGGGGTGAACATCAGCAGGAACAGGATGGAGACCACAGTGAGAAAGGCAGAAAACTATCTTGGGGGAAGAAAAGGAAGCTGGAAAGAGAAAGGAGAATGATAGCACGAGACACAAAGATGGATATGTGAAAGTTGCAGGAAAGTGGCTTTAAGACATTTGTTATTTCCGAATATCTGAGCCCTTCGCAGAAAGTAAAGCAATGAAATTTCACTGGAACAAAAGCTGAGAAGAAAGGCCCAGCCCTTATTTTATTGAGTGTTGTAAGAGCAACCAACACCAAGAGGTCAACCAGAGAATTCCCACTGACTTTACACCAAAGGACTTTTCTCTGTTTTTTCCCAAGAAAGCCCAGGCAAAGAGAAATTGTTTTGCTGGCTCCTTCCCATTTGCATCTCGGGCCTCAGGGAGGCACCGGAGCGCCATTCAGACAGACCCATCAGCTCTAATCTCCTTTAATAACTGAGCGCTCCCACCCTACAGCGGCCCTGGGAAGCATTAGAATGAGCTGGGGATGGAAAGCATCCCCTCTGTTTTCCAGGATTTTAATGGAGTTGTTGAAAAGGAGGTTTTGTTCAGCAACTTACTGTGCCCCAGGAGGCCTGCAGCAGCCAGGCTGGCTACTGACAGAGTAAGGAGGAGACAGACTCAATATTGTAAATGTCCACTGAAAGCTCCGAGAGGAAAGAGAGGTAGCAGGGAGCAGGGAAGGCAGGAAGGCTGGGAGAGGGTGGTAGAAACACTGTCACGATGGTGAGTTCTGTCTGCTGGAAACCAGACAGGCTGTTCATCCCAGTCTGAATTCCTGACACAGTAACTCAGCTCCGAGGAGTTTCAGGGTGATCCACCCAGCTCTGCTCTACTTATGTAAGGAAACAAAAAGAGAACTCCTCCCCAACCCCCATCATGTCACTCGATATTTCTTCAGAGCCCTTTCCCTTCCTGATCACAGGAGGTCAGGCAGAAAGGCTTCTCTTTGGCTTCCGACAGCTTCTTTTTCTCCCTGAACTTCACAGGAAAGATTATGACAGTGCTGCCCCAAAGCAGGAGCTATGGTCCTCTGATTCTCTGTGGAGTAATTAGATCACATAGTGAGAGCATTTCTCCTTTGTAAACCCTCCAAGGTCAGAGTCTCTTTGGGCACTGGCATGGCTGTGATGCTCCCGCTCTCGCTCGCCTCCCTTCTAGCACAGCAGGGCCAGGAGTTCGGCTTGCAGCCTTGGCATACGGCAGCACATATCTAGAATGGTGCTCATTGCAGTTATTTCTTATGGTTGACTTCTATTTATAAAACATTGTAATGACTGTCCAGTCAGGTAGCAGTAACATTTTTCTTTTACATTACATTTATGGAAGTTAAAACGGTGATTCTGTGAAGCTGGAAACTCTGCAGGTTGTTAAACTTCCTATGTGATCTACTGTAAGATAAGTCATTATCTAATGGACCACCATGCTGGAGGGTCTGTTGTCAACTCAGCCCACCACCCTTCCAAGGTTGAGAACCTCGTGTCCCAGGATCCCTTTCCAGGCACAGTTCAGGTGTGCTAAAAAGGGGAATTTGCACAAGAAGGCACAAAAGAAGTAGAAGCTTGTATTCTCCAGGGTCAGTTGCAAGCAGGCAAGTAGGCAGATAAGAGATTCACAGTGGCTTCTGGACACACTGCTAAACCATTCACTTCACTGCAGCCAACTGAAGTGGTTGGTGGAGCTTGGTGGACTGTCTTGAAGCTTATAATCGTTCCTAAAAAGTCTTGGAGAATCACTGGCTTTGCTTCCACCAGAGGCGTTCAATGTCAGCTCCTCTCACCTTTCACAGCAGCCTCTCTACACACTCTTGGAAGGATATTTTAAGGAGGTGAAATAATTAATGGCTCCTCTCTAAGCAATATTGGGGGTGGTTGAGTTGGGTGGTTATGGTGAGATATTAATCGGTCAAAGGTCCATCCTCATTCAAACTCATTTTTGTTATCATCAGCAGCATCTTTAGTGGTCAGAAAGCACCTAGACACATGTCATGTCACAGGAGGTCAAGCACATGAGTGACCTGACACACCCACTCCACCAAGAGCAAAGCATCTCAGCGGCTTCTTCATTGAAGGATAGTCACTTGCACATTACTGGACACAGAGAGCATCCTGTTGGCCATTCTGCATCAGCAATGGCACGATGAATACACACTAGTGTTGAGTGGAGACCAAAGTGAGCTCCAGTCAGGGGTGTTGTGATGCTGACAGCGTGGGTCCTGCAGGCAGCATCAGCCTGAGGAGCAGGGTATGAAAGGCAGGGCTTATTAACAGAGATGACTTTCTATTGCTTTGCTGGAATGAAACATTAAAATTATCTTCAGTAATAGTCACCAAACTTTCCTAACTATGAAAGAAATGTGTTTTACAGTCATCTCTCAGAAAAGTTTGCCTTTTAGGCACATTACAGGATTGCATTTTGCAACTTCTTCTTGTGCAAGTGGGTCCAAGCATGATTAGATCTCACCCAGCACAGGCGCCAGTGAGACTCTCCAGTCCTGTTTTTCTGCAGGCAACTGGCAACTCTTTTGAGGTGGTATCTGCTCCCTCAACCTGGGTCCTGAGTGACACTGATGAGGAGAGCAAGCCCTGCTGATCAGTTACAAACATGCAGCACAGACAAGCCATGAAAAGGTGTTTTTAAGCTACTGAGATATGGGGATTCTTTGTTACCACAGCATAACCTATCCTATGCTGATTGATATAGTTATGTGTCCATGTTGGTTTTATGTCAAACAATGCACTGATATTTGGCATTATATTTTACTCTCTTTCATTTACCTCTAAAATATTAGCTGCAATCCAATGGTTTCATGACTCATGATGGGTATGAAAAACATAGTTGCAAATGTACATGTGTTTTTGTGATTGGTTGTTTGATCTCTGCCTCCCTGCCTACATCATAGCACCATGAGGCTGGTGGTATTTAGTGAATGAATAAAATTATTCTATCTAGTTATTTAGATGTCCTGACCCCACTGATGATACTTTTCAAGTTGGCCTATAAGCCCAGCACGGACTAAGAAAATGAGCACCACCTCTCATGGGGAGAATGAGTCGATTTATCACTGAGAAGATGGGCATAGTGGGGCAGCAAGGCTGGGAAGACTATTAATAACAAAGCCAGGATTAACTGGCTTTAATTTTGCATGTGGTTTTTACCAAATATCAAGAGAACGGAGCTCCTTATGTTACTTTGTTGTCTTGAGATGCTCACATATAGAGCTTCTCTTGGAAATAAGCCTACACCTCCCTGCCTTGTGGGGAAATGGGCTGGGATCCATGTCCATGCAATAAGAAATTGAACATTAACGTAATGTCAAAGAAGGTAAGCTTAGAATGAAATCCATTCAATTATTGTACATTCGACTTTAATCTGAAAGAAGCTTCTTCGTTGCCTTGGCTGCACTGCAGGTAATGGAAAGGTAAAATTGGCTTTAAACTTTTATTTTATTCATTGTAAGATAACTGATTTCAAATATTGAACTTCCTTCAGAGAAACAATAAATTACTTTCTGAAATATAAATTATGCCAATAATGGATGAGCTGGATATAAATGGAATTCCATCGTCCTTGGAATGTATTCGTGTGTGCATTTTTCTACAAATGGAAGAAAAGAGAATTACAGTGGTGAAATAAAACAGTAGCACCGGTATATTATTATATGTTCTCTAAAGATATACAGCCAGTGTGTTGTGTGAATTAAATGAACCACAGAGGCTGAATATCCTCAGGAAGATGAACCTCAGACTTTAAAATAAAAAGGGAAACATGAGCCTCATCTTACTTATAAAATAAGTGAGCGCTACCACCTAGAACATTCCAGGCAGTTCTGCTCTGAGTTCCTCAAGAAGGTATTGCAGAGCTAGACAAGGTCCTAGTAAGACCAAGTGATTGGTAGAGTTAGTAGCTTCCGCAAAACAGTATAAAGGGGTTTCCCTTTCATCTTGTTTTCTGAAAAAGTACAGTGATGATGCAAAAAGAAGATGTCCTTTAAGAAAGGTACCTGCACTTTGTCCTATTCACTCCATGGATCTAAACAGAACTCATCAGTAGAATGCACTGTTTCTCTACTTGTTTTGCAGGTAACAGCTGGCCATTTTGGACAGGTGAAAGTGAAGCCCAGATTCAATTCTAAAAATAAGAAGTGGAGATAGAGGTGACAAACTTTTCTGTGTGAAAATGTATTTTCTCATCCAAGAAATATTTATCAAGTACCTGCCATATACCTGGCACTTCTCCACACACTAGGGAAATGGCAGTGCACAAAATGAACAAAAGTCTACATCCCATGAAGATTTTCTCCTAATATTAATAGAAAGATGCCATACATTGGCCTAGGCAAAGATTTTTTGGATAAGAACTCGAAAGCACAGTCAACAAAAGCAAAAATAAACAAATGGTATTACATCAAACTAAAAAGCTTCTGCACAGCAAAGGAAACAATGGAGTAAAAAGACAACCTGCAGAAGGGAGAAAACATTTGCAGCCTCTGCATCTGACATGGAGTTAACATCCAGAATAAAAAAGGAATTCAAACAACTCAACCACAACAGAAACAAACACTCGAGTTAACAATGGCCCAAAGACCTGAACAGACATTTCTCAAAAGAAGATTTACAAATGGCCAAACAGTATCTTTAAAAAGGCTCAACATCACTAGTCATCAGGGAAAGGTAAATCAAAACCACAATGAAATGTCAACTCATCCCAGTTAGAATAGGTATTATCCAGAAGAAAAAAAAAATAACAAATGCTGCTAAGGACGTGGAGAAAGTGGAACTCTTCTGCACTGTTGATGGGAATGTAACTTAGTACAGCTATTATGGCCAACAGTACAGAGGTTCCTAAAAGACTTAAAAATAGAACATATGACCCAGCAATCCTACTACCAGGTATATATCCAAAGGTAATGAAATCAGGATGTTGAAGAGATATCTGCACTCCCATGTTTATTGCAGCGCTATTCATGACAGCCAAGATATAAAATCAACCTAAGTGTCCGTCAGTGGATGAATGTGTTTTAAAAATGTGGTATAGCTGCATACTATTCCATGGTGTGTATGTACCACATTTTCTTTATCCAGTCTATCATGGATGGGCATTTAGGTTGATTCCATGTCTGTGCTATTGTGTCCTTTGCAGGGACATGGATGGAACTGGAGGCCATTAGCCTTAGCAAACTAATGCAGGAACAGAAAACCAAATACCAAATGTTCTCACTTATAAGTGGGAGCTAAATGCTAGAAGACATGGAGACATAGAGGGGAACAGCACACACTGGGGCCTACTGGAGGGTGGAGGGTGGGAGGAGGGAGAGGATAAGGAAAAATAATTAATGGGTACTAGGCTTAATACCTGGATGATGAAATAATCTGTACAACAAACCCGCTTGACACAACTTTACCTATGTAACAAACCTGCACGTGTAACCCTAAACTTAAAAGTTTTAAAATGTGTTCTATATACCCTATGGAATACTATTCAGCCATAAATATAAATGAAATCCTGTCATTTGCAACAACATGGATGAAGAGCCTGAAGGACATTATGTTAAGTGGAATAAGCCAGGCACAGAAAGACAAATACCGCATGATCTCACTCACACATGGAATCTAAAAAAGTTGATCTCATAGAAGTAGACAGTAGTATTTACCAGAAGCTGGGGTAAAATTATTATGTGTCAATTAAAAATAAAATAAGACTAAACAAAAAGATGTCATAGTATGTTAGAAGGTGATAAGTGTTATGTAGAAAAATATATTGGAAAAGGGGGACAAGGAGTGTTGAGATGAGGGTGGATCCTGGCCTTAGATAAGATGGTCAGGGAAGAGCCTACTGAGAGGGAGACAGTCAAACAAAAACCGTATATTGATGCAGAAGACAGCATGCAGAAATCGGAGGGATGGACTTGCAGATAGATGCAGAATTTTTCAAACCTAGTGCTGTGTGAGGCAGCTGTCCTGGGTACTGTAAGATATCCAGCAGCGTCCCTGTCTTCTACCCACTAGGTGCCATAGCACCTCTCCCCCATTGTGACAAAAATATCTCCAGACATTGCAGAATGTCCCCCAGGAGGCAAAATCGCCTTTGGTTGAGAACCACTGAGCTAGAAAAAATAGCAAATGAGAAGGCGCTCAGTTGGAGACCTGCCGATGTTTTCCAGGAACAAGGGGGCTGGTTTGCCTGGAATAGAGTGAACAAGATAAATGCATGAGAGATGAAGTCAGGAAGACCATGGAGGCCACAAGCATGAGGCCCGTGGGCCATTCTGACACTGAGGTCTACTCCACATGAGGTAAGCAGCCACTGGGGGCTCTCAGTCTATGTCAGGGTGCAAGCAGTGCTGGACATCACTGCCTCTCCAGGTCTCGTCTCTACTCTTCCCTGCCCTCCTCCACACCATTACCAATTGCACCCAAGGGCTCCTATGGCCTTTGGCTTCCTGTCAGACTTGGCCTGTGGTAGCCAGAGAGAGGCTCTCTCTACAGCTCCACTCCCTGGGCCCTGGCTACCACCTCCTTCTTTGCCTCTTCAGGTCTAAGATAGTAATGGCTCCCGATTGTTAAGACCCACAAAGCACTGCATCATGCATGCCCTTGTTTCCTCTTGCTCCTGTCCAGCCCAGTGGATATCTATGCTCCTGTCCACCCCAGTGGATATCTATGCTCCTGCCCAACCAGTGGATATCTATGCTCCTGCCCAACCAGTGGGTATCTATGCTCCTGTCCACCCCAGTGGATATCTATGCTCCTGCCCAGCCAGTGGATATCTATCCTCCTGTCCACCCCAGTGGATATCTAGGCTCCTGCCACCCCAGTGGATATCTATGCTCCTGTCCACCCCATGGATATCTAGGCTCCTCTCCACCCGAGTGGATATCTATGCTCCTGTCCACCCGAGTGGATATCTATGCTCCTGTCCACCCCAGTGGATATCTAGGCTCCTGTCCACCCCAGTGGATATCTATGCTCCTGTCCACCCGGTGGATATCTATGCTCCTGTCCACCCCAGTGGATATCTATGCTCCTGTCCACCCCAGTGGATATCTATGCTCCTGTCCACCCAGTGGATATCTATGCTCCTGTCCACCCGAGTGGATATCAATGCTCCTGTCCACCCAGTGGATATCTAGGCTCCTATCCACCCGAGTGGATATCTATGCTCCTGTCCACCCCAGTGGATACCTAGGCTCCTGTCCACCCCGGTGGATATCTATGTCATATGCCCTCCGTGTTCTTCTAGGACTCTGATGAATGCAAAATTCATGAGTAAACCTAGAAAAGAGCAAAAAGTACAGCTGGCTCCCCAGGCTTCCCAGGGTTGAGTCCAGCTATGGGGACAAGGTTTATGTCTCCATTTTGCCTGGATGCATCTAATTTGAGAGTTGTCTCAAAGAAGCAGACAGATCCACACAACAAAAGAACACGCTTGGGTTTTAAAATAAACTTTGTTAAATAAAAAGGCTTTAAACAAACTTTGTAGCTGGAGGCCTTCTGCCATATTTACAGGCACCAGCAACACCGTGGTAGCTGTTTCCAAGATTTGCAGCCTCCCAAACTCCTGCAGAGGCTGGTGACAGGACTGGCAGCTTATCTGCGATCTGGGGGAGGGCAGAGTGCTTCCATTTTGTGCCTGTGGAGTTCTAATTCCAAACACCACCACCAGCAGCCTAAAAAGACAAAAGCAGAAATTAGAGTGGTCTCAGATAAGCAGGTAGCTTGGGAAGAGAGATTGGAAGGGAAGGTTTGAGGAAATAATCTAACAGTCTAAAGTCCGTTAAAGTAAATATAGACCATGCATTTTTTTTTTGTTTTTTTTTTCTTAAATTATATAAAGTAAGTCATGGAGCAGGAGGGAAGGCTAGGTAATATAATAATGACATAATCAGTGTTGAGGCCAGAGAAATGTGGACAAGCCAGGCCATGAGAAAGTTTCGTTCAATCCACCTGGTATTGTCTGAATGTTAGAATTCTAGACTTCCACATCTGAGAGCTGGAGTAGATGTACTTTTCCCTATTCCTCCTGCTAAGTAGAGCTAACATCCATGCTTTACATTATCTGTAAAGCAAACAGGACCCAAGGAACAATAGGACGGTGAAATCTCTGGTTTTATTTTTGCCTCATGTAATCTAAATTGAGTGCTAGAGATGCTGATGCTTCAGAAACACCAATGGATGCAGATGAAAAAGGCCCTAAGTCTGCTCTTTTTATCTCAAACATAAGGAAAGAAACAGACTAGCCAGACAGAAAAGTTTTAGATAATTATGCTGCTTCAGCCACATACCACAGAAAAAATGATGACCCATTCTACCACTGCCAGTCAAGATTGAGACTTGACCTTCTCCACTAGTCACGGTGAAGGAGACCAACCTTCCTGTGTGTCAGTGGGGGACAGATGAGGAGCAGCAACAAGGCCCACTATCCCCTTCCAGTGAGCGTGGTGCTGTCAGTGGAGCCCTGAGAGTTCAGAGAGTCTGAACTCCCACCCTCACCCAGCAGCAATGAGGAGCCCCTCTCCCCAGGGGTCAAAGGAGACAGGGTGAGGAACCTGGATAGAAATGAGGCAGCATTGTTCTCCTCCATCCCTCCAACCAGAATGACATCAGAGAAAGCTGCTGAAACAAGATTAAAATAATATCCAGAGTGCTGTAGCATAATGCTTAAAGTGAGCAGGTTTGAATTTTTAAAGTCCTTCATTATACTAAGAATCAGGGAACTATCAACTCGAACGAGAAAAAGCAACTAATTGATGCCAACATGTAGATGACACACAGAATTATGTGGCTAGGATTTTAAAACAGCCATCCTGAAATTACTTCAATAAGTGATTCAAAGCACACTTGAAGCAAATGAGAAATAGAAACTTCAGCAAAGAAATAGAAAATAAACAGCAAATAAGTAGAAGATACAAAGAGAACCAAATAGAAATTACAGAACTTAAAAAGAACTGAAATAAACAGCTCAATGAATAGGCTCAACAGCAAAATAGAGGTGACAGAGGAAACAAGCAATTAACTGTTATATAAGACAGAACAGCAGAAATTGCTCAACCTGTTCAGAGAGAAAATAGACTAATTTTTTTTAATGTGAGACCCAGAGACACACTGGGACTATACCAATAGATTTAACATTTATGTCTTTGGAGTCTCAGAGGGGAAAAGAAAAATGGTGAGGTTGAAAAGGTACTTTAAGAAAAAATGGCTTAAAAGGCCCCCAAATTTGGCAAAAAAAACAAAAAACAAAAAAAAAAACAACAAAACATAAACCAACAGGTTCAAGACTCAGTTGACCCCAAACAGGACAATCTAAAGAATTTCATCCCAAAATGCAGTATAGCCAAACTTCTGAAAATGAAAGAGAAAAAAATCTAGAAAGCAGTGAGAGAGAAACAATACCTTATATATAGGGAGGAAACAATTTCAATAAAAGAAGATTTCTCACTAGAAACCTTGGAGGCCAGAAGAAAGTAGCAAAACCTTTTTCAAAGGCTGAAAGAAAAGAACTGTCGACTCAGGATTCTCTATCCATTTAAAATATCTTTCAGAAATGAAGGAAAATCAAGACACTAGCAGAGGGTGCAGAACTAAGTGAATCTGTTGTCAGCAAAGGTGTCCCAAAAGAACGACTAATGGAAGTTATCTTAACAGAAAGTGATAACAGAAGAGATCTTGGAATATCAGAGACAAAGAAAGAACAATGGAAAGAAGAAAAAATGGGTATGTATAATAGGCTTTCGTTCTCCTCAGTTTTCTAAATTATATTCGAGATATGAAGCAAAAATTATAACACTGACATGGTTCTCACCGCATGTAGAGGAAATATTTAAGATAATCATGTATGAATGTGGGAGGGTAAAGGACATGAAGAACATGAAGGGAAGTAAGGATGACTTGAATGGGTAAAACCAGTAGACTGTGGCAAGTTATATGTATAAAATAAAATACCTGGAGCAACTGCTAAGGTCTACACTGTGCAATACACTCAAAAACACTATAGAGAAATCAAAACAGAATTCTAAAAAATAGTCAAGTAATTCACAGGGAGTCAGTAAAAAGGAGACAAGAGAAACAAACAAAAAACAGAAATTACAAACAGAAAACAAAAAATAAAATGAAAGACTTAAACCTTAATATCAGTAAAAGATGAGTTAGCAGATGAGTATTCAAAGGCATACAAATTGATATGATGGACTTTGGAGACTCAGAAGGTGGGGAGAGTGAGATTGGAGTATGGGATTAAAAAATTACATATTGGGTACAGCAAACACTACGCGGGTGACAGGCGCACAGAATTTGCTACTATGTAATTCATACATGTAACCAAAAATCACTTGTACCCTAAAAGCTATTGAAATGAAAAATAAAGACAAATTAACAAAATTGATTTATTAAATGACCCAATGATACACTGTCTATAAGAAATTTATTTCAAATATAGCTACATAAGTAGGTTGAAAATAAAGAATGAAAAATGATATGCTAAAGAAACATTAATCAAAAGGAAGCAGGTGTGCCTATATTAATATCATATAAAGTGGACTCAGGGGAAAAGAAATTTTCAAGAGACAGAGAGAGACATTATACAATGATAAAATAGTCAATCCACCAAGCAGATAGAGTAATCCTAAATGTTCATGCCTCAAACAACACAGCTGCAACACAAGCAAAACAAAAACCAATAGAATTAAAACGAGAAATAGACAAAACAACAATTATAGTTGGAGACTTCAACAACCTCTCTAAACAACTGATTGAAAAACTAGGCAGAAAACCAGAAAAGATGTAGAAGAACTCAACAACATCATCAACCAATTGGATCTAATTTACATTTATAGGATACACCACCAAACAACAGCAGAACGCACGTTGTTTCCAAGTGTCCACCAAACAAATACCAAGATAGGCCATTTCCTGGGACATAAAACACACCTCAACAAATTTCAAAGAATTGAAATTATACTAGCTGCATTTTCGGAGCACAGTGGAATCAAACTAGAAATCAACAACAGAAAGGTAATGGGAAATTCTCTACACACTTGAAAATAAACACACTGAGAAAATCTCAAAGACTCTCAAAAAAATACATTGGACGGAATGAAGTGAAAATAAACATATCAGAATGTGTGGCATGCAGTTAAAGCAGTGCTGTGAATACAATTTACAGCACTAATATTTTACATTACAGAAGAGAAAAAGTCTAAAATCTGTAATCTAAGTTTCCACTTCAATAGCCTAGAAAAAGTAGAACAGCGTAAACCTACATCATGCAGAAGAAAATAATAGAGTAGAAATAAAAGAAATGGAAAACAAAACTAAAATTAAAAAAAGAAAAGATAGTGAAAATCAATGAAACTACGAGCTGGTTCTTTGAAACAACCAATAAATGCAACAAACTTCTAGGAAAACTGGCAGGGAAAACAGAGGGAGAAGAAAAAATCACCAATATCAGGAATAAAACAGGGACTAAAACTACAGACTCTGTACACATCGAACGGATTAGGAGAAAACACTGCAGACAACTCTACACACATAAATTTGACAACTTGGATGAAATGGAATTTTAGGTATGACAGATCTTGTTGCCTCATAAAAGGAAGAAAGAGCTTTGTGCCTATGTGATGAGATTATATCTTGATGTACAAATTTGCACCTTTTTTTAAATTTTTTTTTATTATACTTTAAGTTCTAGGGTACATGTGCACAATGTGCAGGTTTGTTACATATGTATACATGTGCCATGTTGGTGTGCTGCACCCATTAACTTGTCATTTACATTAGGTGTATCTCCTAATGCTATCCCTCCCCCCTCCCCCCACCCGACAACAGGCCCCGGTGTGTGATGTTCCATCATTCTCAGCAAACTATCGCAAGGACAAAAAACCAAACACCGCATGTTCTCACTCATAGGTGGGAACTGAACAATGAGAAATTTGCATCTTTCATAAGTACTTTCTTCACCTTTCATTTTCTCATTCTTCTAAGTATCTGTGAATGCCAGAGACCAGCCCTGTGGCCAGCAATCTTCTGATGGCCCTGAGAATCTGCCCTGCAACATTATCTTCCTGCCCACTGTGCCATCATCCTAGAAAATCTATTTTTTGGTATAAATTTAAGGGGCACAATTATAATTTTGTTACCTGGCTATATTACATAGTGGTGAAGTTTGGGCTTTTAGTGCATCTATCATCTGAATAATATATCTTGTAATCATTAAGTAATTTCTCATCCCTCACTCTCCTTCCATCCCCGCACCCTTCCAAGTTTCCAACGATTATTATTTTATTCTCTATGTCCATCTGTACACATTTTTTAGCTCCCACATGTAAGTG
This sequence comes from Homo sapiens, assembly GCF_000001405.40. NCBI lineage: Eukaryota > Metazoa > Chordata > Mammalia > Primates > Hominidae > Homo > Homo sapiens. Next base: position 129,978,190 of record NC_000012.12, read on the forward strand.
AGAACATGGGGTATTTGCCTTTCTGAGTTGTTTCACTTAGGATAATGACCTTCAGTTCCATTCACTTTGCTGCAAAAGACATGATTTTATTCCTTTCTATGACTGGATAGTATTCCATTGTGTATATATACCACATTTTCTTTATCCAGTTATCTGCTGATGGAGACTTAGGTTGATTCCATGTTTCTGCTATTGTGGATAGTGCTGTGATAAACATATAAGTGTAGGTGTCTTTTTTATGTAATGATTTTTTTCCTTTGGGTGGATGCTCAATAGTGGGATTGTTGGATCAAATGGTAAAGTTCTATTTTTAGTTCTTTGAGAATGCTCTATACTGTTTTCCATAGAGGTTGCATTAATTTTAATTCCCACCAACAGTGTATGAGCATTACCTTTTCTCTGCATCTTTGCCAACATCTGTTATTTTTTCTTTTTAATGATAGCCATTCTGACTGGTATAAGACGATATCTCATGGGGTTTTAATTTGCATTTCTCAAATGATTAGTGATGTTGAGCATTTTTTTCATATGCTTGTTGGCCATTTGTATGTCTTCTTTTGAGAAATGTCTATTCGTGGATTTTGCCTACTTTTTAATGGGGTAATTGAGAAAATCCAATGTTAAACGGACATTTTTTAGTTGGCCAAATACAAAACACAGGATTTAGATTTTTGGACATTTTGAAGGAATGATGGATGCATGAAGAAAGAGCTTTACACACAGCCAAGGTGGGACATGACTCTTTGGAGATTGCTCTGCAGAATTCACAGCAGTGACACATCACCTCTCTGTTGTGTTGGTGTAATACACTCTGCAACAGGTCACCCAAACTCCCAGGCATTAGAAATCAAACTCACCTCTATAAACCAAAGATTTACAAAGGAGCTACTAATATGAACTCTCTTCAGCATTTTAGATAAATATACCATGTATCATTATTTAACATAATTATCAGCATATTGCTAAATAGGTCTTCTTTCCTGCTTGGTGTTGAGTAAAATTGAATCAAGATGGTGCAGTGGGAAGACTATGCACTTTGTGTAGGGTTCTCAAAGGACTGTGTCCTGACTCTGTCATTAATAAGCTACCTGGCCCCTTGGGCATAACCCTGCTCATCTGTGAAATGAACTGACAGTAAAAGGTTCTTCCAGATCTTATGCTTGATAGATCTCTGATGATTCATATTCTTACATAAAAGTCTAAATTGCCTGGAATTATTAATTTCTGATCTCATCCATTCCCTGCTCAGAATCTATGCATCGCTCCCCACTGCTTTTAAAATTACCACCCAAATCCTTAGCCCCAGCTTCAAATCATGCGATGACCCTCAACATTGTCTTTCTTCTTTCCTAGTGATGGGTCACCAGTCTCATTTTTCCTTTGTGCCTGAATGAATATCCTCCTCTGTCTTGCTAACTCTTAGTCATTCTTCAGTTCTCTAGTCCAACATTCCTTACTCAGAAAATCTACCCTAACCACACAGAATGGACCAGCTCCCTGTGTTATAGGCTCTGGTACATATTGGTACTTTTCCACATAGCTTTCATGGCAGTTTGTGTTGTGGTGGGTTTCAGCAGGTGTATTTGGATACTGGCTCTCTCATGCTAGACTGATAAGACTGCAAGCTCTTGAGAAATAAATGTGTCCATTTTGTTCACCATTGTACCCCGACCAGCATGGCACCTGGAGGATGAAAGGGAAGAGGGATACAGAAAGAAGTTGGGGGCAGAGATAGGGGAAACAACCTTCTAGACAAAGGAGGCAGCAAACACAAGGGTCCTGAGACAGAACAGATGTTAGTGTACAGACTGGAGAGTGAAAGAGGTAAAATCCAGAGGCAGAGAGAAGCCAGATCCATGTGGGGTCATGCAGGGGATCGTGAGGAGCCGGATCGTTTGACTAATTAAAACGGGCTGCCCCGCAAGGATGGCAGAAAGAGACATGATTTATGTTTCAAGGTCAAATAACCACTCTGGCTCTATGTGAAAACTGGATTGTGTGGAACATTCATAGAATCAGGAGGCTGGTGAATTTGCCCAGGTGAGAGATGGGCACTTAGGGGAGAGTGGTTAGCAGTGAAGATGGAAAGAATTGGGTAGTTAGGGTTAGATTTCTGAGACAAAGCCTATGGGACTTGTGGTAGTTTGGTTGTTGGTGTCAGGGAAGGGAAGCATCACAGAAAACTCCTGAGTAACACCTTGACAATGAAGAGGCTTAAGGTGCCATTTACCACGTAGGAAAACCATGGTTGAGGGCCAGGTGATGGCCTAAATCATGTCCCATCTCCCACCCAAACTCAGGTGCCAAGGCCATAATCCCCAATGTGATTGCATTTGGAGACAGGGTCTGTAAGGAAGTAGTTGAGGTTAAGTGAGGTCATAAGGTTGGGGCCCTAATCTGGTAGGACAAGTGCCTTGATAAGAGGAAGAGATGCCCGGGGTGCACATGCACAGTGGAAAGACCATGTGAGGACACAGCAAAGGGCAGCCACGTGCAAGCCACGGAGAGAGGCCTTGGGAGAAACCAAACCTGCTGACACCTTGACCTTGGATGTCCAGCCTCCAGAACTGTGAGAAAATAAAGTTCTGGTGTTTAAGCCACCCAGTCTGTGGTATTTTGTTATGGCAACACTAGAAGACCTATACATTAGGTCTTGGAGGAAAAAAAATTGTTTTTAATATATTTCATGTAACATATTTTTAAACAATCAAATGGTGATGAGAGCCTTACTGTAGGTGAGACGCTCAGAAAAAGGTCTGGACTGTAAACAATAGGTGCTCAATGAATGTATGTTGAATGAATGCATGAATGAGCCATTTCTGAAAACTACCAGAATGGCAGGTATTTTCTTGCCACTAAGTATGTGGTTTTGAAGGACCATGACCTTGTAACCAGCCAAGAGAGGAACAAGTGAAACCGAGACCATCCAATTGTGTCTTTCTCTTGAGTCTATCCATGATGGACAAGACTCAGTGAGAGCCAAATTTAAAAACAGAACCCAGAGGATGCCCTAGGAGTCCACGCTATCAGCATCCCAGCACATGCAGGAGTGTAGCCAACTCGAGGGGCAGGCATGGTCATACTTAACTCACTTTTGTTCATTCATGGTGCTATGACTGGTCAGTCAGTGCATGAGTCTGTCTTTTCCTAAACTTTAAGCAATTCTCTACTTGTGACTCCTACCAAAGACTGAAAGACGCAATAGTCCTCTGGGAAGACCTCTTGTATCCATTCTTCAGTGGTAAACCAGAGAAACTGATTTGGGCTAACTTAAGCAAGGAGAGAACATAGAACAGTGGTCCCCAACCTTTTTGGCACCAAGGGACCAGTTTCATAGAAGATAGTTTTTCCATGGATCAGGGCAACAGGGATAGTTTTGGGATAATTCAAGCACATTACTTTTATTGGGCACTTTATTTCTATTACTCCTACATTGTAATATATAATGAAATAATTTTACAACTCACCATCAGGTAGAAACAGTAGGAGCCCTGAGCTTGTTTTCCTACAACTAGATGGTCCCATCTAGGGGTGATGGGAGACAATGACAGATCATCAGAGGCAGTTAGATTCTCACAAAGAGCACACAACCTTGATCCCTCACATGTGCAGTTCACAGTAGGGTTCGTGCTCCTATGAGAATTTAATGCTGCCACTGATCTGACAGGAGGAAAAGCTCAGGCAATAATGCTCATTTGCCTGCCACTCACCTCCCGCTGTGTAATCCAGTTCCTAACAGGCCATGGACCAATACCAGTACATAGCCAGGGGGTTGGGAACTCCTGAGATAGGTGATAAAGTAGCTGAATAGTTAAAAAGCGTAAGAACACAGTTTCAAAGAGCACAAGAGCTAAGGAAACAACCGGCCATCTTCTTAGGATGTGGCCACTGGAATGAGTCTATTTTCCATTGTTGCAACACTCTGCTAAAGACTCAAAGTTGAGAAAGAGCTGATAGACTAGAATGAATTTTAGGTTCACTTTTGGTGAGGGAGTACTAGGATCTTTGACTAACTGTCCCCCACACAAGACCACATGCATTAAGGAAGAGCTCATTCTTCAAAAGATAAATTGGAGTGTTACTACCGAAAGAAATTGAATGGATACATGTGGGCAAAAATAGGTTGTCCACACAACCCAGGAGACAGGCAAATGGGACCGATCTATCACTATGTGAGCGGATCAGTTGACCACACCATGGTAGCTCAATTATGGGTGAGAGACAAAAACGTTCAGTAGCTTTACCGGCTGGAAGGACAGTGATTGAATGTGAGTTGATGACTTGCATAGTGCTGATGGAAGCTGTAGGAAAAGGCAAGGAGGAAGAGGGAACAGCATAGACACAGGATTGTCTTATACCCTGGGGAGGAGGGTACTCTAGTGTTAGGTCTTCAGGAACCTGGTTTATTGTTGTTGCTGTTGCTGTTTTTCTACCCAACTATCAGATGAAATAGCTACTTTATTGCATATTCAAACTATCCATGAGTTAAAGATGGAGATAGGAATGGAATTGAGAATGAGGCTGCAGATTAAGACACAAATGAATGGGGAGAAACAGGTACAGAAAAAGATAATGTTGCAGTAATGCACATCAACTGGCTACTCCCTTCTCAGCCTCCATCTCCCCTTCAGGAACAGGACCCCACTCTTGGTCCATGTAGCTCCAGAGGGGTAACCTACATGAGGAGGCAGCCTAGTTCACTGCTGAATCCCCAAACCTAGAAAGGCACCCACAGCTGAACAATAATTTCTTACATTTCCTCAATGAATACCAAGATTAACAAATTGCAAACCATATGGATCACAAATTCTTAGATTATTTTTCTTTAGCTGTTTCTGTAAATCATGAACTCTTCTCTTGTAGAAGGCTTTCACCGCAGAGCCTGCAGAACAAAGATTCTTACTGTCATTCTTTCCACAAATCTACTGACAGCTCTATTAGGGCTTGGTTCAGAAAATAATTACACACTGGCTTCCGCTCCACCAAAAATCCAAAGGAGTCAGTTTGGCAGGCGCCACAGCCCTGTCGGGCTGGACACTCATTTCTTCTTCTCTCTTCCTGAGTTAATCCCTCAACTGGCAAAATGTGCTGCTTTATCATTGGAGTTATTTATTTCACAAGGTCTGGAGACGACAGGCAATGCCAAGTCGGTTTTGTCCCTGGCCAATTATGAATGAGGCTGCATATCTGGCCTCTGTGCCCAGCCAGCCTTGTTCTGCTTCTTGGCCTCTGCTTCTAGTGTGCTCCATCATGGGCGCAAAGGTTGGGTCCAGCCATCAGCTGAGGGTGAAGGAGCCTATTCATCTTCTCAGGTGAGCTGAAATTGAGGTCAGACTTGGACACGAGGTGGCTAATTAGAAAGAAGCCCAGCTGCTGGGGAAAATAACTGCTTAAGTATACGATGGTTCTGAGTGTGGGCAGCTCCCCTGGGTATGTAAGGGTCGCTGGACTCTTGCTGGCCACAAACAACTCTGCTCGGTTCCACCCCAACCAGTAGCCCCGACCCACTGAGCAATATTTTTTGCAAAGGAAGATTTTTCTTCTTACTGTGGTCATTTTGCTCAGTGGAGTGGTTCTGCTTTTGTAGTGCAGAACAGTTCTCCACTGCCAAATCTGGTCCCTGTAAACTCCTCCTAGCTCAGCCAATTTAAGAAATTAAGTGACGGAAATCAAAACAGGAGGAAGGGAGAGAAACGTGTCATGAAGAGGAAAAAAAAAAGAAAAAAAAAACCACACACACAAGCATCACATTTTTTCCCTTTCTTTGAATATCCTGAAAATTGCAAAAAAAAAAAAAAAAGTGTTTTTATGTGTGTGTGTGAAGTTGGTGAGACATTCCTCTCTCGGTAATTTGAATCTAAACAGCACGTTGCTTTCAAGCTCATAATAGCCGAAATCTGAGGAGCCACTGCATATGTATGTTTTAAAAAGCTGCAAGTGTTTGGAAAAATAGGTGTCTTTTGCACCACGTGCCACACCTGAATAAGAAAGAAGCCCTGAGGGCAGGTGCAAAAGCCTCAAGAACATACTGCAGAAGAGGGCAGTGGCGGAAAATGTGCCTGAAGCTCAATTGCTCTAGAAGCCAAGAAAAGGGGGCTGGCCCATGAATTCTGCTTGGCCAGAGCCAGCGGATGCAAACATTTCCTCCTCCTGCCAGCCCCCCACGCTCTGTGGGAGATGGTAGAAGGCCAGGATCTTCAAAGGGAGATCAACAATTGGCCCTCAGCTCAATATCAACTAGAAGCCAGGATAGCTAATTTGTTTGGCTCATTCCCTGAGACCCTCTAATATTCAGAAAAGGAGGCCTGGGACATTTTTAAATGAAGTCCCAGAAGAGAGAATAAAGTATCTAAATCATTAAGGATTTCCCAGGAATTTCACTGAAGAGTTTGGGGATGGCTGGATGAGGTTCAAAATGACTTTGGAGAATGGGGAGAAAGAAAAAACCAAAAAGAAAATAATCTAGTCTCACTTTTTTTCGATTTTTTTTCCTTTGTGTTTTTAAAGAAATCATGTTCTACAGAAAAAGACAACTTCTAAGGCAGAAACTCAATTGGCATTTATTTCCTTTGCAGGAGGAAGGCTGGTGATTTAAACACAACTCATAATGGTGTGGGGAATCTTTTCTGTAAACATTCTAATGAAAATAGAAATTAAGCTTACTATTACTTGGTAGAAACACAAATATCAGCTTAGTGACCAACCAGCTTCTAGTTACTGGAATTGGCCGGTGTCTCCCTCCTCCCCCTGTAAATTAAAGACCGCATTCATTAATGAATAATTAAATACATAAAAGTATATCTAAGCTGAACATTACTGTCATCTTTGCTAAGTGTCTTTTTAGTTAGGTTAATCTCATTTTGATTTCATTAACACCATTCTCTCCCCAGTGGTCCCTATATTTTGTCAGAGGCAGGACACAGAAAACAAATACTTTTCTCTGTGCATTTTGCTGCATTTCTGTTTATTTTGAAAGACTCCATGAAATAATTACTTCACTTCTACCACCAAGGCCCAAACTTTTAGAATGTCTCCAGAGTACCAATCATATAGCAATTTAAAAATCATAATACTACTTATCACTTTAGTTTCCTTGACTACTTTTGGCATGGTCACTTTGAAATATCACTCATTTGGAAAAAAGCAAAACCAAGTACAGGCTGAATATCCCTAATCCCAAAACCCAAAACACTTCCAGCCCCAAGCATTTTGGATAAAAGATACTTAACCTGTACTCTGCAAATTTTCCCTCCATGTATGTGATCACAGTGGAATTGTGTTTTTTTCCCCCTCAAAAGCTTACAGCATATGCAAGTTAACCACAAATCTAGAAGACTCCATGAAGTCAATGAGCTGAAATACTGTCAGACAAATGGCACACAAACATTAACTACAAGCTCAATTATGGAGAACACAGAACAGCAGACTCCTCTTGAGGTTATTAGTGACTGTGATGCTACCATCTTTAATTATGCCTCTGCTGTCTATTCCAGAACACTAACTCTTTAGAAAAGTAATGCACAGAAATTCTTTATTAATCACCAGTGGGAGATGCACTCACCCAAATAGTTGTAGTTTGCTAATGTGTTTACTTTCAAAATCTTGAAACCTATTAAGAAATCTGCCCACAGGAAAACTCACTGACTGCTAACACCAAATCAACTTTAATGATGGTAGAAAGCTTTGTTGTTACCAATTACCCACGGCATAGCCTTCTAAGAAATGGTTGGGGGAGGGAAGAGAAGGCTGAATCCATGGACGTATTTAGACTGTCTATTGGATATTTGCATGAATAAATTCCTCTGCATTTGAGTTGCAGTTGAGAGGACTCACAGTTTCATAGGTGGATAGAGTCACATCGGGATGCCATAGACTCTATTCACACCTAAGACACTCATCATCAGTTAAATGGAAGCAGGTGAAAGTGGAAAAAAAATCAATGCTAGCTTCCCTATTCAGAACTTACAAGAGCTTTTTAAAAAGATAGTGTGCATCAAAGAAGGGGGAAATAAAATGGGAGATAGGCAGACTTCATGGGAAGATGACTTTAATTCTATCAGAGGTAAAAGAAAAATGGTCCTCTCTGAAAAGGTAACAAATGAATGGAAAATATAGGACATGACAATTTGATAATCAAAGCCCCAAGGCACCCTTGGCTCTCATGCCCAAGTCTCATCTGACTTAAGGCTGCCATGCTGTAGGGAAGCCCTGTGTAGGTGTTTCCAGCTTAGGCAAAAGACATGAGAGTGAAGGGGCCTTTAGATGACTTGATAATTTCAGTTCCTAGCCAGAAGTCTTCCCAGTTGAGACCCAGGACATCAGGCAGTAGAGAAAAGCCACCCTTAAGGAGCCCTGTCCAAATTTCTGACCCATACATCCCATGGCCATAATAAAAAAAATTAAAGTGCTGAGTTTTGCAGTACACTGCTATGCGGAAATTGCATCTGGAAAACAGGGGTTTCAAGTCTTGACCTGAGGGAAGGAGCTGAGATTGTTTTGAAGAACTTTGCAGTGTGTGTTCAGTTCTCAGGCTAATCATTTATAAATTTAAATGACAAAAATTGAGAGGATAGGGAATTAGTTCAAGACAACTTTTAGCCCTCTAAGAGATTCTTTGGGGGTATTTGGGGAAATTTAAATATAGACTAGATAATAGAAGATATTATGGAATTACTGTTATTCTGGTAAACAGTGATAGTAGTATTACAGTTATGCATGGAAAATATCCATTACTATTTTTAGGAGCTGTTTCTGAACTATTAAGAGATAAGGCACCCTGTGTCTTCATGTCTTCAGGTCACTTTCAAGTGTCTCAACTTCAGCAAGAAATGAGAGAGAGAGGAAGAAAAGAAGTAAACATGGCAAAAATGTAGCAATTATTGGATCTAGATGGAGGCTATTTGGATGTCCAGTGTAGCACTCTTTCTCTATTTCATAGGGATGAAAATAAAATGTGGAAGAAAAAAAAGTGGGAGGGGAGAAGAATTTTCATTGACCTCTCAGAATTGTGAGAAGCGGAAGAATGAAAATGACTGCAGAATAGAAGACTGAAAACTCTCATAGAATTACTGTCAGTCCTGGTCCAATACACTGATCAGTTTATTTAGAACCAAGATGACAGGCAATTAGCTATATTGATAACACCTGGAATTTAGCAAAATAGGCAATTAGTTCAATAATAGTGATCAAAACAGAGCCAGGGCTTATCTCTCCCCTAATGATTATATGACAGCAAACCTGAATGCCTATAGGGACTAGGAAAATCCCTGAATGCAGAAACTCAAAGGTTTAGGATGATAATGAAAGAAAATTGTAAGGGCTTTCTGGACCCAGCTCCAGTCCACTGTTACCACCCAGGGACATCAGCCAAGTGTTCTCTGATCTTCCAATGTTTTTCAAAGCCAAAAAGTTACAATTGTTATACAAGACCTTATAGTTTCAAAATGCTGACAATGAATGTAAAAATGTGAAAATACAGTGCAGGCCAAATAAAAGACAACTCCACGTCTCATTATTCAACCCAGAAGCTTTAGTTTGAGACTTATGCTACATTGCATCGTGGCTGATTGGTTGATTCCACTTTTTGCCCCTCACGGTAGTATTGGATACAGCTAAAATGCAAGCTGTAGAGGCTGAAGTGATGATTGCCTTGGTGTGACACCCTGCTCTCCTCTAGTGATGATACCTGCCTCTCTGCAGCTACACTCTGCAGAGTGTAAAGTGTCTCCACTATAGGTCCAGGACTCTCCTTTCCTCCATAACGTCTTCCCCACTAAATGTCCAGGATCCCGTCCTCCTTCCCTGAGAGTTTAATTACATCCTGGCACCAGCCAGGGGAAGTTTCGCCCACAGTGTAACTTGAGTCGTTAGGAGACAGATTGATGCCATTGCTGTGGAGTGGTCATTGAGTGATGGATTGGAGGAAGGACAGCAAGGGTGATGGCTGTGTGGATGACTGGTAGAGAGTGGGCTTCCTGGGGAGGCTGTGTGTAGCCCTGCCTGTGAAGTGGTGTTGACTGTGGTTCTCAAAGCCGTCTCTCCCTTGTCACATCTCTTTGCTCTTTTCTCCTTTATCCCATTCTATTTCAGGGAAATACTTTCTAGTCTTGGTAGAAGGAACTCAGGATGTCATTTATTGTGTTTATTTTATACCTCAATTTCTCTTAGAGCCCAGCTTCTAAGGTTCAAACTCTTTTTTATGCCGCTACATTTCTTCTTTGAATTAATGCCAGTTGCACAGACACCCCCGACCCCATCATCCAGATGGAAAATAATGCCAAGTATAAAAAGATAGAAGATAGCAAGAAGAAAAAAAGATCAATATACTAAACAATATTTCATACAACATAAACAGAATAGATAAAAATCGGAAATTCAAAAAAGAGAAATCAAAAGTAGGAAAATAAATTCGGGAAAAAGATTAGTCCGTTAAAAAACTCACTTTAATTACCTTGGAGAGGGCCATTGATTTAACTCAGAGCTTCTCAGAATCTATATTTATCATGAGGTCCTACCTGTACAAACATCAGACTTCATGTCAAATGCAGATACCCCTTCCAAATAGAAGTCAGGTTCCAAAAAGGTTGGCTGAGGAAAACTTCAGGGAGATAGAACTATGTCATAGTTAAAGCTTGCTCCCTTTTGTTGCTGTTGTTGTGTTATTGTTATTCTCTAATTGGAGAACAATGGTCAAACCTATGACCACATGTAAGCCAGCAACCCAGAAGACTTGGGTCTACATCCTGGTTAGAGAGTACAAGGCTCAGGCTCTCAAAATCTCGGTTGCCCACCCCTTTGTGTACCAGGTACAAGCTGCCCTCCAAACATAAATGCCTCAAACCTATAACACTTGTTCTCCAGTAAGTATAACAAGAGAGTCTCTTTTCTCTAGACCCTGCTAGAACAATGGTCATAGCAGGGTCCAGAGATAAGAGATGGCTTGGTCTCCAGCACCATTTGGTAGCAGGGGAGAATGGAGGGAGAGGGGCTCAACAGTCATGGCTATGAAGCCATTATGTATGCTATGCTTTGAATGTATGTGTCCCTCCAAATTTCATATGTTGCAACTTAAACCCCAAGATGATGGTATCAAGAGATTGGGCCTTTGGGAGGTGACTAGGTCATGAGGGTGGAGCCTTTATAAATGAGATTAATGCACTTATAGCAGGACTGGGGGAAATTAGTGAGGCCCTTTGCCCTTCCGCTCTTCTGTCATGTAAGGATGCAGCAACAAGGCACCATCTTGGAGGCAGAGAGCAGCCCTCACCAGACACCAAGCCTGGTGCCTTGATCTTGGACTTCACAGCCTCCAGAACCATAAGAAATAAATTTCCATTGCTTATTAATTACTCAATCTCTGGTATTTTGTTGTAGCAACACGAACAGACTAAGACAGCATAAGTGGCCACATTGGGATGTCTCAGTTCAATGATCTAACCAGTTCAAACCTAGGCTTATGAGTCTACATTGGGACTGACATTCTATGGCTTTGCTACTGAGAGAATGTGCTGATCAGTAAATGTGGTTTATGGGATATCAGCAGATCTGATCTAACTGTACAAGTGGCACAGCTTATTTAGAGGTAGAAGCGGAAAGGTCTTTGTGAAGTCAGCACTTTTTTCAAGGTGCCAGAATCAATGAAATCTGGACTTATATTCACAAGACACACAGATGGTTCTCATGTGCATTTTTAAGATCTAGAGCTGTCCTGATAGTTATAACATCTCTTCTCTCTGGAAGCTGCAGATTTAGGTAGAAAGGAATCTTTTCTTGTGGCTCTTGGATGTGAAGCTTATGGTTCCATTTCTCATTGAGCATTTATAAATGAACCTTATGAATTATTATTTTAAAAAACAGATGCCAGGTTCCATTAAGATAAATATATAGGTATTGTTGCTTCTTTCCCATGTGTTGTATCTTTTTGTTTTGTTTTGTTTTCTGAAGCTGTTACTTAAAGATTCACCAGACCTCAGAAACTTGTCAGTAATAAGCCTTTTCATTTGCTTTTACAAGCAGCATGCAGAACTACCAAGATCACAAATAAGCTGCCTCCTGTCCCTGGAAGTCTCCCAGATCCTCTTCTGCTTTTCCTTCTCTCCCTGCTGATCTTTTCTTTCTGGGCCATGGCTCTAACCTCAGGCTCTCAGCCCCTGATTCAGATGTTTGGTTGGGAACAACAGTTTGGAGTCCCCTCTCTATGTCCTGCCTCCAACCACAAGCACCTGCCCCCAAACTTCTCCAAAGCATATCACCTAAGGACACTAACACCAAGCAGCCCCTGGACTACCACTGAGGTGCCCTTGAGTGCCTTAAGTGCTGCAGCTAAAATCATATTATTTGGGTAAAGAATTACACAAAACAAGAAGAGGTAAGAAATCAATTTCATTCTCCACTACCCTAAACACATGCACACGCACGCACGCACACACACACACGCACACCCCAATTCTCCTCTAGTGAAGGTTTTTTATCAGCAGGTAGAGGTGGTAAACCCTCTTCATTCAAACACACATAAAGTCAAGACACTGAGGCTCCACCTCATCCCAGGTTTGGGGGAGGGCAAAAAAAAATGCCATGTTGAGTGAGGAGAGGGCATGGGTGGCCATGCTGGGTGAGGAAGAGGGTATGGGTAGCCATGTTAGGTGAGGAAAGGGTATGGACAACCATGTTAGCTGAGGAGAAGACATGAGTGGCCATGTTGGGTGAAGGGAGAGTATGGACAGTCATGCTGGCTGAGGAGAGGGTATGGACAACTTGTTAGGTGAGGAGAGGGTATGGGCTGCCATGTTGGGTGAGGGGATAATGTTGGTTAACATTTACAAGATCCTAAGCACATTGGGCTCATAATTCCATTGCATTGCCTATCTACTTCCCCTTTTCCCACTGAAGAAGAAGCTACTGATATAACCGTCTTTGTGCAACCACAATATTTTTCTTTAATCATTGTTTTGAGAAAAACGTATTAGGAGAAGCCTTATAGGTACCCTAGGAAAGGTCATCCAGGTAATGATAAAAAGCTTCACAGAAATCATGAAGCTCCTGAGAGAATAGAAAATCCCAAGTGCTTTCTTCCTGAAGGGCTTAATAAACCAATCAATGGCTGGCTCTGGCCTCATCTTTTCAGCCTATTTGTTGCACAGATGATGGAGAAGTTTTGATACTTGCAGTGACAGGTGGCAACTCACAAGCTAATGGGAGCTGGCTGATTTGAAGGCAGAGGCTGTGCAGTGTATCATGTTCCGTGACACTTAGTGGCTATACTCTGCTCCAAACAGAGAACACCAGCCAATGAAGTTTCTTCTGAGGCAGGAGTCAGCAAACTTTTTCTGTAAAGAGCCAGAAAGTCAAAGCTTAGGCTTTATGGCCATATGGACTCTGTCACACGGATTCAATCTGGCCATTGTGGCACCAGAGCAGCCATAGACATTAGTTAAACAAATGGGCATGGCTGAGTGCCAATAAAACTTTATTTACACAAACAGGCAACAGATCAGATTTGGTCTGTTCATAGTTTACTGACTCCTGTTCTAGGTCACCATTAACTTCAAGATATTTAGGGAGACATAAATGTATACTGTATTTCCAGCTGTCATTCAACTGAGCTGTATTGTAAAAAGAGTAGACAGCATAGCTGGTAGATGTTTCTGATGGAGGATAATATTTTGATTTTTTTTTCCTTGTTTATACTGAGACCCTCATGTTTTCAGAGAGTGAAAATAAGTCATCGATCACCTTAGGTAGGGTGGAGTATTACAACAGAAACAAATAACAGAGACACATGGCTAGCTTTTGTTTCTTCTTTAACAGTTTATTTTTTCTGAGCATTTTAAATGACAGAAGAGATTCTGGCTCCATCCTCAGATTCAGCATCCATGGTGGTAGCTGCTGAGAGAAAAAATGAGAGCCCCTCTTCCTCCTCTGGCCAAGGTAGTTTAGGTAGAGCACTAAGATGTCAGAGAAAAAGCTGCCAGGAGACTCGAGTTTCCTGGGGGAAGATGAGGAGTTCAAGTACTTCCCTCTGAAGACTGGGCTGGTGAGGATAAGAATGAAGATGCCCATGACTGGGATCCTGATGAGAGTGATGACAGCATAACGTATGTCTATTTCCATCCTTTAGAGCTGAATCAGAGAAACACATTGCAAGACTGGAACCCCATGGCTTGCAGCAGAAGCACTGAAACAATACAAACTCAAGCTGTTTGTCTTTGAGACAAAGAACCCAGGATGGGACAACTCAGCAAATATGTTTCCTACCCATTCTACTGGGATTTATTATTGTCTTATAACACAAAACTATCTGACTAGAAAATAATTATAGAAATAATACACACTTATTTTAGTATATACATATATGCATGTGTGTGTGTGTATATATATATATACACACACACACATACTTACATTCTTAGTTTTTGAGTTTCAAACTGAGATCTACTTGCTGAAGAAGAGGATTGTAGACAACGTTGAAGAGTTCATCTCACCTTCTCTCTTCCCAGACTATATGCAGGTCCTATAAACTGAGGAAAATAGAAAATAATGAGGTAAAGGGTAAGTCAAACTCTCACTTTCGAATCACAGCCAGTGATCAGGAAGAGAAGCCTTCACCTCTATCACACATCTGGTTATTTTTGTTGTTAGGAAGCATGACTGCAGAGCTATGGGACTTTGTACCAGTCAGCTAAAGCTAGGTTATGATGCACTAACAAATAGCACCAAAATCTGATTAACGGATATGAGTTTCTCTTTCATAGGACACATCCCTCAAGAGTCAGCAACAGCCCTTCCTCAGTGTTCTTCACTCTGGGGCTCGGACCAAAAAAGCAGCCTTTTGAAGGGAGCAGGGTAGAGCCACAGCATGGTTCTCAATGCCTCCTTGCACGTGGTATACCTACGTCTGTTCAGGTTTCATTGGTCAAAGAAATTCACATGCCAATGCTTGTCATCAGTGAGGCAGGGATGGATCTTCCCACAGGGAAGGCAGAAAATAGTTAGAAAAAAAACTATATTATTTTTATACCAATTTGTGGCCAGAAAACTCCCATTTTGAATTGATTCATGCTCTGAATGTCTCCAAGGACTAATTCTAAATCATTGATTTTCATCCAGTAAAGCCAACTAATGTTCTTAGAATCCGGGACTGGAAAAGTCAGCAACCCAGAAGACTTGGGTCTACATCCTGGCTAGAGAGTACAAGGCTCAGGTTCTCAAAATCATGGTTGTCCATCCCTTTCTATAGCAGGTACAAGCTGCCCTCCAAACATAAATGCCTCTATCCTCCCAATCAGGATTGCAACCAGCCTGGCCACATAAATTAATCTCACTGTGACAGACTGCAAATCCTCAGAGGAGGGCAGCCTAGAAAATAGGAGTGCAGCTTTTTTCGTATGATTTGCTTGTTTTATAAAATTAGTCAGCCATGTGGCTGTGTGTGTCACAGCATAAGATGACAATTCATAAGAGAGAAATTGTCATTTTTCATAATTCAGAGGCTAGAATGATTGCACTGTTCCTCCAAAAGATGAATATTCCCAGCCATTATAAAAGCATAATGGCATTTGACAGATGCACTGGAAACACCATGGAACCCAAGAGCCATTTGTCACTGCTGGCATTTAGATTGTCAGAGTCTTTGAGTTCTGTCGGACCTTAACATTTTGATTCGGATTAGAAACAATAAAATGAAAAGTGCCGTGTTAAAAGAAGTACAGGTAACCATAGAAATGTGTAAGTTTCCTACTTTTTCAAAAACCTGCAATGAAAACCCACATGTACATGTCAGAAAAGCTTTTCCTGCATGTGGGATGGTCCCAGTTTGAAGTTTGAATCCTGAAGCCATTGAAAGCTCAGTTCTTCATGAGTACCCAGCCCCCCTCAGGGTTAGATCAGACATGCTTTAGACAATGACCACCAATGAGCCCAGAAAACCCCCTTTGTAGGGAAGAATTTGCTTCTAGGATCCAGGATTGGAAAGAACCCTATTATATCCATGCAGTTATTCAGAAAATAGTTTTGAAGGATGGTTGCAAAGAAGACAAGTAGGTAGTATGGTATCACAAAAACCGACTTGGACTAAGGTTATGGAGGATTGGGCTCTAGAACTACTTTTTCCCATTTACTATTTCTCTGACCCTAAGAATTTCACCAATCCTCCATTTCTTCTTCACCTTGGAAGCAGAGGATATAAAAACTGTTTGAAAATTTGTAATTTGCAAAATGCGTAACCATTTTCTGAATATCTGCATGGATATAGTAGGGCTCTTTCCAACCCTGCATCCTAGAAGCAAATTCTTGCCTACAAAGGGGGTTTTCTGGGCTCACTGGTGGTCATAGTCTAAAACGTATCTGATCTAACCCCAAGTGGGGCTGCTTACTCAACAAGAATTGTGCTCTCAATGGCTTCAGGATTCAAACTTTGACCTATGGGTGGATATATCAGATCAGAATTATCCTCATTGTCCTGAGGATCTGAAGAATGTGTATGGAGGCGGAAGAGTAGGTGTCTGAAGCATTCGGTGATGGTCAGTGCAGCCACCAGCAAAAGGTTGGGAGCTGAGGTTCATCATCATCTCCCTCACCATCATCACTATCATCACCACCATCATCATCATTAACATCGTCACTATCATCATCATCACCATCATCATCATTACCATTACCATCTTCGTCACCATTACCACCATCATCACCATCATCATCACCACCATCGTCATCACTACCATCACCATCATCACGATCGTTATCGCCATCACCATCTTCATCACCATGACCATCATCATCACCATTACCATCATCATCATAATCATAACCATCACTATCTTTACCATCATCACCATCATCACTGAAGCAGAGAAGGGGGAAAACCTTGAAGCTTAATTTTCCCCATAAATATCATTCCCCTCATAAATATTTTTAAGTCCCCACCATCCATAAACAAGTACCCAAAGACCATTCCCAGCTCACAAACATATTTTATTTGCTGCACAGAATGTGGCCACCCTGTTGTTGTTGTTGTTGTTGTTTAAATCACTGCAACATTTTTAAAGTGAGAGATTTCATATCAATGTCCTAATTTCTCTTGAAAATTGGCATATTGAACCACCCTGGGCTCTTCCACTTGGCAACCATTGGCTGCAACTGAGAAATCCTTGCATCCTTCAGAGAACATAATCTTTGGAATTCACTACAGTTATCACCACACGCTACTGACTGAGGACTATCAGCTGAAATAATCCCCATTGCCTGATCTGTTCTTGTCAGTGTATGGATGTTCTACTCCTACATTTCAAAATTATTTGGTTTAAATTCTAATTTGCCAATTTCTCCTTTGATGGTGTAACTGCTATAAATAAAAATAACATTTAAGATATTCATGTTTTCAACCCGACCAGCCCAAACACTTAGTATAATTTTAATTGAACAGCATTCAGGATTCAAGGTTTCTGTTCCCTTCCCTGGCTCACAAAGGCACAAATCTTTATTCCTAGAAGCCAAATCAACAATGATGCTTAAAATATATATTATTCAATAAGGGTGTTGTCTCCATATGGCAAATAAATGAAACTGCCTGAAAGGGTTATTCTATGCTCTCAAGGTAGAAATGGCCTTTCTAGGTTAGACAAATGAATTTGATGATATAAGCCATATCAAAAGGCAAATGAAAAAATTGGAGAAATTTTACAGTTCAAAAATACAGAAACAAGGCTAAGTATTCCATATATAAAGATCTCCTACAAATCAATAAGAAAAAAATGTAAAAAACCCAATGACACTGTTTCACAGGGATGATTCAAGTGGAGAACATGTATGCTCTTCAGAACTGCATGTGTGCAATTCAGGCAGGTGCTTGCATCACACACACACAGTGAGACTTCTCACTGCCTTCCTTTGGATTCACAGGTCTTTGTGTAGGCTGATGTGTGCTGGAGAAAGTCAAGTTATTCTTCCTGTGAGGATGTTTGTGCATTTGAATTCTAGCTGCCCCATGTGACCACTGATCTCCCAGATGGAAACATCTCATCCTGGGACCATTGAGAAATCCAGATGCCAGAGCTGGAGTCTGGAATTAAAAGCTTCAGCCAAACTGTTGGTTATCTGTAATGCACCCCAGCTGACTTAACTTGTCTCTTGGCTGAAAGTATTGGTGGGTTAGAGGCTATAAATGCAGACTGAGTCTGCACTCATTGGGCAGAGATTAACCAGACAGCTAGAGATGGGGATGGCGGGCTGGTCTCAAAGACAAAGCCAATACTTGATGAAAAGTGATAGGAAGCTGAAGTTGGCCTCAGGACACACATGCCCACTTGACTGTCTTCCACAGTAGTTCATGCTCCTCAATGCTCAAATACAAGCAAGTCTCCATGGAAGGCATCAGGCTTTCCCTCATCTTGCTACCTTTTACATATGACAGCTTCTCTACCCAGAACAAAGCTCTCTCCCTTTTCCTGCAGCCTGACTCCAACTCATCCAATGTTCGGGGGACAGAGACTGCTGGCTATTCCCAAGATGTATGCTTCCTTTCTTCTGTTAGCAGAAGGAGCCTAAAGTGTAGCTGGGAACATGGCTATTCCGCTCAAGAGTATTTATTTCCACCTCCTTTGCAATTAGCAGTGGCCATATGCTGAGTTAAGGCGAACGGTATTCAGGAGCAAGGCCTGTGGGCAACATCTGGGTCTTGTCATTAGAGAGAAGGGCTGTGGTGTGCCACCAAGATCTCCTCTTCTGGGCTGAAGTATTTATCCTCCTGGCTGCTTGAAGAGAGTGAACAGTGGAGTCCTGCCCTGGGAATTGCCTTTCACTTAGGCAAGCAGCCTCACTCCACAGCCACAGACCCAGCCCACATCCAACAACTGGCCAATGTACAAAGACCCAGCCTGCTTGTCCAATTTGGGACATCTCTAAATCAGCTCAGGTCTTCCTGCAACTGCATCTTAGTTCACTTTCATTTCTGTGCAGCCTTGCTTCCTTCACTGCCTTACAGGTGCTCTTCCCGTGAACACCCCCGGTGAATGTCCTATGCCGGTATCCCAAACTTGGTATCTATTTCCAGGAAACTCCATCCAAGAAGGGAGCGGTAAGCTGTAACAGGCAAGGTGAGCCATCGTTACTGTGCAGAGGTAGCAGAGGAAGGAAGGATCGTGCCTCCCTAACACCATAATGCCACCTACCAACCCTGGGCCAGGTGCTCAGAGTGCTACAGTGGAGAGAAATAAGTGACTTAGGTTTAGTTTCTCTGTTTGGCGATCTCTGCAACAGCCTAGGCAGAACTCACTGATAAAACCTACCTCAAAGGTAACCTCCCACCAGCCCCAACCTACATTCATATACAAACTAAGGTATTCTTTGTAGGAATTTACATAACACTTGCGCACACTCTTTGCTGCTCTGGGTCAGGAATGATGGTATCTTGTTTGCCTTCCTAAGCAAGTGGTCAGCTCATTTTGGCCAGACCTGTGTTTTGTTCAGCTTCTATAACCATAGCTCCTGCTAGTACAGAATGAATACTCCATAAATAATTATGAATGAATGCATAACTTTCTTTCATTCAGGGCCTCCTATTTCCTAAGAACCCCATCCAATTTGCTGTACCTAAGCAGAAGTGTAAATTGATCAGCGTCTCTTGACTCCTTGCCACATTGAAGAATTATCAATAAAATCAATAGCCAAACATTTGCTAAGGATGCTTCATGTGAACGTGTTTCAATTTCTTCTAATAGAAATCCTGTGAGATAGGCATGTGTGTTGTCCCCATTGACAGATAGGAAACAGGCTCAGAGAGAAGGTGATAAGACAAACTAGCAAGTTGAGAGGCAGGACTGGAAGTCAAATCTGCCTGACTGCAGAGCCTACATGTCTACTATTGTCTAAGATCTGACAAGCTCATTCACCCTTTTGTGATCACGCCATCTGCAACTCCTCCCAAGGCACAACATTGAAACCCACACAAGGAAGTTCCCGTGGTGACATTTCAAACATGAGGACCCATGTTTAAACAGAGAACATCTCTCTAATCTCACCAGCCCAGACCTGTCCTTACATAGAGAGTTGAGGAGAGAACTTCACAAGCCATAGTCTTTCAATACACACCCACCATCCAATCCCCATATATACCAATCTCTTTAATACCAATCTCAGTGTAATTAACTCCAGCCACTACAGCAGATGAGCCTGAAACCTCAGTGGCTACAATAAATGTTTATTTTGTGCTCACATCAGTGTCAAATGCAAGCCACCAGTTCACAAGGGCAGAGGTTCTCCAGTTGTGACTCAAGGATCCAAGCTGTTCCCTGTGGAACACATTGCTCCCAAGTTTTCAGTAGCAATGATAGAAATAATTGGAAAAACTTGTAAAATGTTTTAAAGCATGGAAATCAATTGCATCTACAATGAGCAACATCGATTTGCATTACTGCAGAGAGGAAACATTTGTGTTGCTCTCAGATAAGAATCACATGCACTGCTGTATTCTCTAAGTGAACTTCTACAGTTTTAAAATAGTTCAGTCAATAGAAAGCCAACCACAGAGGAACACCTAAGAGTTAATTTTTGCCTATTAAGTTTTAAATATTTTTTATAACAGATATAACATTGAATCCATACTGAGGTTATTCACTTTTTTTTTCTTTTCTTTTTTTTTTTTGAGATGGGAGACTCACTCTGTCACCCAGGGTGGAGTGCAATGGCGCAATTTTGTCTCACTGCAACCTCTGCCTCCCAGGTTCAAGCGATTCTCCTGCCTCAGCCTCCCGAGTAGCTGGGATTACAGGCGCCCACCACCACGTCCAGCTAATTTTTGTATTTTTCATAGAGAAGGGGTTTCACCAGGTTAGCCAGGCTGGTCTTGAACTCCTGACCTCAGGTTATCCACCCACCTCGGCTTCCTAAAGTGCTGGGATTACAGTCACGAGCAACTGCGCCCGGCCTGGTTATTCATTTTTTAATTGCTTTTCTAGTCTAATAAATTTTTTTTTTTTTTTTTTTTTTTTTTTGAGACGGAGTCTGGCTCTGTCGCCCAGGCTGGAGTGCAGTGGCGCAATCTCGGCTCACTGCAAGCTCCGCCTCCCGGGCTCACGCCATTCTCCTGCCTCAGCCTCCCCAGTAGCTGGGACTACAGGCGCCCTTCACCACGCCCGGATAATTTTTTGTATTTTTAGTAGAGGCGGGGTTTCACTATGTTAGCCAGGATGGTCTCAATCTCCTGATCTCGTGATCCGCCCGCCTCGGCCTCCCAAAGTGCTGGGATTACAGGTGTGAGCCACCGTGCCTGGCCTTATTCTGATAATCAAATCAACAAGGAAGTCTCCTTTGGGAACTTGGGAAAATTAAGGGCCAGGCCTAGAATGGATTACGTCACTTCTGCCCACATCTCATTGGACAGAATTAGTCATATGACCTCACCCAGGTCAGGGCGAGGAATAGAGATGTGAGTTGCTGTCTCCACAATGAAACTCAGAGAAATGTAAGTCAAAGGACTTGTAGAAGGCCTCTGCTTCTTTACTTGTAAAGTGGAGGGAGAGAATGGCTTCATCAAAGATTCCTATTTGGGAATATGCATCAAAATGACCCAGAGAGTTTTTTTGAAATTCGGATTCCTGGATGCTGCCCTAAAAGTTCGGACTTAAAATAATCAGGAATGAAGTTTTTGCATTTCTGATGCCAACACCCCTGCCCAGCCCTTCTCAGCATGACTTGGGTTGAGAACAATTAAACCAGGTGAGTTCTAAACCTTCTTCCATTTTTTATGTTCTTTAATTCTGGGGTGCTCTTTTGGATCTATAGGTAGAAAAACACAAAGAGAGGACTCACTCTCAGGGATATTAAAGAGCCACTTCTTTGTCACCAGGTTCCCAAAAGATAGAGGTGGGTCTTAGGACTCTGTATCTCTGCCTAGCAGAGCCTCATTGAGATTTCTGCATCTGCTTTCTCTGCTAATCATTCTCTGGACCTCATCTTGTTTTTACATTTTGCTCAATTCACCAAAACTCTGTGCAGCATCTTGGTGCAAGCATCCTACCTAGGAAACCGCCCTCCACCTCCTTGCCCATAGTCTTTTATAGGACCCAAAATCAATCTGCATCCCCCTATCATTTCGAACAGCTCCACAATTATCAATATGCATTTATCCTCTACATATAAAATATTGAAATGTCAATAACGCTTTGTTCTATAAAACACAAGGAGTGCTTACGTATTTTAAGGTTCATAAAACTTTACTTGAATTGATAGATAACTGGCATAAAGTTGATAATAGCAGTGGTGCTGAATCAGAAGAAAATTGTGATTTTTTTTTATAGTGACCTGAGACGTTCTTCCTTTTCCTAGAGAAATTAGCCTGTTCTCTTTGACATTATCTTTAGTGAAATTAAACTACAGGAAATAAATAAATAACTGAAAATAAAAACAAAAGGAAGGATGAGAGTCAGGAAGGGGATGCGAGGGGTTAACTTGGAGCTATTGAGTAAGAGGAATTGTCTGGTTCCTGGGTTCCAAGGAGCCCTCTCTGGAAAATATAACCTAAGAACTAAAGGACGAGAAGACCTGAGCACGAAGAGTGATGCATGGGTGGTGGGGGCATGTGGGTCACTTGCTCTCATTCCTTTCCATCCTCACCCTGTTAATAATAAGGAGGAATCATCTGCGTTCTGCTTACGTGATGCATGTGGGAGACATGAAGCCCACCTCCCACAAGCTGCCTTTCCA
This sequence comes from Homo sapiens, assembly GCF_000001405.40. NCBI lineage: Eukaryota > Metazoa > Chordata > Mammalia > Primates > Hominidae > Homo > Homo sapiens. The sequence continues at coordinate 130,000,885 of NC_000012.12, forward strand.
AACCGGGACAACACTGGTTCTCTGGAATAGGTGAGAGACCAGAAGAGAGTGCTGGCATTTGCCATCCATAAAAACTGGGGATTCATCAATGATAGACTGGATAAAGACAATCTGGTACATATACACCGTGGAATACCATGCAGCCATGAAATGGAATGACATCATGTCCTTTGCAGGAACACGGATGGAGTTAGAAGCCATTATCCTCAGCAAACTAATGCAGGCACAGAAAACCAAACGCCACATGTTCTCACTTATAAGTAGGAGCTGAATGATGAGGACACACGGACACACTGGGGGGAACAGCACACACTGGGACCCATCAGAGGTGGGTGGTGGGGGGAGAGAGAGCATCAGGAAGAAAAGCTAATGGATGTTGGGCTTCATACCTTGGTGATGGGATGATCTGGGCAGCAAACCACCACGGCTCATGTTTACCTATGTAATAAACCTGCACATCCTCCACATGTAGCCCTGAACTCAAGATAAAGGTTGAAGAAAAAGAAAGAAAACCCAGAAATTATCTCTCAACTGAGTCAGTAACTGCTCCAGAGGCAGAGTCTTCCTTTCACAGCTGATGCCCTCAGATGTACCCTCCTCTTAGGAGGCTCCTGCTGGAAGAGCACAGATCCACATCATACTTGATCAGGACCTGGTGTCCATATGTTTATGAACTTCAGAAATCACGTGGAATGCACATCATGGACCCAAGGAACTGCCCATCTCAAAGCCAACATTCGCCTAATCTGCCACTGAGATTATTGTCTGCCTCTAACAGAAGACTCAGAAATGCTCAAGACCAGTGCAAAGATACCAGAAGTCACAGAGCTCCACTCCTGTGCTCATCACCCCTGAAAAAGACAATTCTTTAGCATGATATAGAAATGTAGGCATGCTAAGGGAAGCAATGCATATTGGCAAGAAGAGGCTTATCTACGTAGGATGACTTTGGCTGTAAGCAACAGGGATAAAAACGGCTTAGGGAATAAAAAGAAACTGTATTGTCACATATCATAAGAAGCTCACTGCTAGCGCAGGCTCTATGCTTGGTGAATTCACAGCCCAGTAGCATCATCAAGGACTCGTGTTCTTTCCATTTTCCCACCCGCCATCCTGATCCTCCCTTTATTTTAGTGACCCCATGGTCACACAGCATAGTGGCTGCAGTTCCAGTGTATGTCCAGAAACAACACCATCGGCAGAAGAAGATGCAGCTATGTCTTCCTTGTTTACCCTTTTACGAGAGAGGCTACCTTTCCCAGACACTCACATGCATCCCCTCATGTCTCATTGTTTGGGACATGAACTTGGTCAAATATCCATCCTGACGAGGAAAACAGGAACAAGATTGGTTTAGCCAAGTGACTCACACACAGGACACTACAGCCACCTTCTATCTTGGAAATTTTCGTTGAATGAAGGAAGATTTTTTTTTGTCTTTTAGCAGAGTTGGACAGAAGCACTTAAATGTTAAAGTGATATTACTAAATGTTAAAATTTATGTTGCTAAATTTCTTAGAGAGTTCAAGAATGACACTGATTTTTTTAAAATTGTGTGCATACAAATAAGGTTGGAAGAGACACGTCAGAGAGTCCACCCACGTCTGTCTTCATAGACTAAAAGGATACATTATCCAGAGTTTAGGTCTTCTGTCTGGACTCCAAGACAGTGAACGGTTACAATAAGTTCATGCTTTGAGGTGACAGATGGCACCATCATATTCTTCCAGACGTAACAGACTCTAGTGACAGGTGACACCGACACAGATATAAACTCAGCTTCTCAGCCTCCCTTTATCCCTCTAGACCCATTCTTTACCCCTCTGCCTATTGCAGGTCCCAGGAAGCTGCATTCAATGGAAGTTTAGCCCATGGATGTACCTGACATGAGGCTGATAGATCAGAGGAAAAAGAGATTAGGTATTTTCCTCCCGCCCTTGCTGCCAGCCACATTCTCTCAGCACACCATCTCCTGCAGCTCACAGTCACTGGGCTCCAGAAATAGGCTGCCTCCCCAGCCCTTTCAGCCTGGGGGATGGTCACTCCCCTTTACTCTGTGGGTGCCTCCTTGTCCTTCTGGGATTCATTAACTCTACTTGCTCCTCTGGACACAGTTCCTTCATGCAGCTTGCTCCAATGAACTCTCCAAGAGTGGGGTCTGTTTCCTTGCAGTATTTTCCTTTGGGAGGTGTGAGGCTGGGAGATTCCTCTTAGCACTGTGTATTGCCTCATTCTGCTGACAGGAATGGGTATTATCGGTTCAATCAAAGCATAATAACGAACCTGGGCAGAGGTTCATGGCAAAGAAGAGACCGAGCTCCAGGTGCTGCTTGGAAAACCAGTGCCCAGCAGCTCAAAGCTTGGAGAATTGCAGCCACTGAAAATTCATTTTTCAGTTGAACCCGGAATCCTCATGATGAAATGATGTTCAAAGGAAAGGGCATTCTTTATTCTGTTGGGAGAATCTGGTTCATCCTGAGCTCCCAGCACCATGCCGATTTACAGGAACAGTCAGAAGAAGTTCCACAGTTTGCCCCTACAGTCCCACAAAGAAAATTTCCCCCAAGGCCCTGCTTTGCCCGCTGCTCTGAGTTTTATTACTGTGCTTAAACATGGAGAGGGATCTACGAGCATTGTCCAAATCCCCCCTCCTTGGAAAACTGTTTTACATAAATAGCTAGAATGACAACACGTCCCTGGACTGCTTCACATCAATGATTGGAGAAAGCTTCATCCTTACCACCAACTCCCCTCCAACACTCACATGCCTATTTTGTTCTTATATGCCTGGGTCATTCTGTGTAGTATAAAGGAGACATTTCTGGAAAGATATCTCAAAATGAAGGAAAAAAACTAGGACTTTTAAGGACTGGAAATAGCAGCTACAGTGGTTTGGATGGGGAAAAATGGGACTGAGGACATGGGAAAACCTGACCTCTGTAAGCCCCATTCCCGCATCTGTTGAAAAATCAAGCAAAACAGGCCACAGGATGATCGCATGAATTCCATGTGATAACATGTGTGCAGAGCCAGGCATGCAGCAGGTGCTTAATAATGTGAGTTGAATTATAAACCTCTCTCCATAACTAAATCGTTGTCATAATTATTTTAGTTATAATGGCTAAAAATAGCTCAAACTTATCTAGGAGTCAATTATTTGAAAACTCGAGGGATAGATGGGTTTCAGGAGCCGCTTGATCCAGGAACACCCACAGTGTCTCAGGGACTCAGTGTTCCTGTCTCCACATGAGCTTTTTCCCCAGATCCCACACGGTGGGCAGATGGCAGCCAACAGCTCCAAACCAAATGCCATTCAGGTCAAGCCTGGGGGAAAGTGTGAGGGAGTGTTTCTTTTGCAATAGGTAAATAAAACAACAAAATCAACTTAGCTTCTTTCAGTCCCATAGGTTCTAATTGATTACATGCTTATCCCTGAACCAATATCCTTAGGGGCAGGAGATGCTGATTGATCAGGCCTGAGTCACATGACTACTCCTGAACCAATATCCTTAAGGGAATGTGAAGCTCTGATTGATCAGGCCTGTGTCACGTGACCACTCTTGAGCCAATATCCTTAGGGGAATGAGATCCTTTGATTGATCCGGCCTGAGTCACGTGACCATTCCTGAACCAATATCCTTAGGGGAATGTGAAGCTCTGATTGATCAGGCCTGAGTCATGTGACCACTCCTGAGCCAATATCCTTAGGGGAATGAGATCCTTTGATTGATCAGGCCTGAGTCACATGACCACTCCTGAACCAATATCCTTAGGGGAATGTGATCCTCTGATTGATCAGGCCCATGTCACGTGACCACTCTTGAGCCAATATCCTTAGGGGAATGAGATCCTTTGATTGATCAGGCCTGAGTCACATGACCACTCCTGAACCAATATCCTTAGGGGAATGTGATCCTCTGATTGATCAGGCCTGAATCTTATAACCACTTCTGGAACAGGAGCTGGGTTCAGCTCCACCTGAAGCACATGAGCTGAGTGAGAGAAGGGGTGACCTTTGCCAAGGCAAATCAATCCCTCCGGCCTGGAGAAGAGTAAACGGATATCAGAAAACCAGACGACTGTTTTCCACTATAATCCACCACCCACAAAACAGTCTGCTTGGCAGAAAGTGTTGTTGGATATTTGTTTTTGTCTCCTTAACAATCCCCTTTGCCCAAGAACAGTAACCCCTTTCTTCTGGAAACTGGCCCTTGCCTCCCTGTCTTTGAATCTGGCTTACACGTAAGCTATATAGTGTTTTTACTTGACGAGAAAAGGCTTGGCAGAGAACCATTTTCTAAGCCTCAGTTTCCTTATTTGTAACAGGAAATAAGAATAACCCTTGCCTCATGGAGCCATTTTGAAGATTAAATGAGATAATCTGTGTAGACCAATCAGAAGATTAAATGAGATAATCTGTGTAGACCAATATCCGAAATATTGGAGGTGCTTCATCAACTTTAGATGTTTTTATTACGAGTAGACTGATGGCATTTGGAAAGAGTAGAACATAAAGATAATTCCAGGTGGGTTTGGAAACTTATTTCTAGAAACAAGGCAAGTCTTAGACTTACCTCCCATGTTCTATCTTCCAAATATTTTGGTGCAGCCTGATATTGTAATCAGTCTTAGACTCTTAGATAGCTGACGTAAGATCATTCTTTTTCCCTTAGTCAACTGTTTTTGTGGCACTGCTAAGAACTTGTCTTTGTAGTGTTGCATGCTCTATTCAAAACCCCCTTGAGGAAGAATTGATGAGTTGAAGTGTTTTCAAGGACTATTATGGATCTGGAAATGTACAAGTGACCCAGGGATTTGTCATTCCTCTGCCATTATAGTCTCAATGTCTATGCAAAGAATGTTCCCATCTGAACCTCAGGGCACCTGGCAATGTCTTGCAAGGCGGGTTTGCTGCCCACGGCCTTGAGACACCACAGTCCTGTAGGATGCACCTGTCCACCCGGTTAGGAACAGTGTACAGAGACAGCTCTCCCTACACCGAGGAAATGTCACATCTTCACCTTACAAGATGTGACACTTTCCATTTCAACCGACAAAACCCAACCCAGCCTCACCTAACCCAAAAGCTAACTTATTAACTCAGATAACCGTGAAGCCCAGGGGATGGCCAGATTACAGTGGCTGGATCCAGATTTCACATAATTATCACCAGGAGGTGGTGTCTTTCGGTGACATGGTTCTATTAATCGCTTTAGCTGTTCCAGGCTCAAACTCCACTTGGTGGTGGGATGCCTCACCCCACCTTTGCGTTCCCATCCTCATCCTCAAAGCCTCACCACCCTCGAGGGTCCTCAGTAGGTCTTTGGTAGCCAGATCTGCTGCTCTGGACTGTGGGTGGCTCTGGTCCAAGTTCCCTTGAGTTGCCAGTGTCCATGGCCTTCAGAAACAGACAGAGCTGTCAGAAGTGGCAGGGAGCCTATAGCTAGAAGCAAGGAGGGGGACCGACAGCTGAAGGCCACCAGAGAGACCTTTTGTAACCTCAATTAAAACAAAAACAAGAAGGTAGAGAGGGGACTCCTTAAAGCTCCTTGCAAGCAGCAGTATGTCAGAAAATTGTGTGGGACATGGAGCACTTGCTGAGTATTTTAGATCTCCATGTATTTTGCACAAAAAGAAAAGGTAAGAAGCTTTTAATACCAGAAAGTTAGCCGTACCAGTGGTGCTAAGGAATGCTCTTCTCCAATCGAAGCTCCAGAGCCACTCTCCAAAGCTCACCTGGAACGGCTCATCAAATGCAGTGATCAGGGCTGGTCGCTGGGGCCTTCCCGTCTCCTGTCTGCCGCTGCAGCAAACAGAGGGGCAGCTCTCTGCTGCCTTGAGGCTGAGAGGGGGAGCCTCCCCTTGAGGGTGGAGGGGGAGACCTTCCCCACCCACTCTCCCAGAAATATTCCTGGAAGTGCCTTCTCTCTACTCCGCCACTTCTGGCTCATCCCCCAAACCCAGCTCCTCCCTCCAGTCTTTGTGTCCTTCCCCTTCTTCAGGAGGCTAAGATGATAGACACAGCAGAGCTCTGGTGCACGATTTTACGCAGAGGGTGGCAGCCATTTTCAGCTGATGCCCCAGCAGTCTCTTAAGCAGCATCACGCAGTCTCCATTTCTAATGCTACACATTTTCCCCTATGCAGCTTTGTGGGGCTACCCATCTCCAGCGCCGGAACTGAGCCACGACTGGCTTAAGAGAAGCAGTGGATTCGTCTGACTGGTCACAGTTCACACAGGAGCAAACGCCACACAATACAAAGCTAACAAAACTTTTACTAGATATAGGGGGACGGGGCCTTTATTGACGTGATCTGCTTCCTTCCTATATGTGAACCTCTTCCTGGAAGCCTGGTGGCCCAGGGACTGCTGGCAGCCACCTTGGATGATGCCATGAGTTGGGGCGGAACCTCCCTGAGAAGGGCCTCTCCCCCAAGGAAAGCAAAGCCAGGGGATGGAGAGAGGGAACCTGGACCCTGCTGCTGACATTGGAGCCCTGGATTCCTATATGCAGGCACTAATCTCAATCTGGATTCCTATATGCAGGCGCCAATCTCATTCTGGATTCCTACATGCAGGTGCCAATCTCAATCTGGATTCCTACATGCAGGCGCCAGTCTCATTCTGGATTCCTGTATGCAGGCGCTAACCTCATTCTGGATTCCTGATCTCATTCTGGATCCCTGATCTCATTCTGAATCCCTATATGCAGGCACTAATCTCAATCTGGATTCCTATATGCAGGCACTAATCACATGCATGAGGCTCCACCCTCATGGCCTCATCACCTCCCAAAGTTTCCACCTGCTAACACCATCACCGTGGAAGGCAGGATTTCAACACACAAACTTGGAGAGACACAGACGCTCAGGTCCTAGCCGTGCTCTGAGCAACAGGTCTTGATTCTGCAGGAGCGTCTCAGGAGCATGTGGAATGCCTGCCAGCACTGCCCGCACCAAGGGCAGGGTATCAGAGCATCTCTCCTGCAGCTCCCGCCCCGCTGGCTGAGTGGCCACCATGGGTGTCTCGCCCCTCACTCCCGGGACGCACCCCACATCGCACGTGGGTGCAGCAGGCTGAATACCCCGTGCTGGGCAAGGGCCTTGGCAGGTGCCTGGTGGGAGGCTTGCGGCTCCGAGCCAGGCTGTGCTCACACACAATCGCCCCCCAAATCTATGGCTGCAGAGCGGGCCCAGGGTAGAATACAGGCACCAGGAGGCAGGCATGAAGCATGAAGCACGAATGTCTCCAGGGCATGTCTTGTTGGTTTACCACTTAATAACCATCACCATCCCCGCTTCTTTCTTCCCATCAGAGTCTGAGTAGACCAAATGGTTGATTCAAAGTCTACTCAGTGAGTAGAACAAATGGCTGATTCAACGTATTTTCTGCCCCCACCTCCACTGCCTTCTCTCCTGGGAGGGCTATTTCTCCCGTCCATATGCATCAGCCTTGGTCACATGCATTGATGAGGCCCATTTTCCCCACTCATTCATTCAATAGCTGTTTAAGCTGTGATATGAACCAGGAAGGGCCGGGCCCTGCGTCTCAGACCACATAGGCTGGAGGAGGAGAGACGGAGCGGACGATTGCAGAGAAGACCATAGGAAATGCAGGGGACCTCCCAGGGCCACCCCCTCCAGCTGCCGGAAAGGGAGGGGGGCAGGCAAGCCGGGCAGGAGGGAGTGAGGTTTTGGCTGAGAGCTGCCAGGGAAGAGAACATGGCCTTGGGGACCACTTACCTCGTGCCTCAAAACCGCACTCTGTTTCAGAAGATTGAGAAGCCACGTGTCTTTAAGGACAGTGTTCTGGGAAGCTAGGCAGCCGCATTTGCTCTGCCTTTGAAAAGTTGAGGAAGCACGTTTTATTTCTATGGGAATGGTCTAACAATAACCAAGCAGTCAAATGATCGCTTTTTCTTAAAAACGTCCTAAAGGAACTAAGCTCCGGCCAGCACCACCACCTGGAGCTGCACCGTGTCTCCCGCGGCAGGACAGGAGTCCAGAACTCCCCTTGTCCCTTTGCCCAGTTCCCATCACGAGAGGGGCTGGGGTGGGCAAGCAGTGGGTATAGCAGCAGGTGCGGCTACCCTCGGCCTTCCCTGGAGGGACCCCGCTGCCCAGAGACCAGCACCTCTGAGTCCTGATTCCGCCTGGAGGGTTGAGTCCTCCACATTCAAACCCGGCAGTCCTTTGGTACAATTACCCCCTCTACCCCCGACTCAGTCAGATGGAGGGGGAGAAACTAAGACATGGCAATATGAACCTTCTCTGGAACGTTCCAGGTCAGTGGCCACGTAGCCAGACCAGGGGGCCACTCTTAGAGACAGCTGGAGACTGAAAACCAAGGAGCGACACGGGAGTGTTGTTTCTAGAGATGCCTTGGGACTGAAAATGCTCTCAGGCATGTGAACATCTGAGGGACCCCACGGCCTGCGCTGGGAGCACCTTTCTGGCACCCACCACCCACCTCCAGGCTAAGTTCTAAAGAACATTGCTCAAAAGGCGCTTTTGAGCCCTCCCTCCGTTCCTCGAGTTTGCTGAGCCCCCTCTCTGGACCATGGTCCTCAGCTCCACAGCCTCTGCTGGATGAGGTGCCATTATTGTCAGGGGGGCCAGACCTCCCGTTTGCCCACCGCACACCTGTGGTCTCCCTGTGATTAACAAGAATGCCCCCTTGGCCTCTCAGGAGTGGTGTTCTGCTCAGGATAAATCCTGTGTTGTCGTTGTAATTACTACCCCCATTTTATACAGGAGAACACACACCCTGGTTTTCCTTTAGGAAGCAACATCCACCAAGCTCAGGCTGTGATTCAGGTGTAGATGTCTGGGCTCCAGGGATGTGTGCACGAGACAGGCTGGTCCAGTCAGCCTTTTCATCTGCTCAGGCATGGCACAGAAAAGGCCGGCCCTGCCCTGAAGCCAACAGAGGCAAAGGGCTCAAGAAGATGGCAGAGACTTCTGCCCCGATAGGCAGCGTTGCCTCAAGTCATCAACTCCTGACCTTTTCCGCTTTCTGTGTCATTTAATGGAGCTGTGTATTTTTTCCAACTCGATTTCATTGAATTTCTGCATTTGTAAAGGAAAGGGTGATTAGCACTGTGATGACGGATACAGAGATGGATTCGGGGGTTGCACGCCTCACCCTGGAGGTGCTCGCAACGGGCTCCCCGGCATCACCACCACGCAGCGCCTGTGCTGGGGGTGCCCACCCTGCAGAGCCCCACCATCCCCCCGGTGTCTGCTCAGCCCTCGCCCTGCACCCACACGCCCCTGAAGCCTGGGCGGGCTGCCGCCTGTTGGATTTGTTTCAAGGTGCAAAGGAGCTGCAGTTGGAGAAGCTCTGCCTCGGTGCCTCCTCTCTCCTGAACACCAGGTTTTCCATAACTTGGCAGCAGCATCTGACTTCCAAGGACGGCCCAATCAGAGCCCTTTCTTGAGGTAATAATGCTTCATTTTCTCCCTTTTCGTGGAGTGGGGATCATCTCCCACACCCTCCTTCACAGCTACGCGCATCATCAAAATTTAACTTCCTGCATCTGTGTGAGATAAATAGGGCTTTGCAGAAATGGGCTGCAAACCAATATTCATCTCTCTCCTCCAAAAAAGCTTAGGCCACCAGCCAATGGTTTTCTTTCTAAAGGAAAGGAGAGGAGAGGCGAACCTTAAAACGCCGTCTCACGGCTGATCTGCCCTGCTTCCAGGTCAAGCCCAAGCGAGGGCATGAGGGAGAAAGCAGGGGACGTAGAGACAGCCTGGCAAGAGCTGAGGCAGGAGGAAACGAGCACCTCTTTCTCCTTCCTGAGCATTGTTAGGAGGGAACGAGCACCTCTTTCTCCTTCCTGAGCATTGTTAGGAGGGAACGAGCACCTCTTTCTCCTTCCTGAGCATTGTTAGGAGGGAACGAGCACCTCTTTCTCCTTCCTGAGCATTGTTAGGAAGCAGCAGAACAGTTCGTTTGTTTGTTTATTTATTTAGAGATGGAGTCTCGCTCTGTCGCCCAGGCTGGAGTGCAGTGGCCCGATCTCAGCTCACAAACTCCGCCTCCCAGGTTCAGGCGATTCTCCTGCCTCAGCCTCCCCAGTAGCTGGGATGACAGGCACATGCCACCACGCCCAGCTAATTTTGTATTTTTAGTAGAGACAGGGTTTCACCATGTTGGCCAGGCTGGTCTCTAACTCCTGACCTCAGGTGATCTGCCCGCCTCGGCCTCTCAAAGTGCTGGGATTACAGGCGTGAACCACTGCGCCCAGCCACAGCGGAACATTTCTATCCGTGTCATACAATTACTCAATGAGCTCCCAACGCTGCACAACGGCCCCTCGGCATCATTTCCTTAGGAATGTGACACACTTGATTCTTTTGCTTATTATGTAAAATATTTTACAGGATTTAAATCATATCAACAAACTATTGATCCAAGATATGGGAGATACTTCCCCCAAATGATTCAGAACTGGTGCCTTGTAATTATTGAAGAAACATTGGTAAAATGTTCAAACTAACCAGAAGCATAAAAAGAAAAAGATGAAAGCCCCCTCCTGACTTCCTATGCTTCACTCCCACCTCCCACCCTCCGTGCACACACTCAGGTTAAGCACTGGACTTTTAAGGATGGATCTGTTTGGAAAGCTGGCTCTAGTTACAGTAATCGCAGTAACGAACGCAGAATCCCCCTTGTATGACTCTGTTCTCACGCTGCTGTAAAGAACGGCCTGAGACCAGGTAATTTACAAAGGAAAGAGGTTTGATTGACTCACAGTTCTGCATGGCTGGGGAGGCCTCAGGAAACTCACCATCATGGAGGAAGGGGAAGCAAACACGTCCTACGTGTCTGGAGCAGGAGGAAGAGAGAGCAGGAGGAGGCAACATCCACTTTAAAACAAGCAGGTCTCTCATGACCACTCACTCACTATTGAGAACAGCAGGGGAGAAGTCCACCCCTTTAATTCAATCACCTGCCAGCAGGCCCCTCCGCTAACACAGGGGATTACAACTCAACAGGAGCTTTGGGTGGAGACACAGAGCCAAACCGTATCACCTTGGCTGGAATTTTGTGGTAGAAGTGTAAGAAGAACCCATTAAAGAAAAGAAATTGGGTAGAGGCTAAGGCAGAAATGCTGAGGTCTAACACAACTGTCCTGCCCCATCCACCATGAGCCCCGCCGGCAGTGCCTCTTCCTGGCCCCCACTGGTGTTTCCCTCTTACTGTGAAATGGGCTGAGGTATCTAGGAATCTGTCTTTTCTCTACTTTCTCTCCTCTTGCCAGCTTTGCCATCCAGGGGCCCCTGTGTGTGCTGCGGATGTGAGTTGGAAAGCGCGTGACTATGGTGAGGCGCCTTTGAAACGTAGGGGCCTGTTGGTTACAGAAGCTGGTCCCTCCGTGCCCACACCAGGGTTGCTCTGCGTCCCACAGTACACACAAAGGGCCCCTGTATGGGTGAGTTTTCCAGCAGGCTCTAACAGGACATGCACAATTGGTTTATAAAAACCCTCAACTTCTACAGACACCGCTCTCATGCCCGTGTGTTTAAAGTGATACGTCCTGTTTGAAAGTACTCTTCCAAGGGGGGAGAGCAGTTTTGTAGGAAGTGAACCATGCAGCGGTGGGCTCAAAGCTCAGGGTCCTCCAGCCTCAGGCTTCCTCTTGGGAACATGGCATGACGCCTGTATCAGGCAGGGTTCTCCAGAGAAATAGAACCCACAGGCGGCGAATGTGTGTGTGAGTTTGTGTGAATGTGTGTGTGTGTGTATGTGAAAGTGTGTGTTTGTGTCAGTGTGTGTGACTGTGTGTGTGAGAATGTGTGAGAGTGTATGAGTGTGTGAGAGCGAGTGTGTGAGTGTGAGAGTGAGTGTGTGTGAGTGTGACAGCGTGAGTGTGTCTGAGTTTGTGAGTGTGTGTTGTGAGAGTGTATGTGAGAGTGTGTGTGAGTGTGTGTGTGTGTTCGGGGGAAGAAAGATATAATGATAATGATGATAGATTAGATAGATGGATCAACAGATACAGGTATAGGGAGGTAGGTAGATAATAGACGGATAGAGATATATAGGTAGGTGGGTAGATAGATGATAGAGGAATAGGTAGATAGATAATAGACAGAGGTATAGGTAGGATAGGTAGGTAGATTAGATAGAGCTATCGATCGAGAGACAGGTAGATAGATAGACAGGTGGATAGGTAATTGATGAATAGATGATAGACGGAGATAAATGGCTAAGTGAAGAGAGATTTTAAGGAACTGGTTCCTGACTGTGGAGGCCTTCTTGTAGTGGTGACTTGCAGGGGACGCCAGCAGGCTAAAAACCCAGGCAGAATTTCTATGTTATAATCTTGAGGCAGAATTTCTTCTTTAAAACGTAGGGGCCTGTTTGTTACAGCAGCTTGTCCTTCTATACCCACTCAAGGGGCTGCCTCTGTGCCCCATAATAGACACAAAGGGCTGGTGCACAGGTGAATTTTCCAGCAGTCGCTAACAAACGGTGCATGCACAATTTATTTTGTAAAATCCTAAACTTCTACAAAAATCCCTTTAATGCCCGTGCGTTTAAAGTGGTCTGTCCTCCGTTTCTTCTCTAACAGATTGGGAGAGGCTCGTTCACATTACAAGGGTAACCTCCTTTACTTAAAGTCAACTGATTATAAATATTAATCACATCTGCAAAATATCTTCACATCTAAATAGTATTGGGCCAACAACCAGGCACCACAGACTCGCGAAGTTAACGTGCAAAATCGACTACCCTTATACACTCCATAGCACTGTCAGTTCCTAAGATTGGCTGTGGTGCAAACTATGCAAAAATTAATAAGTATCAAAACTTGACATTTTCTCCAGTCGGCTTCAAGGCGGAGCAAGTCAGACTAGGACGTGATTTACAGCCTGGGAAGTCTTCCGTGGAAACACCGGGCTTTCTGTGCATGAGGTCAGGGCCAGGACGGGCACGCGGGTAGAAGATCATCTTGAGCGTTCTAGACTCTGACAGACGGTCCTTGTGTCCTTGGCTCTGCTGGTCCTGAAATAAACTGCTTGGGACGGGGGCTGGGAGTGGCAGGATTAGGGGAGAGGAAATTAAAGAGAGAAGGAAGAGGATGGTGCCTTGAAGGACAAGGACAGGTCAAGGTCAAGCCAAAGCAGGGAAGCCTCCGGAAAGAGGGCAAGGAGAGTGGCGGGGTGCGAGCGGGGCGCTGCGGAGGAGGCTGCAGCGGCAGCGGTGCGGGCAGGAGCTCTGATGCGATGCGATGCGATGCGATGCTGCCCCCCTGTGTCCTTCGACGATATTGCTGCGGGAAGCTTTCTGTGCTCAAGACCTCGTCCATCCCTCCATCAGCTCAGACCTTCTCTGCGAATAGCTCTCCGGGTGGTAAAGAGATGCATCACATTTAAAACTTCGAGACGTCCTGGATTCACTTAGAAAGATGGGAAGAGGCTCACGCCTGTAATCCCAGAACTTTGGGAGGCTGAGATGGGAAGATTGCTTGAAGCCGGGAGTTCAAGATAAATGCGAAGATCCCACAAAACTGGGAGCATCCCACATGTGGAGATAGCTAGACTGCCTGTTTAGATGGGGCACCGCTTCCCGTTCACCCCCGCCCTCCCCGCTCCCTAGGCACGCTGGAGGGTAACACCTGGGATCCCCCGGCCTAAGGGCAACACACAATTCAGGTTAATTTCACCCATCAGAAATTAGGAATTCAGTAACAACTCAAGCCAAGGAGAGAGAGGATGCCAGGTGGCGCTGTTACGTCCTTCTCGTGCCACGAACCCCAGCCACCCTTAGACTGAGCTGGCGTTTACACAGCGACGGGCTCTTAAAATCAAAGTCACTTCATCAACACTGCAATCCTGCGAGGTGTGTCATAAGGAGCCCTTTCTCCAGATGTCAACAGTAGAGCTCAGACACGACCCCTAACATGCCCTAGACCACGCACCCCAATGACCTAAGCTGAAGCCAGCCTGTCACCAGTCACCCTCCACCTCTGCGTCACCTGTCACTGGAGACCAGCCCTGTCTGACAGAAACACAACGCGAGCCACATACATGATGCTAAATTTTCCAGCAGCCACATTTTAAAAAGTAAAGAGAGGCAGGTGAAATTAACCTGAATTGTGTTGTCCTTAGCCCAGGAGATCCCAGGTGTTACCCTCCAGCGTGCCTAGGGAGCGGGGAGGGCGGGGGTGAAAGGGGGGCAGTGCCCCATCTAAACAGGCAGCTGCTTCTCTGTCTCCACATATGGGATGGGAGGGCCCAGTTTTGTGGGATCTTCCCATTTTTCTTGAAGTCCTGGCCTCAAGCAGTCTTCCCACCTCAGCCTCCCAAAGTGCTGGGATTACAGGCATGAGCCTCTTTCCATCTTTCTTTCCCTTTTTTTTTTTTTTTTTTTTTTTTTTTCGTGAGAGGGAGTCTCACTCTGTTGCCCAAGGCTGGAGTGCAGTGGCATGACCTCGGCTCACTGCAACCTCTACCTCCTGGGTTCAAGCAATTCTCCTGCTTCAGCATCCCGAGTAGCTGGGATTACAGGCATGCGCCACCACACCTGGCTAATTTTTGTAGTTTTAGTAGAGATGGGGTGTCACCATATTGGCCAGGCTGGTCTTGAACTCCTGACCTCGTGATCTGTCTGCCTCATCCTCCCAAAGTGCTGGGATTATAGGCGAGAGCCACAGCACCTGGCCACCTCTTCCCGTCTTTCTAAATGAATCTGGGACGTCTCGAAGTTTTAAATGTTATGAATGAATTCCAATTTTTCTCAAATCCTAGACAGACCAAACAAGCTGTGTGCGTGTTGGTTTTGGCCTCTGGCCTGCCAATTTGCAATCTCTGTAGTGCAGTAACATCCCTGGAAAGGGAGACCAGCCATCTCTCGGGAGCCTTCGGGTGGGACACCCACATTTTAAACTGAGACATAAGTTTGAAGGGGGCTTGGCTTGCACAGCATCAGCACTTCCATGGTGCTGGCAATACATTAGGCACCGTTCTAAGTGTTTTACTCATACCAACTCATCTAATCTGTGCAAACACACTATGAGGTAGATGCTGTTATCATTCCCATTATACAGACAAAGATACCAACGCTCAGAGAGGTCCAATAACTTGCTCAAAACCACCCAGATAACCTGGGATTTGAACCCAGCACCCAGCATTTATGCGCTTAGCCGCTATGTGTTAGTGCCCGTCTGCTGAAAGATGCCTGCACAGGCTCGGGGTGCCCTGGCACTACAGCCATGGCCAACAAGAGGTGTGAGGAGTGAGAGAGGGAGCCAAGGTGGAGGCTGGACAGCCTTCGATGGAGACAGAGCTATGTGTGTCCCCCAGGGTCCGGAGCTGATTCTGTCTTCCTCTGATTCCTGCCTTGAAAGGGTGTGTGGTGGATTATATAACTGGATCCCAGCTCCTCCAGCCCTCTCCCCCTCCCTGGCTTCTCCGTGGGTAGAATGCACCTCCCACTCCATTGCCCCTGGACTGCCCAGGGGATGGACCTTGGCGGATGGAATGCAGGCACCAGGACAGTGCGCTATCCCACCCCCCCCAGGGAGTGGCTGCTCCTTCAGTGTGGGTTCTGGGCCTGTTTCAGCTTGATAAGCCCCTCAGGGTCTGAAACCAAGCCAGCTCAAGTGCAGCCAACCCACAGAGCTGTGAGCAAGAAATAAATTCTTTTTGGTGTTTTGTTTTGTTTTTGAGACAGAGTCTTGCTCTGTCACCTAGCCGGAGTGCATGGCGTGATCTCGGCTCACTGTGTCCTGGGTTCAAGCGATTCTCCTGCCTCAGCCTCCTGAGTACCTGGGATTACAGGTGTGCGCCACCACGTCCAGCTATTTTTGTGTTTTTAGTAGAGACGGGGCTTCACCATGTTGGTCAGGCTGGTCTCAAACTCCTGAACTCAAATGATCTGCCCGCCTCGGCCTCCCAAACTACTGGGATGACAGGCGTGAGCACTGAGCCCAACCATAAATTCTTTTGGTTTCAAGCTCCTGATAGTTGTGGGTTACTGCTATGAAGCAGTGTCGCAGGATAAACCCGCTGAGTCCAGGGAGGCCACACGTCAGCTTGCATCACGGGACTCCTGGGAAAGAAAACCAACCTAAAACGACAGACTGCTGCGCAGTAGAACCTGTTTGGTTCTTCTGACCAAAGCAGGCCATACCCAGTATGATCTCCACGCCAAGACTCGCCCAAAACTCATCGGGGCTAACAGATGAGCCACCTGTGAAGACACCAAGGCAGGCCGTGGGCCGGTCGCAGAGTTTCTGTAAAGCCTTCGCCACCGCCATCGCCATCGGGGATGATCTCCACTCCGTCCGCCCTGTCACAGTGGTGCCAGATTTCAGCCGCCAGCTTCGGTTCTTACGAGCGGGCTCTGACGGGCTCATGCTTGGCCACAGCAGCTGGTCAGTGTTTGAATATTAATAGGACATGGGTTCTCATATTTGATCCACTGTAAAATGCCTCTCCCACCCTTGCCCTTTTGCAAAGCCACCTCTCTGAGTCAGTAATTAATTTAAAGGATTCACAATAAGAGGAAAAATCATACATGCCCGTAGGGGCAGGCAAGCAACGTAAACAGATGAAGGAACCGGATGGTGGTTTCTGCACAGACACCCTCCGTCTGCGTATTAAACACGCAGGAATACTCTTCCCTTCCACAGAGAAAGAACTTTGCTGTCTCGCATTTTTCTGGTAACACCTAGCTGTCTCGAACTGCATCTCTTTTTCTCGTTGTTGATAGAAACAGGGACATAAAGAAAGCTTCTTCTCTTCTAAGAGGAGCTGCGGCCGAAGCACAAGGATGAACAGCTGCGGATACTCGGCTTTGGTGCCAGGAAGACCGCGGGGCGTGGCGGGGACCGGGCCCTGCGAATGGAGCAGCTGAGACTCAGCTCCGCGGAATGACACAAGCCTGGGGCTGCCAGCTCTTCCCATTTTTCAAAAGAAGCTGGAAATGGGTTTTCGTTTAAAATACCCTGGTTTTCGAATCTTGGCCTGACATGTTTTTAAACACCGTATGAGCCAAGCAAAACACATCTGCAGTTTGTATTCAGCGCCACGGGCCGTGGATTTGGGACCTCTTCTGGGGAGTCTAACAAAGGCACTTTACGTCCCAGCGTTGCTATTTCCTGGCTAAACGACCTTGGGCTACAAACAAAAGGCTCCAGGCTTCGGTATCATCCCGTGGAGAGTGACGGTGCCTGCTTCGCGCAGTCTGTCTGAGAATCAAGTGAGATGAGAGACACAAAGTATCTAAAAATCTACTTTTCTACCGGTGCACTTTCAGGTTTATTCAAATTACAGAGAATGCCAGGCGTGATTCTCCAGCCGAGTCTATGAAAAACAAGAAAAAGAAAAGCTTAGCACTTCTTAATGTGTGCGCAGCCAGACACAATGACAGGCTTGATGTTTTCTCTGTGAAATGAGTTATGAGTCATCTGACTCATCTGACAAGGGAATCTGTTGAGATGGAAAAAACAAAATATATGAGTGATCAGTGATGCAAATAAAGCAACACCGTCACGGGCCTTGCCCTGGAGCTAATGGTAATGGTGGCGATCATGATGATGATAATAATCAGAATCATAAAATATACTGAAGGTAAAGATGTACCAGACACATCCCAAATATTTTACCAGTGTAATAATAATAATTATTATACAATGCTTACTTTGTGCTGGGGAAATGTGTGGGTATTAATTCATGTAATTCTCATAGCTACCTTAGAAGGCAGGTACTATTATTTTTCCCATTTTACAGATGAGAAAACTGAGGAAAAGAGAAGTGATGTGGCTTTTCTAAAATCGCTCAGTTGGTAAATGGCAGAGCTGGGATCTGAACCTGGGCATCTTCCTCGGAAGCCCGTGTGATGGTCCTTACACCTCCCCAGGGAAGGGATTCGGCTAGCTGGTGGTGTTTCCAGGCAAGGAGGGCGGCCAATCAGAGGCCCCGCGGAACGGAACTCCAGGGGCAAGCCCAGGCCATCCGAGCATGCACCTGTCTTCGTGTCCACTTTGCTTTTCCGTTCCTTGTGGCCTTTTCACTGTCTTCTGATCATGAGCCCATAAACACTGTCCATCCACTGCAGATAGGGGCAAGCCACAGACCTGACTCTGGGAAGGCAGCTGAAGACAACCAGGAAGGATTTGGAGGCCCTGAAATCGACAAGATATGAAAGGACTAAGGGAGGTTCAGGATGCTGACGAGGAGGAAGAGGCTGCCTCTCACCTGGACAGGTGACAGCATCATTTAATACCTGTATAGGACACTGTCACCTATGCACAGGTGCCTTCCTGGCCATCGGCAGCCTTCCCATTCCCTTATATGCCCGTGTTATTTATTCAAGATCCACAGTGAAAGGGCATCCTCACCAGCATCCTCCTGGGTCTTGCGGGGAGAGGGAGGATCTAGCTCCTTTAAGGACCAGAGTGGGAAGTCGGCAGCAGGAATGACCCAGCCATAGAGCCGTATACTATGATGGAGCCGTGGGTCCCCAAAAAGAAACTAGGGGGCTGTTACCAAGAGGAAATAGATGCTGACCTGCCAAGAATGACAAGTGTCCCCTCGGCCATCCTATCCACAAGGTTAGACAGGTTATCCATGGCCTTTCTGGTTCTGTATTAAGAGCCCTAGCTATGTCGGGCACCCACGCCTGTAATCCCAGCACTTTGGGAGGCCGAGGCGGGTGGATCACAAGGTCAGGAGATTGAGACCATCCCGGCCAACATGGTGAAATCCTGTCTCTACTAAAAATACAAAAATTAGCTGGGTGTGGTAGCGAGCGCCTGTAATCCCAGCTACTCATGAGGCTGAGGCAGGAGAATTGCTTGCACCTGGGAGGCGGAGCTTGCAGTGAGCCGAGATCGCGCCACTGCACTCCAGCCTGGGCGACAGAGCAAGACTCCGTCTCAAAAAACAAACAAACAAAGAAAGAAAGAAACAGAGCCCTAGTTGGACTCCTCACACGCATTGTTCACCAAATCCTTGGTTGGAATATGGGAGGGGAAGCTCCACACTGAGGAACTGTAAGGCAGCCCAGCTCCGCTTGAGCATTGACATGGACGGGAGATGAGGTTCCAGGGCCTCAGGAGCTTCCATTCAATTTAACACTCTTCCGGAAACATACATTCAAGGAATTTTTAGCAAGAACTTATTCACATATGTGCAATTAGGAGAGAAGACCGGTGAAACAGTCATCAGCTCTTTGGTTAAATTATAATTATCAATCTTGTACATGATAAACATAACTTGTATTTGTCACTTAAAAATAAGTAAATACTTTTTTAAAAATACAATAATCAATCTCATTAAATTATAGAGGACATTAGCTCCTTGGAAATGAAAATCTTTGAAATTAATTTGCAAAGAACAAAATTTTGTAAACTGTAATTTAACCAAAGTTATAAAATATAATTTCAAATTAATGTGATCAGCCAGCTTTGGCTTAGAGGGCGGGTATCTGGAGAGAAGGTTAAAGGAAACTTTCCTTTTAAAATGATGCAGTGCTGGGTATGGTGGCTCATGCCTGTAATCCCAGCTACTTGGAGGCTGCGGCAGGAAGACTGCTCCAGCCCAGGAGTTTGTGATCAGCCTGGACAATATAGTGAGACCCCATCTCTACAAAAACTTTTTTTTGTTTGTTTTTGAGACAGTCTCACTGTGTTACTAAGGCTGGAGTACAGTGGCGTAATCTTGGCTCACTGCAACCTCCGCCTCCCAGGTTCAGGCGATTCTTCTGCCTCGGTCTCCTGCCTCAGCCTGGGATTACAGGTGCCCACCACCATGCCCACTAACTTTTGTGTTTTTAGTAGAGAAGGGGTTTCTCCATGTTGACCAGGCTGGTCTGAAACTTCTGCCCTCAGGTGATCTGCCCACCTCAGCCTCCCAAAGTGCTGGGATTATAGACATGAGCCACCTCACCCAGCCTACAAAAACTTTAAAAATAAAAATTAGCTGAGCATGGTGGCAAACGCCTGTAGTCCCAGCTACTCAGTAGGCTGAGGTGGGAGGATCACTTGAGCCCAGGAGGTTGAGGCTTCAGTGAGCTGTGATCCCATCACCACTGCATTCCAGCCTGGGTGACAGAGTGAAACCCTGTCTCTTAAAAAAAAAAAAAGAATATAAGCCCATGGTGTAAGAACAATTGATTTATACAAAAAGCAGACAGTGAAAAGAAAGTGACTCTCTCCAAACTTTTCATCGCTCTTTCTCCTCTCAAAGACTACCAGATCCTTACATAGACTTGTGGAAATATTCCAAGCATATGACTGCATGTATTCATACAGAGCTCCCTCTTGCTCATAATAAGTGTATTGCATATTATTTTGTACCTGTTCTCTTATTTATTTATGATTTATTTTGCACCCCCATGTTGATTGATAAATTATTGATTGATTGGATTTTGATGCAGGGTGTCACTCTGTCACCCAGACTAGAGTGCAGTGGCCCGATCCTGGCTCACTGAAGCCTTCACCTCCGCAGCTCAAGCGATCCTCTCATCTCAGCCTCTCTCTTGAGTAGCTGGGACTACAGATCCACACCACCACACTTGGCTAGCTTGTTATATTTTTGTAGGGATGAGGTCTCACTATATTGCTTAGGCTGGTCTTAAACTCCTGGTCTTAAGCGATCCTCCCACCTTGGCCTCCCAAAGTGCCAGAATTACAGAGGCCTACTGATTTAGCAACCAATAGATCAGTGGTTCTGGGCTACAGGCAACCAACTCCCACTCCACCTGTGACACTGGACTACAGGCAACCAACTCCCACTCTACCTGTGACACTGGACTACAGGCAACCAACTCCCACTCTCCTTGCCAGACTGGGCAATGTCTGAAGACATTTTTGATTGTCACAACTTGGGGGAGAGGTTGCTATGGCATCTAATGGGTAGAGGACAGGGATTCTATTCTGTTAATGTCCTATAATGCACAAGACAGCCCCACAACCAAAAAATGATCCAGCCTACATGTCCATAGTGCTGAGGTTGGGAAACCCTAGCTTGTGAGAGGTGACAGCGTGCTGGCAGTCCTCAGAGCCCTCGCTTGCTCTCGGCACCTCCCCTGCCTGGGCTCCCACTTTGGTGGCATTTGAGGAGCCCTTCAGTCCTCCACTGCACTGTGGGAGCCCCTTTCTGGGCTGGCCAAGGCCGGAGCCCACTCCCTCAGCTTGCAGGGAGGTGTGGAGGAAGAAGCACGAGCGGGAACCGGGGCTGCGTGTGGCGCTTGCGGGCCAGCTGGAGTTCCGGGTGGGGGTGGGCTTGGTGGGCCCCGCACTCGGAGCAGCCAGCCAGCCCTGCTGGCCCCGGGCAATGAGGGACTTAGCACCCGGGCCAGTGGCTGCGGAGGGTGTACTGAGTCCCCCAGCAGTGCTGGCCCACCGGCGCTGCGCTCGATTTCTCGCCGGGCCTTAGCTGCCTTCCCACGCGGCAGGGCTTGGGACCTGCAGCCCGCCATGCCTGAGCCTCCCACCCACTCCATGGGCTCCTGTGCAGCCCGAGCCTCCCCGACGAGTGCCACCCCCTGCTCCACGGCGCCCAGTCCCGTCGACCACCCAAGGGCTGAGGAATGCGAGGGCAGGGGGCAGGACTGGCAGGCAACTCCACCTGCAGCCCCGGTGCGGGATCCACTAGGTGAAGCCAGCTGGGCTCTTGAGTCTGGTGGGGACGTGGAGAGTCATTATATCTAGCTCAGGGATTGTAAACACACCAATCAGCACCCTGTGTTTAGCTCAAGGTTTGTGAGTGCACCAGTCGACACTCTGTATCTAGCTGCTCTGGTGAGGACGTGGAGAACCTTTATGTCTAGCTCAAGGATTGTAAATACACCAATCGGCACTCTGTATCTAGCTCAAGGTTTGTAAACACACCAATTAGCACCCTGTGTTTAGCTCAAGGTTTGTAAATGCAGGAATCAACACTGTATCTAGCTGCTCTGGTGGGGCCTTGGAGAACCTGTGTGTGGAAACTCTGTATCTAACTAATCTGATGGGGACATGGAGAACCTTTGTATCTAGCTCAGGGATTGTAAACGCACCAATCAGCGCCCTGACAAAACAGGCCGCTCGGCTCTACCAATCAGCAGGATGTGGGTGGGGCCAGATAGGAGAATAAAAGCAGGCTGCCCGAGCCAGCAGTGGCAACCCGCTCGGGCCCCCTTCCACAGCGTGGAAGCTTTGTTCTTTCGCTCTTTGCAATAAATCTTGCTACTGCTCACTCTTTGGGTCCACGCTGCTTTTATGAGCTGTAATACTCACCCCGAAGGTCTGCAGCTTCACTCCTGAGCCCAGCGAGACCACGAGCCCACCGGGAGGAACGAACAACTCCAGACGCACTGCCTTAAGAGCTGTAACACTCACCGTGAAGGTCTGCAGCTTCACTCCTGAGCCAGCGAGACCACGAACCCACCAGAAGGAAGAAACTCTGAACACATCTGAACATCAGAAGGGACAGACTCCAGACACGCCACCTGAAGAGCTGTAACACTCACCGCGAGGGTCCATGGCTTCATTCTTGAAGTCAGTGAGACCAAGAACCCACCAATTCTGGACACACTTGGACCAATGAAACTGCGGGGGCCATGTTGTGGCATTGGATGGGACACTGCCCTTATCGGGTCTCCTTTCCAGGATGGTCACTCTGGCAGGGAGAGAGTTGGATGGATTGGAGAGATTAGGGAGGACACACACACACACACACACACACTCTTAAACTGTTTCTAATTATTTGCTCTTGGTTGGGATGAAAAAGATACCGTGTCTGTTGACTTGTGAATGGGGGGCATTCCTGAAGAGGGAGGGAGGAGAGAGACAGAAAGAGAGACGAAGAGGAAGGGAGGGGGGAGAGATGGAAGGACTCATGAGTGACTGTCACAGGCAGGACCCCCCAAGCATTTGCAAATCCTAGCTCACCTATTGCCCTCCTATTTTAAAACTCCTTACTCCTAAATTCTTAACAAGAACCTGTTACCAAAGAATACCATTTTAACTCCACCTAGGCTGAGTGACAGCACAGCACAGGGGTCAGGACCAAGGCTTACAGAGCAGCCCAACCACCTGCCCCTAGGCTCCAAATCTGAATCCTGGATTCAGAATATTCAGGTGTGTATGCAAAGAAGGAAAGGCAACTTCTGTGACTGAGCTACAGGAAATGGAAAGAAGGAAGCCCCCCCTCCCCACGGAAGTAGCTCACCCATATGCTAGAAAAGAAAACCAAATTCTATCTGGAACTGAATCTGATCAGATTGGATTTTCCTCTTTTGGCAAGTGGGGGCTTGGCATTGCAGAGAGAGGTGGAAGAGAGAGGAGGGAAACGGTGCCCCGGACGATTTTCTTTTCCCTCCTGTAAGCTGAGCTTCCGGAGTCACCCCCACTCACCTGTCATGGGCAGCACCCGGAAGCTGCCGCTATCGGGCTGGTCAAAGCTACTGGGGACATGCAGGATTCATTCTGCTTTCATTAAGGACCCCTAAGCATCCTGGCCCAGCCAGACAGGAAGATGCAAAAGAAAAAAAATCCGAGGACAATGAAGCAGTGAGTGAATCGGTTGTGTTAATCTAGGGAAGAAGCCGGTCCACTACCCTCCCCACCTTGGCCAGAACTGGGTAACGCAGAGACCTGAGTCACGGGAAGAGGGTGCAAGATGCCCCTTGGAGGGCACGGCCCTGGGTCCTCATTGGCAGCCGGTTGCACGGAGTCTCTACTCGTCTCTCCCAGGCGTGGAAAAGGCCTCCCGGAATATCTGCAGCTCCAAAGATCATGACTTCAACCTCTGATGAAAAGACAACTCCAACTTCATTTTGGGGCTTACTGTTGTCTCCTTGTCGTGGAAGTATTTTTTAACCTTAGGAAAGTTTAGAATTATATGTGGAACAGAGGCAACTATTGAAATCATAGTATCATGTCATGTTACCTATAAGAACAGCTCTATGGCCAGGCGTGGCGACTCACGCCTGCAATCCCAACACTTTGGAGGCCAACATAGGAGGATCGTGTGAGCCCAGGAGTTAGAGACCAGCCTGAGCAACATAGTGAGACCCCGTCCCTAAAAATAAGATACAAAAACTTGGCCTGGCCTGGTGGTGCACGCCTGTGGTTTCAGCTTCTCAGGAGGCTGAGATGGGAGGATCACCTGAGCCCAGAAAGTTGAGGCTGCAGTGAGCCATAATTGCACCACTACAGTCCAGCCTGAGCGAAGAGTGGGATCCTGTCTCTTAAAAGAAAAATAAGGCCAGGTGTGGTGGCTCATGCCTATAATCCCAGCACTTTGGGAGGCTGAGGTGAGATCACCTGAGGTCAGGAGTTTGAGACCAGCCTGGCCAACATGGCGATACTCCATCTCTACTAAAATACAAAAATTATCTGGGCATGGTGGTGGGCGCCTGTAATACCAGCTACTCGGGAGGCTGAGGCAGAAGAATCATTTGAACCCGGGAGGCGGAGGTTGCCATGAGCTGAGATCATGCCATTGTATTCCAGCCTGGGCAAAAGAGCGAGACTCTGTCTCAAAAAAAAAAAAAAAAAAAAAGAAAAAGAAAGAGAAAGAAATAATGAACGAACAGCTCTATATTTGGTATAGAGTTTCTGACAATAGTCTTCTGACTCCAGCTGAAAATATGTGAGTGAGCATTTGATTTGGGGTTAGTAATTTTAAGCTGAAAAGTTTAAGAAAATGTGAAGTTTAAAACTGGTTACATGATTTGAGATGTTTAACAGAATTTAAGATTTATTCAACTTTTAAGAGTTAAGTATGTTAAGTAGTAAGAAAAACGGAAGTGTTTTTGAAAGATGAGATTATTCCATTAACATATGCTGTTGAAAACATTTGATGAAAGTTAATTAACAAAGTTGCTAATGTTTTCTTCAAGCATAATGTGAAAGTTGGCTAGATTCACATGTAGACTAATGAGGTTTGTAAAATGAACATGGAAGATTAAAGGAGAAGTTGCTTTTTGTGTGTTTTTGGTTTTGTTTTTAATTTACAATTTAAAAAATTCAAAAGCTGGTCTCAAAGACACCACCTTGAGACCAGGTTCAGAGCTTTATCATAACCTTAATCCCCTACCCACCTACTTCCCGAGAAGTAAAAACCAACTCCAGAAAGATTAACACGGAAATGGTGTTTTAAGGGCAATTTGAGGGAGAAATAAGAAAGGGATTTGCATCGTATGGCAGGGTAATAGTTTAATATTTCATCTTAGGCCTCTCACTGCTTCCCCTCACTGTGTCTCTCCTTTCAACGCCCTCTCCTCACCCTGTTTACTCTTCCTTGGTCATCTGTGGACGTGTATTCTTCCATGCATTTTTGTTTTTGTTTTTGAGACAGGGTCTTGCTCTGTTGCCCAAGCTGGAGTGCAGTGGTGGGGTCATGGCTCACTGCAGCCTCGGACTCCCAGGCTCAGGCGACCCTCCTGCCTCAGCCTCCTGAGCAGCTGGGACTACATGCACGTGGCACCACACCTGTCTAATTTTTTTGTTTTTTGTTTTTTTGTAGAAGTAGGGTTTCCTGATGTTGCCCAGGTTGGTCTCAAACTCCTGGGCTCAAGCCACACAACTTTTAAAGTAAGCTTATCCATTTCCTCAATGGATTTTCACTAGGATTCTATTGAACCCATAGAATAACTTGAGGGGGCGATGGCGTGTACTTTCTGTTACTTGCAAACCACAGCTTCCAATCAAGATGCTTCTCATCTCCTTTGTAAAAGTAAAGATTTCTGGCTGCACTTTTAGCCCTTCAGGTGCAATGCATCTTTGGAGGTTAAGCATTTAGTTCAGTCCCCCGGGTATAATTGGTGCTGGGTAAATATTTGTCATATAAGTTAATTTCATATCTAAACTCATCCTACAAGAAGTTGAGGTTTCAGAGCAACTCGTCTCATCCTCGTATAACTTACCTGGAGCAGCTTAGCCTCTAGGTGGCACTGCAGAGCCGGAGACCTGAGTATCCAGCCTTCATTAAATAAACCATCTCAAAGAAAAATGAATAGGGAGTAATTTGGGGAGATTAGATGGCTTGGGCTGGGACTCCTACCATTGCTCTCGCAATGCTCCATCTCTGGAGCTGGGGGGAACGTCTCAGTTCAGAAATTCCAGAACCATTCATCAACCCTTGGCGTTGACATGAAATGAAATAAAGTCGTTAGCTTGTAAAATACAGGATTTCGTTCTCCCTATATCTGTCAATCTGTTTTATGGTTGGTTCAGCCCTGCCATAAAATGTGAAGGAATTAGAATAAATGCTGGATTTACCGCTCCTTGAATACGCTTTCTGAAATGATACAGCCACGCGATACGGACACTCGGAGCCAGACAAGAACTTCTCTGTGCAGATTGTATACTCTAGTCCCTCCGGAGTTCATGAGCTTGGCCAAGGGGAGCTGCCTGTAGCATGTCTGCAGGGAAAATTAACATAAAACCGAATAAGTGACATCTTCAAGTGACTTCATCAATGGGAGCTAAGTCATGCCAAAGTTGTCTACTTGGGGCAGCGTAAACAAAGAAAGAAGTGACATACACCAACATCGATGGAGCCCCAAACATTATTCTGAGCAAAAGATACCAGACCAAGAAGTGGGTGTGTATTCTATGATGTCATGTATTTAAAATTCTGGCAAAGGCAAATCTAATCTATAATGGCAGAAAAGAGATAGGGAGTTATCTACAGTTGGGAACGGGGGTGATGGAGGGGCACAGAGAACTTTAAGGGTGATGCTAATGTTCTTCTATGTCTTTATTAGGATGGTTACCTGAGTTGTATATGTTAATCAAAACTCATGAAATCATTGCAATTAATGAGTTCAGGTGAGACTCACCTGAAGTAGGTGAGATTTATTGTATATAAGCTATACATCAATAAAGTTCATTTAAAAAAATCAGGATGTCTGACTTGGCACAGAAACTCCAGAGCCATGTTGCCGTGTGTGGACAGTAACTAATAGTGAATATACTCAGAAACTTTTTAAAAAGTTGTTCACTTCCTTATTTGATAAAGTATTAATTATCAGCAAATGTCAGCAATGCAGGCCAAGGGGCTTTGGGCAACAGCCAGCAGTGTTCATTAGCCTTAACCATCTCTGAAATATTTTCAATAAATGCATAGTTTATTCTTCCTCTACATCCCTAGGCTGTGTTTCTATGAAAGGCTCCTTGTCCTCTTGGAGATGGCTTCATTAGTCTTGGTAACAACTAACTGGTCATCTGGAAGTCAGCATGAGCTGGACAGGAAGTCAAGGACGGTCACCATTCATTTATTCATTTATCTGTTTGTTAATTCACTATTTCCTGAGTACCTATGAGGCCAGCTCTGTGTTCAGCAATTTTATGACAGAAAATGAGTTCGGATCTATCCTAAGAAGTTCACATGGATTAATTTAGTATTTATTAAATACTAGCTGTCTAATTGTTGTATGTAGAAAAAAGTTTGTGCTTCAATGGAAAACTATTATTTGTCACAGAGGACACCCATCTGATTATAGTCTTTCATTGTCTTTGAGCTATATTACAAATCTTTAAGTTGAAGATAACCGGCAGAAATGCAAAAATCATTCATATAGAAATGCAAATCCTATAAAGGCTAGAGATCCTATAAGAGGAGGACGGTCGGTAGACGTCCAGTTGACCTCCTTCCTCTGAAAGAATCAAGCTTGCCTTCATTTGAGCAGACATTTCAGCATTCCTGATCTATAAATGTGTCTGTTCTTAGGATTCTCTTTAGAACTGGTGGTAACATCTGTCGGGTTTCATCATTTACTAGTGAGCAGAATAGAATGTAATCATTAACATGCATTCATTTGTAAATCTGCATGACAGTCACGATTTTACCTTTTTTGAGAATTATCTTTTAACACACGATATACAGGGAACACTAACAATT
Organism: Homo sapiens; assembly: GCF_000001405.40. Classification (NCBI taxonomy): domain Eukaryota; kingdom Metazoa; phylum Chordata; class Mammalia; order Primates; family Hominidae; genus Homo; species Homo sapiens. The sequence continues at coordinate 130,028,736 of NC_000012.12, forward strand.
AGCGCAGTTGGGGAGGTTACTGACATCCCAGATCACTGGGAATGGGGCGCTGGCTCCATTTGGTACCATCTCAAATTCTGGAACAAGGATTCTCTCCCCCACCATCCCCACACATCCAGTCCTCGAATCTGGCTCTCTGGGGCTTATGTTTTTCTCTCATGATATTGAAGGATACAGGCTAGGGTGGCCTGCACTGGCTAAAACTCCTAGAGGCTGGGGTGTCACTCCTGGTAGATGCTCCACAAGCAAAATCCTGGCTGCTGTCATCAGGGGACCCTCAGTGGACCCCAGGGGAGGTGGCTTGCACGGCGTCTCTGTGCAGGGCTCAGTGGGGGCACAGCAGAGTGTGGGCACGTGGGCTGCTGGCTGAAGGGCCCACGCTCATGGGTGTTAGGGATGACAAGGGTCACACAGGAGGCAGAGGTCCCATAGCCCCACGGTTCCTAGACCTGACTCAGGAAGCGAGCCCCATGTGAGGCCGGCCTGCGTTTCAAAGGCGGAGGTGCTAATAATCCCAAAGGAGGACCACTTTCTCCCCAAATCAGAGATCGTGGAAAATGACAAGGCAGCCCACCCACCGTCCACTCACCCGCAGGCATCTCCACACCTGTCGTGGCCCCTGCAGCCAAGGCAGGCCTGTGTCCATCTGGCTGTCTGGACACAAAGGAGGAAGGGCCTGCCCGTGGTCAATTTTCCACCCGGCCCCTCCCCTCCTCACTCTTTCCAACAGCGCTCCCTTTGTTGGGAAGGGTGTGGTGGGGAACTGACCATGGGGGAGGCCCTTTCAAAGAGGAAATAAGGTGTGCCGGCACACCAGCACACGACGCTTGACCCCACACCACTCTGAGTCTGCAAATGCCCGTCCAAAGGCTTAGGTTGCAAATCACTCGCTCTTCAACACCTGTCTATCGCAAGCCTCCGATGCACTGTGCACTTTCTTATGGTTGCTGGAGATGGATACACAAACCATCAAACAACAATCTTTTGACTTCTGCTCCTTCGTTGCAGAATTTGGGAACCTGTCATGACCTTTCACCACCAGAAAAGACCACCCTGACTGATGAATCTGGGCAAGTTACCACTGTACGGATTGTGAGGTCGGTGACCGAAACTGCCGTTGATCACATGAATATATAAATGAAGAAATAAATGACAGAACCCATGAGAAGATGCTTGCTCGTGGATTTTAAATTTCCTATTGGCTAGTCTGGAATCACTTGGGGGTAGAACAAGATAAAGTTGGCTGTATCACCTATGCAAACATGGTAACAACAGCACATTGACATTAGAAAGTAAAACACTCAGTATTCTATGCAACAAGTTGGCAGATTACAACCCATGGGCCAGCTGCGTGCTTTTGTAAATAAAGTTTTATTGGAAAGCGGCCATGCCCCTTCATCTAATGTGTTATAGTGGCGGAATTAACTTGCTGTGACAGAGACTGTAAGTCCCCAAAAGCCTAAAGTATTTACTGTCTGGCTGTATACAGAAAAAGTTTGCCAACCCCTGATCTATGCTAAATACCTATTACTGTCATTGTTTAACAGCTGGAAACGGAAGCCACCTTAGTTATTTTAGGGAGAAAGGGAATTTAATAAAGGGAATTGGCAGTTTATAAAAGCAGTGGAAGGACTGTAGTTGAGGACAGCACCCAAGACCTCCAGAAATAGCTCCTAGAACAACCCCACAGAACCAGGCAAGGCAGGGAGTGCCTCCCCTTAGGGGTGAGGGAAACAGTACATACTACACTCTGGGACCAGGAAGCCACGCCTATGGTCCCCATAACTGCCTCTGGGCACCTGTGGATTTAGAAACTGTGCACTGGCCTCAAATGCAAAAACAATTTCCATCCCCTCTCTAATGATGTTGCCTGTAGGAACATTACAGTGGGTAGCTAGTCGGGCATGAGCAGGCAGGAGAGGGCTCCCCGCCACACAGACACACATACACCAGGAGTGTTGGGGGCCATCAGGTGGTGGTCAGGAGGTTGTTAACTGTCTCTCGAAAGTAATAACTGATCACAGCCAACACCAGGGAAAGGCAGGCTCCTAATAGATAGAAAACAGGTGAAACTCATCAGCAGTTTCCCAATAAGATCCTGGGAGTGGGGGAAGAGACACCAGACCCCGGGAGTAGCCAACGAATAAAACCCAAGTCAAACAGTCAAGCTGCACACTGGTCTTTTGAGTCACCTGCTTGGCCCTCTTCCAAGTGTACTTTCCTTTCCTTCTTGCACTAAAGTGTTTTGATCAACTTCCACTCCTGCTCTAAAACTTGCCTCTCTCTCTCCCATCTTGTGCCCCTCCTCAGATTCTTTTTTCTGGGGAGGCAAGACTTGAGGTTGCTGCAGACTCAGATCCCTTCCACGGCGAACAGAAGCATCACAAGGACGGCTTTCTCCTATGTGAAGGCTGCAGAAGGAGATTTCAGCTGTTGCTCAGGACGGCTCCCTGGCATCACCGGGAGTCCTGAGAGCTCATCGGAATACCGATCACAATGCTGGTGAAGCCAAGCGTCGCGCAGGGGCTCTGGGGAGAAGACGCCCAGGTTAACATAGGAGGTCGTTAGGCAGCACCCTCCCTTCCCGCATCTCCCCCCAAAAAAGCCTCCGAAAATTGCTCCGTGCCCACTTTGCAATAGAAAGTTCAGTGCCAAAACCAAAAAATAATGGATCATAGTGTCTTCTCAGAGTGGTGTTGGCAACACCAAAGGTTGCGGCAGAGGGGCAAGTTTTGCATCCTTTTCCTATTTTTGTTAACAAAACTGACAAACTATAGACCCCACAGCAAGCAGAGGTGGGGATGAGGTTACACTCCTGATGTTTTGGGTTTAAATTTATTACCATCATAATGCATGGCTCTCAAGCAACAGAGTGCTATACTAATAAGTGTAATAATAGATTTGAGCTTAGCGTCATAGGCTGTGAGAGAACAGGGTAGCAGAACCACACCTCTGTCCACCTCCAGGCTGAACACCAGGGGCTTTTCCCATCAGGGTCTCTGGGTCCACCTGCAGGTCAACTTTGAGAAACAGCCGCTGCTGCTGCCCTCTAGTGGCGATTCTCGGAACGGGCACTCGGAGAGCGAATGCTGTTTCTTACCTCACTGCTGGTGGGAAAATTAGATGATCAAAAACGCCACAAATATCTTTGGCTTAACCTTGATTCAAATTAAGGTCAAAACTCCTGGCCACAGTTACTAATCACTTGAGGGAGTAAAAAGCAATCGATGTAGCTTTTTTGTCAGTTGGCACAGGCTTTGAAAACGCAAAGCCCTATTTGTAAGATTAGAAGGTTAGTAAATGTTTGCATATCAGTTAGCGTAACATTTAAGGTCAATATATACTTTTTCTGGGTTTTGGCATCAAATGTTACTTAGGAGACGAAGAACTTTCTCCTTCTCTTGAAAGATTTATTTATTCCATGAAGCATGCACTTACAACCTTCAGTCTCACTGTCATGAATTTGCCTGAAGGGGAAAGAAAAAATGAGCTTCCTAAACATAATTTTATATGTTTTTAATTTTTTTCCAGAACATTAAAGTAGTTAAAAATATTGAAAACTTGAAAAGCAGATATATGAACACTTACAGAAAAAACGTAAATATAGTTTTATACCAAGATAGAATTCATTATCATTTTACTTCACTTAGATTAATTTAAAACCATTTAAGATCACCCCCAGTCAAGAGAAACTGTCAAACATGACTGCTGTCCCCATCGAAAGTGAGACAAGCAGAGAAGTCGTCTCTGAAGATATTTGTGGTGAGTTTGCTTCCCTGTCTTTCTTGCTGCCTGAGGTTCCGGCCTGGCACAGCTCTCAATCAGCCCTTATTCAAAATGTTAGATTTTGAGCATCTTAGGTTTTTTCATTCATTTTAAATTTTGCCCCTGAGGCAAGTGCGTTACTCACTTTCCCCGTGGTCTCCAAACTCGGAATCTTCTCACAGAAGATTATGCTGCATGGAAGATTGTTGTAGAACACTAATCAATCACTAGGTGTGATAACACGTTTTTCAGAAGAGATCAATTTTCCCCAACCTTGTGATCATTAACTTATGAGCTATGCCTCATTGATCTAACACTGTTAAAATCAATCAACCTAAAAACGATGTTGATATGGTTAGAATTATGGACATAGCCAAGGCATTCTTCCTGAAAAATAACTTTATTTTCAAGGAAAAATTGACAAGGGACTCTAATAAAATGCTTGGCAACACAATAAGCCATTTGGATTTTTCCATGACAGCATTTCCATGCTTCATTGGTATAATAACAATAAAGAAATGAGTCAATAAAACAGGCCACACAGATGATGAAAGATCGATTCAGTATTATTTTGCTGACATTTTAGATTTAATCTTCACATAATCTGGCTTTAGCAGAAGTCGCTGAAATCAATATGTTTCTTTTTAGCTATGTGGTTTTATTACCTTTTCTTGATTAGTATATTAACTAGCAGATTAGAGCATACAAGATTTCCTACAATATATTCAATTCACAAAAATAATGTTTCCCAATTCATCCACTTCAAAATGACCTTAAACTCCTGTATAGGAAAGATGAATTGCTTTTTTCTGGCAGACCTGGGAGCTGTCTAAGGGGCTCTTGGATGGACTTTGCAGCCATATCACACTCCTAAGAGGTGTGGGTTTAGACATCAACCTCTCTGCCCTGAACCACATTCTCTGTTGAACTTCCTCACCATTGATTTTTTTCTTAAATCTGAGGGTCAAAGCTTTCTATTATTTTCATTATATTTTTATCTCACTAGTTCTAACCTAATGCTCCAGGCAGTTGGGAAAATATTATCTAAATATCTGCTTTCATGGCTCATCTCTAAATCGGATCAGTAGGCTGAGCCTTTGCTAAAATGATTGAAAAGAACAAGAACAAGGTGAGATCTGGGTGTCCCTGCAGCAAAGGCTGCCTCCAGGTGAATCTTCATTTAGAAACAGAGCAGCCAAGAACACACGGGAGCCATCGCTGTTGCTTGTCCTAAATGCATTCTCTCGCTTGCTAAAATTCAGATACAGGGGACTGAGGCATTCTCTCACTTGCTAAAATTTAGATACAGGGAACTGAGGCATTCTCTGATCAAGAGACTCATCTCTGAAAGAAAATGAGATTGGCTTCATTTTCAGGCTTTCTCTCAGGAAGTGAGAGCAAACGCATGCTTCCTTTGCATGAATGCCATCTTCCTTCTGAGGCTCTCAAATGGGGTAACTCTGCTTCCCTGTTAGTGAAGGACGTTTCCGTGGTCAGCGGCAGAAACCATACAAAATGCACTTAAGAACAAACAGAAGTGACAGGATTGCATGACTGAAAAGTTTACAAGTAGTTCTGGCTTCAGGCATCGCTGGATCAAGGGGTTCAGAAATTCTCACCAGGACTCAGTCTCTCTCAAGCTCTTGTTTCTGCTTTCACAGGTGGTGACTTCATTTTCATTTCTAGGCAGGTTTGCCCTGTCTAAAAGCCAGATACGCAGTATATCTAGGCTTCATCATATTAGCTATAATTCCAGTGGAAAAAAGAGATTAAAAAATACCAAGAATCAATCCCCTTGGCCTGAGCACCCAGTTAGGATCAATGATCAACTCCTAGATCAATCACCATTGCTGCCTGTGGCAATGCTGCGAATGGCCCAGCCCCGGGTCCCATGCCACTGCTACAGGAGAGAGGTGGGGTTGGACCCACACAGGTCAAATAGGATGCTGCCTCCAGGAAAGGGGCACTAGGTTCCAGGAGGACAAAAACACAGATGTTCCCTCCACAGTGCAGTCAGAGCCCTGCCATGACCTGACAGCAAGCACTCAGATCTGTAGGTTTCCGAGACCCACGTCATCTCCCTGTTGAGAGTGGAGTTCACATTCACTCGCCTGCTGTTTCCTGGTCCCATGCTGATCCTCCTGGTCCCATGCTGATCCTCCTGGTCCCATGCTGATCCTCCTGGTCCCATGCTGATCCTCCTGACGGTCACTCAAACATCCATCATCCAGTTCTCAGCGACCACAGTCACTGGCATGGCTAGCACTGCTCTTGGTCCTCAGCTTCCTCAAGTCATTCCCTGTGTGTTTTTGGCTTTGACGCCCTTCTGCAACTGTATTCACATCCTCTTTCTATATGCATGTATATATTATAACTCATGGCTCGGTCATGCTCCTTTATGGAAGAGTTCCTTTTAAAAGAAATGGAGAAAATGCTTAGAAAAAGTGTATTTAAAATAATGTTTCCCCTACTTTTATCCCTTTCGGTGGCATTTCCAAAGAAAATCTAGGAGTCCACTTACTTCTCAATCCCTTCAGCAGAAAGAATTTCAAAACAGTGGGCTCACACTTCTGTGGCATTTTCAGTCTTCTTCACATTGGAACTATTTACTCATGGTATGTTTGTGGGCGTCCCTGCCTTCTGTGGACCAGGAGCCCCTGGGGAGTCTTGTTCCTTGCTCCTGGTGGAGCCTGGTCAGCACCTCACTCCGTGGCTTCGCGCTTCGCAGACACAGCGCACCTGTCATCGGATGAATTGATTGGGCATCTTGTCGAACACCAGCACGGGTTGTGCTAATGATTCTTAGCTCCATTGCAGCATAGCTGCAAATCAATCACTGTCTTCCAGAATTCCTGGATATTTCTTTTTTTCTAATCAGAAAGACAGTAGCAACACCTGGTGCCGAAGAAGTGTAGAGATGCTGATTTGTGTTTAGAGCATGCTCAGAGTTGACCTTCTCAAATCAAGAGGAAAATAAAGAGAAAAAGAGAGAATTCCTCGGCCCTGGCCAGAAATGGAGGGTGGACTTACAGCCAGGTGCTCAGGTACCAGATTGGTGGTTACTCTTCTGGCCTCGAGGGCATCAGCGTTGCTGACATGAACACAGCAGCCCCTTTCAGTCAGGTTTTGCTTTCAGTTACCCACGATCAACCACCGTCTGAAAATATGCAGTGGATCACTCCAGAAATAAATCATTTATAAGTTCTAAACTGTGTGCCATTCTGAGTAGTGTGATGAAGCCTGGCACAGTCCTTCTCCACCCTATCCCTGACATGCATTATTCCTTTGCCCGGCATGTTCACGCTGCAGACACGACACTCCGCGCCCACCAGCGGCTCAGCAGCCATCTTGGTGGTGAGCTGGACTTTCTCTGTATCACAGTGCTTGCATCCAGGTCACCCTTATTTGACTTAAGGATGGTCCCAAAAGACCATGTGCACGTGGCAAAGGCAGCCGTAAAGCACTTTTTTTTTTTAGTGAAAAGGTGAAAGTTCTCCACTTAATCAGGAAATAAAAGGAATGATAAGCTAAGGTTGCTAAGATCTTTGGTAAGAACGAACCTTCAATCTATGAAGTTGTAAAGAGGGAAAAATAAATTTGTGCACAACATCCATAGAGGTAAGCACTACCCGAGCTTTCAGGCATTCCCTGGGGGTCTTGGAACTCGTCCCCGGTGGATAAGTGTATGACTGGGGCTCTGCTTCCACTGGAGATCAGGATGTCTTCAATGTCTAAAAGAATGCACGAGACCCTGAGAATGCACCGGGAACATGCTCCCCAAACATATCCTTGCTTGTAAAATCACCCACTATTCTCTGAATATCCTCTCTCAACAATTAAAGTGACAGTTCTAAGTTATCACTCAGAGGATGTGGGGCCAAGTGCAGATATTAATTCTAAGAAATTCTTAGGCTGGGTGTGGTGGCTCACGCCTGTAATCCCAGCACTTTGGAGGCCGAGGCAGGTGGATCACGAGCTCAGAAGATCGAGACCAGCCTGGCCAACATGGTAAAACCCTGTCTTTTCTAAAAATACAAAAATTAGCTGAGCGTTGTGGTGTGTGCCCGTAATCCCAGCTACTCGGGAGGCTGAGGCAGGAGAATTGCTTGAACCCAGGAGGCCGAGGTTGCAGTGAGCCGAGGTCATGCCACTGCACTCCAGCCTGGGCAACAGAGAGAGACTCTGTCTCAAAAAAAAAAGAAAAAAGAAAATAGAAAAAGAAAAAGAAAACGATAAAAAAAGAAATTCTTTGCAAACAAAGAGTGAGAAACGCCATGGAAATTCTCCTGCGGGGACCTGTGTGATGACAATCAGATGGGTCATGCGGCCTTGAAGTTGTCGCTCTTCTCCTAGGTGAAGTTACTGGCACTGTGAGCAGAACCTGCCCAAAATGGCAGATCTCCATGGGGCCTCAAGGTCCAGTGTGAAGCGCAAGTCCTGCTGGAAAGGAAGGCGATCAGGGCTGGCAGAGAGCAGCACGTCACATGGCTCGGCAGGTGCTCTGCGTATGACAGCGCCTGGGAGAAATGGGAGATGACGTGCATTGCAAGCTGGACACAGTCCATGCAGGCCCCACCTCAAGATGGGCCCCACTTTAGGGGAGACCCTACTTGCTTGCTAAGAATGTCAATTAATGCCCCGTTTCTTTCTGCGGCCCAGAGAGCACCCGGCACGGCTCCCAATGCTGATGGCATCTTCATCGGGCAGCTCCTGGGAGGGCACTGGGATGAGGAGTTTGGCCAGGGAAAGGTAGCCAACTGTTCAAACTGTCCAAATCATGCAAACACAGAGCTGTAACTAATCTCTTATCATGCCTATTTTTATGGTTATTTCTTGACGAATTGTTAAACAAGGGGTGGATTATTCCTGCCTCCCCTTTCTAGAGCATATAGGGTAACTTCCTGATGTTGCCATGGCATTCCTAAACTGTCATGGCGCTGGCGGGAGTGTAGCAGTGAGGACAGCCAGAGGTCACTCTCATCGCCATCTTGGTTTTGGTGGGTTTTAGCCGCTTCTTTACTGCAACCTGTTTTATCAGCAAGGTCTTTATGACTGCTATCTTGTGCTGACTTCCCATCTCATCCTGTGACTTAGAATGCTTAACCTCCTGGGAATGCAGCCCACCAGGTCTCAGCCTCATTTTACCCAGCCCCTATTCAAAAGGGAGTTGCTCTGGTTCAAATGCCTCTGACAAATCTGGCTGTTTCTGTCCCTTACTTCTGTTTTCTGTACTTCACTTTCCTTTCTCTGTTGATAAATCTTCTTCCGCCCCATGGCTGTGCTGGAGTTTCTGGGCCTAGCCTGGCTCAGGAGACTGCCTGATTTGTGAATCGTTCTTTGCTCAATTAATCTCCTTTAAATTTAATTTGGCTAAAGTTTTTCTATTAACAACAGCAAGGGCTGACTGATGTATCTTAGAGCAAAATCGTGTCTCTTCAACAAGGCCCTGCGTGATGTGGGCCCTGTCTACCTCTTCAACTCACTGTGTATGACAACACAGACCTGCTGTCTGCAGCCTCAATCATCAAACCTGTTCCTGCTTCAGGATCTGTGAACTGGCTCTTCCATCCTCCCAGGAATCCCTCTCCCGCATACCACCATTCTCCCGCATCTCACCATTCTCCTGCATCCCACCGTGGCTGGCCTCCTGGGTTGATTTTGGTGCCAGCTCTCACATCTCCTCCTCCAGGAGCCCTCCCCAATGTCTCCGTCTAATTGTTCCCCTCCATGTTCCCCTGTCACCGGCCCTGTTCCATGTTTCCTGGTAGCACTCATCACTACCACTTTTTACAGATGTCCTCATGTGTTTGCTCTGTATCCCGTGTCTCCTCCCTCCAGATCATAAGCTTTCTGAGAACACAAGCCATGTCTGACTTATCACTGTTGCTGGCTCCAGAGCCTGATCATAGCAGCTGTTCAATAATATTTTTTAAACTGAACCTTAACTAGTTTCCATCTCAAATATATATGCAGAGAAGATGGTTATTACACCCATAAGTTTACCTATGAAATCAACAAACTAGTATATATGCCTTGTTAAAGTCCAAAAAGAGAAGGTTGTCAGGAGAATCAAAACAAAGCCAGCCCGAATGAGGAGTGGTTGTGAGGTCTCCATAAAGAGCCCGCCCTAGGAGGTGGGTTGATCTGGGGCCCCGAGAGCAGGCAGGAGCCTGGGCTCCCAGCAGCTGAGGGCCTCCAGGTCTGTTTTCATGTAAACTAGTGAACGATCCCAGCTTCTCAGGTCGGTTTTCATGTAAACTGGTGAGTGACCCCAGCTTCTCAGACCTCCTCAATCCTGCTAGGGAGCTTTGATGGTTTGGATCAGGAAAAAAAAAAAAAGTCTTTCTAGATGAGAACTGAAGAGACAAATCAGCCTTCAAATTGGGCATCTCTCTATACCTGTCCCACCTGCATGGAAGAAAATGAGGAAGTGTCCTCCCTCGGGAAGTAATAATCCAGATAATAACATGCTTGCCTGACACCATTCCTTTCATCTTAGCATCTCGGAGCTCTTAGAAATATTAAGGATTTAATGGGTGTCACTGGGACGCAAAGCCATTCCAAAGCAGCCGGTATCTCAGGTTCCCATCTGGGAATGGGCTTACTCTGGTCCATTATAATGACAGCCCTGTAAGCAAGGTGCTATTAGCCTGTTTCCCAGATGTGGGGGAGTGAGAGCCAGGCAGGGCTGATAACATTGCCACCTACTCCCTGCCTCAGGAGTGCCATAGAGGCCAGTGACATCGTGGGTGCTTCAGGTTGGCAGGGACTCAGGAGGTTGGAGTCACAACTGAATGAAGAGGAATCAGAGCCTGGGAGTTCACATGCAGACCAGCAGGACAAAGGCAGTCCATTCACTCCACGAGAATGCACTGCACAAAAAGACAATCCAGTGGGAAAAAAAAGTGGTCAAATGACTTGAGCAGACATTTCTCCAAAGAAGATATACAAATGGCCAATAATCACAGGCAAAGATGCTTGTATTAGTCTGTTCTCACACTGCTAATAAAGACATACCGGATACTGGATAATTTATAAAGGAAAGAGGTTTAATTGACTCACAGTTCCCCAGGGCTGGGGAGGCCTCAGGAAACTTACGATCATGGTGGAAGCAGAAGCAAACACATCCTTCTTCACATGGCAGCAGCAAGGAGAAGTGCCGAACAAAAGAGGGGAAAGCCCCTTATAAAACCATCAGATCTTGTGAGAACTCACTCACTATCACAAGAAAAGCAGCATGGGGGTAACTGCCCCCGTGATTAAATTACCTCCCACTGGGTCCCTCCCACAACACATGGGTATTATGGGATTGCAATTCAAGACAAGATTTGGGTGGGGACACGGACAAACCATTTCAGTGCTCAACACCATTAAGTCACGAGAGAAATGCAAATCAAAACCACAATGAGATACCACTTCACATCTCCTAGGATGACGCTACTCAAAAAGGCGGAGAACAACAAGTATCAAGAAGGATGTGGAGAAAGTGGGGCCCTCCTGCACGACCGGTGGGAGTGGACAATAGTGCAGCCACTGTGAACAGCAGTTTGGTGGTTCCTCAAAAAGTTCAATGTAGAATTACCACATGACCCAGCAGTTCCAATCCTAGGCTTAGATCAAACAGAATGGAAAACAGATACTCAAACACAACATATTCACAACGCATTCATAGCAACACTATTCACAATAGTAAAATGATGGATTAGTGGGTACGAATATGGAGTTTGATAGAAGAAATGGGACCTAGTGTTTGGTAGATCAGTAGCGTGACTACAGTTTCCAATAATCTCTTGCATATTTCAAAATAGCTAGAAGAGAAGAAATAGAATGGTACCAGCATGAAGACAATATTTAAGATGATGGAGATCCCAAGTACATAGATTTGATCTTTACAAATTATTTGAATGTATCAAATTACCACATATGTCTCAAAACTATGTACACCTATTATGCATCAATTAAAAAGCTTTTAAAAAAGTAGAAACAATGGATGAATGGATAAACAATTGTGATATATCCGTAAAGTAGAAGATTATTCAGCTGTATAAAGGAATGAGGCTCTGATATGTACTACAAGATGTAGGGGCCTTGAAAACACCACGCTAAGTGAAAGAAGCCAGTCACAAAAGGCCACATGGAGTATAATGCCATTGATATGAAATGTCCTGAATTAAATAAAGCCACAGCGGCAGGAAGTGGATTCATTGTTGCCAGGGACAGAGAACAGGGAGAAATGGAGAAGGACCACTAGCGGGTACAGAGTCTCCTTTCGGGGTAATGAGAATGTTTTGGAAATAGGTAGAGGAGGGGGCTGTACAACATTGTAAATGCACTAAATGCCACTGAGCTGTTCGCTTTAAAATGATTAACTATGTTCTATGAATGTCAATTTAACTTTTTTAAATGCAGAGTTTCTTTACAATAAAATGACAATCGCTGACATTTACTGAGCACTTCTATATGCCAGCCTCCATTATCATCACTGGTCTCAGATCAACTCAGTTAATCCTCCCAGCAACCCTGCCAGATAGGGACTATTAGTCTCACTTGCAGATGAGAAAATTGAGACACAGAAAGTTAATAAATTGCCCAAGTTTCCCAATATAATAAGAGGCAGAGCCAGCACAGACCCAGGCATCTAAACAACCAGGGGTCCTGCACCAGTAACCTTTGGCACTAGAAATTCACACTGATCACTGGGTGCCTGCTCTTGAGGTGCTTCTATTCTGAAGGGTGGGCACAGATGATGAACTAATTGCCAAAAAAAGCCTCCTTGCAGGCTGTGAAAAGCCCTCTGATCAAATGCAAATACTAACTATAGTTCAATTTGGAACAACACTTTTGCACCGATTGCAACTGAGATTGGCTAAAGATTCACGAGTTTGGCAAACATAACCAGAAGCATTCCATGAAGATTAACTGTCTCTCATGGAATGTATACTAAATATGATTGTATACTTTTTACTGTTTGTAATTTGTGTACTACACAGTTTTTATATTAGTAAAATTTATTATATATGTGTATATAGATGTAGGTATGCAACACACAGATGTATATATCATATGCACATCCCACCCCCAGCCTGGAACTTGTTATTAAACATTTTCTAGCAAAACTATTCCCTACTCATGGAATTTTCATTCTCCTGTCAGTCTCCAGGGTGAGCAATGTAGGGATCACAGAACAAATTCAACCTAAAGAAGAAAACTGTCTGAATATAAGCCCAAAGAAGGAAGTTAAAGAGACCATCCTTTGAGAAAAAAGCATTTAGTGTTGGGGACCAACCTAGGCTTTCATTTACCCAATAGCGTGAGTTTAGGCGATCTATTATCTAGATCTATTATCTATTATCTCTATTATATTTAATCTCAGGAAGACTCAGTTTGTTTATCTGTAAAGTAGGGGACACAAGAGGAATGAGAGTTGTCATGAAGATTAATAGTCGCTAAAATATGTTGGTTCTAAGGGCTGACCCTGAGCTAGGCATTCTACATGCATTCTCTCTGAATCCTCAAAATACCCCTAATATCTACCCATCCCTCTGGAATGGGGAAGCAGCGGCAGAGGGAGGCGAGCACAGCCTGACCCCAGGGCGCAGAGCTGCACAGAACGCGTCCACGCTCCGACCGCAGAGTCTGCTCCCAGCTGCTGGGCACACCCCTGGCTCAGAGGCGCACAGAGTCAAGCCTGATAAGCGGTATTATCCTGGAGGCAAGGCTGCTTACTGGCTCTGGCTTGGTCGCCTGCGTCCGGAACCTGAAATCCACAAAGGTGCACACAGATGTGGGTCGCTGCCTTCCCAACAGGCTCCTGCCCGGTTCACCTGGGGAAGCGCAGGGCTGCGGGCACAGGATTCTCCCATCAGACACCGGGAGAGCATCTCCGCGGCAGCTTGCAGGGCCCGCTGTCTCCACTAGGGGGCGGCGTACGCGCGTCTCTCGAAGCCGGGACCCGCGCGGGGAGGCTGCACTGGCTGGAAACAGCGCCTGGGCGCTCCCGCGGCTCCCACCTCAGAGATGTCCCCAGGTGCCCCACGCCCCCCGCGCGAGCCCCGACACGCGAGCCCCACCGCACTCCTCAAGGGCTTGTGTGGATCCTTTTGTCCCCACCCCCAAGGAGCTCCTCTGACCCAAATTCCTGCTGAGCTCACTCCAGGCCAACACCCCGAGCCACGCGCTTCCCCAGGGAGGATTCCAGCCCCCTCCAGTACGGCCTCAGCCGAGGAGCTCCCGCTGGGCCGAATGAGGCCCAGAAAACACGACCTGCCAGGAGCGGATATCATCCACACACAAACACACTGGTGCAAATGCATACACACATGCATACACACACTCATACACATGTTCATGCAAGCCCATGTGCAAACATGCATGTGGCATATGCACGCACACACATGCATACATTTACCCACACCTACACGCACATACATGAACACACATGCACACATGCATACATTTACCCACACCTACACGCACATACATGAACACACGTGCACACACATGCATACATTTATCCATACCTACACGCACATACATGAACACACGCACACATATGCATACATTTACCCATACCTACACGCACATACATGAACACACGTGCACACACATGCATACATTTACCCATACCTACACGCACATACATGAATGTGTGCGCACACACATGCATACATTTATCCATACCTACACGCACATACATGAACACACACACACATATGCATACATTTACCCATACCTGCATGCACATACATGAACACACGCACACACATAAGCATACATTTATCCATACCTGCATGCACATACATGAACACATGCACACACACGCATACATTTACCCACACCTACACGCACATACATGAACACATGTACATACACATGCACGCGTGCATGCATGTGCACACATATATATGGACTTACACAGGCATGCACATATGCATGGTGCATATACATACACTACATACACACATGCACACACGCATATAGCTGCATACATATACACACATGCACACAATACACCCACGTATACACACATGCACGCGTGTGCATATGTACACCTGCATACATATACACACATGCACACATGCACTATATACGTGCATACATAAAAACACATGCACATATATACACACATATACCCCTGAATACATGTACACACATGTGTACATGCATAATACACCTGCAAACATATACACACATACAAATGTGTAGCACATACATTGCTCCAAATGCACACATACGCACATGCCTGCATATGTGTTTGTATGTGTGCACACACACCTCCCAAACAGTGGCTGACATCTGGTGGGGATGGATAAATATTTGCCAAATAGGTGAAAGTACACATGGACATCACAGGGGAGGCCCTCTCCCCCACAGGGCCTTTGGACCTGCCAGTCCTCTGCCTGTTTACTGTTTTCTCACCTGGCTGAATTCCACTTAGACAAGATGTTGCAACAAGGGCCTGCAGAACACACCTGGCCTACAGTTGTGTCTTGTATGGTCCACTGACTATTTTAAAAAGTTACAAGTTGGCAACATTTAAAAACTGAGAAATCTGATACAAATTCGCAAAATCCTGTGACCTTGGAAGATCATATATCTGGCAAGATAAACTCCTATTCACATCCCAGGGAGTGATCAAAGCTGGGCAGAGGATGCCTCCCCAGATGGCGAAGTTCCCTTTGCCACCGCCCGCGCCTTCATGCTCTATTGTGCCTCATCGCTCACGCGTCCACACTACTTGCTCAACACCTGCAAATGTGTGCATTTTTAGCCTCTGACTTCACCTTGCTTCCTCTTCCAGGAAGCCATCCATGAACCCCAGGGTTGGGGCTTCTCCTCGGTGCTCCCGCATCTCCCTGGATGGGGGTCGTCTCTACCAGCAGGCTGGGGGATCCCCGAGGGTCTGTGTTCTGCTCACAGCTGGATCCACTTCCAGCTCTGAGTGCCGTAGGTGTCAGGCACACAACAGGTACTCAAAAAATGTTGATGGAATCGGCAAATAATCGCAGAGCACGTTATCATGGGAATCTGGGCTGAGCTTTATAAGGGGAGCTTGAATTTAGGAGCCGAGAAGAGAATGAAAGAATCCGAGGCAGGAGAAGGTCAGGGCTGCCGGAAGGGAGTAGGACACTCACTCGTTTGGGGAAACAGTAGCCTGGTGTGGAGGTCCGGGCGGGTGCTGGGAACCACGAGGGCAGCGAGGTTGTCCTGGCAGAGTAAATGTTCGTTGTTTAGCCACCAGTCTGTGGTACTAAAGATGAAGCAACTAGAATCCTTGGGACAAAAGGCAGGTCTAAAAGTGTCCTTTGAAAGAACCCTTAGGAAAGTCACACTAGCATTTCCAGGAGCCGTGCGGCCAGTGGACCCAGGTGTGTGTGGCGTCTGCCCTCCCCCACCGCCACCTGACTCAGGAGGTACAAGAAGCAGAAACAGCCAAGGCCTGGTGTCCTCAAATAGGTGGCAGAATGACGTGGACCCTGAATAAGACGATGAGGCAGGAGAGAAGAGTGGCCTGGTGACTCGGGAACAGTCAGTGGCTGCGGTCTGCATGCAGGACTGAGGGAGCTGCCTCCAACCCTCCCCACTCCTGCTCTCCGGGGGTTGGCGGAGAAGCTTCCAAGGGCTGTGCGCAAAGGCAGGAAGTCCAAGATCCTTTTAATGAGTTTACTCAGCCTTTGGAATATCAAGTATTTGTTTTCCTAAGACTGGAAAGAAAGGGTCAACAGCCGGCCCCCTCCTGAGCAGCCCAGCTGCTTTGTCCTCAATTTGTTTGGGCCTCTAAAGAGCTCACGTTTATCAAAGGCCGTTTCGCACCTGAGGCCCCGAGTTACTGCTGCCTGGAACACAGGGCTTTAGTAATCCGCTCAAATCCCCAGGCCAAACAGTGGCACCAAACAGATCTCCTCCGAAATCACTTTGAACTTCAGTCCCAGGAGGCATTTTGGCTTATGCAGGATGGTCTTTGAAGAGGAAGTTGCTCTCTGTCCTCTGTCGGCGGCGGGACAGAGTACGGATCCAGGCGTGACTGTGCTGCAGATTTGCCAGCCTGTCCTCCTTCGCGCCGGGGCAGCCTGTCCGCCTGGGCTGCCCTCCGGGGCTCCTTTCAAAGGCTCCACTTCCCAGGGTTCACAGGCTTCAGGGCAGGAGCTGACCTAGACCACAGGCGGTCGGCAACCCGACCTCGTTTATTCCTTTGAGTTTTGAGGGTTGTTTTGGGGGGATTTTTTGGGTAATTTCTTCTGACACACTTACAGAAAAGTTGTAAGACTGGCAGAGAGCATTCCTGGATCCTTTCATTCAAATACCCCAAGAAGGAACACCTTACTACATTTAACTACATTTACTCTCTCCCTCTCTGTTTCACACCCTTTCTCTTTATACACACACACACACACGCCTACACACACACACACACATAAAATTTTTCCTTAAGTGTTTTAAAATTTAACCTCTAATGATATAATTAAACTCATTCTCCTTGTAAAACATTAAACCCTTCCAGACAAGGAGAACATCCCACTGACTCTACCTAAAGAATCCTTCGCTTTTCATTTTCCTGCATGGATGTGTGCCCCATGGAGTGACCGCAGGGTGGAACTCAGAGCTGGAATCTCTGCCCCATCTCCTGTGACACATTTTCCGCCTGTCTGCCAATGTGTTTTTATATATCCTGCAACTTAGATCTCTCCCTCAGCAACTTATCTCAGAGATCTCACCAAACTCGTATGTAAAGTCTCTGCCATTCTTTTTTAGCTGGTGCCATTAAAAATGTTTTACTCATCAGATTGGCAAAAATATTAAAGTTTGACATTATCATGTACGGGGAAAGGTGTTAAGGAAAGGTTCTCATTGGTGGGGGTGTAAATTGGAGCCACTTTAGGGCAATTTGGCACACATTTTAAAACTCACAGTGCACTCACTACGACCCAGCGGTTCCAGGTATCTGGATCTAAATGAGATCCCTCCAGTGGGCGGGCGTGGGCACATGGAGGCACGCAGCGAGCTTGCCCACGGTGGGGCTGGAGCAAAGAGTTGGAAGCTGGAATGCACCTCGGTAGGGGGTGACCAGGGACATCTCTGCAGTTGGGGAATACCATCAACCATAGTTCCCAACGTCAGATTCCCATGAAGGTTTCTTTAAAAAAACAACAAAACAGCCGGGTGCGGTGGCGCACGCCTGTAATCCCAGCACTTTGGGATGCTGAGGCAGGTGGATCACTTGACGTCAGGAGTTCGACACCAGCCTGGCCAACATGGTGAAACCCCGCCTCTATTAAAAAAAAAAAAATTAGCTGGGCATGGTACCACATGCCTGTAATTCCACCTACTTGGGTGGCTGAGGCACGAGAATCTCTTGAACCCAGGAGGCAGAGGTTGTAGTGAGCCAAGATCGTGCCACTGCACTCCAGCCTGGGCGACAGAGCAAGACTCCATCTCAAAAAAAAAAAAAAGAAAGAAAACAAAACAAAAACAACAACAAAAACCGAGACACCCAGTTCACATCCTTAGATTTTACTTTTTATTAATTTGGTCTGGGATAGGATTCAGGCATCAGTATTTTTTTTAAGTTCCTTAATGATTTTAATCGTCAGCTGGGACAGAACCACTGAGGTCCCCTGGCAGAAATGGCTCCCATATGATGCCAACAGAAAGTTTCCTGGCCGGGTGCAGTGGCTCACATCTGTAATCCCAGCACTTTGGGAGGCCGAGGTGGGTGGATCACGAGGTCAAGAGATCAAGACCATCCTGGCTAACACAGTGAAACCCCGTCTCTACAAAAAATACAAAAAATTAGCCGGGCGTGGTGGCGGGTGCCTGTAGTCCCAGCTACTTGGGAGGCTGAGGCAGGAGAATGGCGTGAACCCGGGAGGCGGAGCTTGCAGTGAGCGGAGATCACGCCACTGCACTCCAGCCTGGGCGACAGAGCAAGACTCCTCAAAACAAAATAAAAAATAAAAAGAAAGTTTCCCCATTGGCCTGCAGGTGGCATGAGTGAGCAAGACTTGGGTAAAAAAAGAAAAAAACACGGAAAACCTCACTGGGTCATTTCACTGCCCCGGCACTGCTACTATCCTGGGTGCTGTTCTTCGTGTTTGTGGGGAACTTTGCAGAGCTCCTTGATTAAGCCCAAGTCCCCACTGACCACAAACCAACACAGGGCCTCCAAACGGGGCCCCAACCCCACCTGCCTTGAGCAGGTCCTGCTGCACCCAGGCCCCTGATAATGGAGATGACCGCAATGCTCTCTGCTCACCGCTTTGAATGCATCATTTCATTTATTCCAGCTTACAACCCTAGGAGGTCGGGACTCATACCCACCCCACGGCAGGGATGCAATTTTCCTCTATGCAAATTACCAAAGAGGAAGCTGAAACAGCAATGTGGTGACTCTGAGCCACAACTTGAGGTTAGACGGCCTCTTTGTTCCCAAAGTGTGTTCCTGAGGTACCACGGGGCGTGCAGCCAACTCATCATAGCACATGCAAATGTTTTCTTTTTTTAAGGAAAACAGGAACATCTGTCAGACACCTTGCAAATTACTTCTGTTAAGTTATTTGGACCTGAGGACTTCATAAATGAAACAGGTGTTTCTTTCTCCTAGGGCACTATGAAAACATCACTAAGACACGAAGGTGCTGGTGGACTGAGAAGGTTTTGGGGAATGTCTGTCTCAGATCTCATGATCACACTACACCATAGCACTGGTGCCGCCCCTGCTGAGTACCTTTCCTGGTTCCCTACCGCCACAAGAATAAAGCCCCAAATCCACATCCTGGCAATCGGTACCCCCACGGGTGACAGTCCAGCATCCCACAGCCAAGACCCTACCATGCCGGACCACTGGACGTCCCCTCCTCTGCCAACACCATGCCACGCCAGACCACTGCTATTCATTCCCTCCTCTGAGACCCTGCCACACCAGACCATGGGATGTTCCCTCCTCTGCTGAGACCCTACCATGCCAGACTACTGGACATCTCCTCTGCTGAAACCCTGCCACGCTGGACCACCAGCTGTTCCCTCTTCTGCTCTGACTTTGCTCCCTCCTCCTCCTGAAAGAATATGTCACCCTCTCGACTTGTCAAGGTCTGCACTTGACCCTCGAGGCTAGCTCAAGGCCCATCGTGGCCAAGTAACTTCCCAAGAACCTGGCTCTGGAACCCAGGGGGATTTGCTTATTCTTTCACCTGACTTTTGAGGACCCAAAGGGCAAGGGCCAAGCCCTGTTATCTTGGTATCCCTGCATGTGCTGTGTATTTCTCATTAAAATACAAGCTCCTGGGTTCAAGGCCTCAGTACAGTTGAGCAGGTTGTGCACTGCACAAACCTTGGCTGAGCAGAAAGCAGGGACTGAAGTGTCGAGTCTGTAGGCAGGAAAACACCTTATGACTAATCCACAGAGGTGTGTCATGGACTGCAGTGGCCCATCCATGTCAGATATCCTTGTCTTCATCACCACCCTCCTATATTTTGGGCCCCCAACAGCACAAATCCTCATGCCTATTCACTGAATAAACAACAAAGTCACATGTGTGAGCCCTATTCTGTTAAAAACTCTGAAATCTTCCACAAAATGCAAGCTTTTCTAATAATAGCTAAGTGACATTTACGCGTTACGAACATAACTTACTTCATTACAAAAAACCCTTAAAACCATAAATTAAGCACTATTATTTTCATCTTCATGTTTAAATCGAGCAAATAGAGTCAGAGAGGTTACATAAGCTTTCAGAGACCACACAGCTCATAAGTGGTGGAGTCGTGCGAACATCCATCCAGGGCATGTGAGTTTGCACATACCATGAATTTAGAGCTGATGTTTGTGAGTCGGTGGTGGATTCTTCCTGACCCTCGGGTCATAGCCAAAGTGTCTTCCTCATGTGAGCAGACCCTGCTGTGGGAGAGGTCTCTTGAGGGGCCAGTTCTGCAGGATTCAGGGGCCCTATGCAACCAGGCCTTCCAGCGAGTGTGAGCACCCAATCCCCTGCATTCAATCCCTTCCTGTGTAAGGTAGCTGGAGTGACTTCTATTCATGTAACTGAATCTTGACTGCTACATTTCCTCTCTCACCTCCAGAATCCCAGTCTTGCTGACACACGTCTTAACTTCACCCCTTTCCCATTGGCAAGGTCTCTGCCTTAATTCAGGTCTGCACGGCTCCTCCCTGGAAATCGCAAGGCAACGCTCTTTTGATTCACTGTGGCTCCAGGTTTTTCACCTCTCCAATCCCACCTCGCAAACCCTGTTGCATCCCTCCCTGGGTGGGTTCAATCTTGCTGGGGAATAGGATCCAATTCACAAAGACTTAACACTATAAAAGGCCAACCTTATCTCCTAAGCCTGACAGCTGACGCGTTGGCCACTGGGTGTCGGGCTTTCTCGTAAAGGTTTGCCATGTCTTGTCCTAAGGACATCCTGAGGGAGGTACAAGTTGATCACTCCTCTTCTGAGGAGTCGGGGTTGGAGAGGGGGCGTGTGGTTGGATCTCACGTGTATTTGGTAATGGAGGGCCCTGAGAGTCGAGACCCGTCAGTTTCATTTTACCTCAAAAGCACTTTTGGCTGCTTCTCAGAGAAAGGGATTCACTTTCTATCACAATCTGCACACATCCAGTGACACAGGGTCAGGAACCTACACACGTGCCATGCATCAGCCCTGTGATATTTCCCATTCTAGTTTATTTCAGTCTGGGCAATTCTGTTCCATGCCAGCCTAGCCTATTCTATTCTATTCTATTCTATTCTATTCTATTCTATTCTATTCTATTCTACTCTACTCTACTCTACTCTACTCTACTCTACTCTACTCTACTCTACTCTACTCTACTCTATTCTATTCTATCCTATTCCTTTCTACCAATCTTACTCTACTCAATTTCACCCTGTCCTATCCCAGATTCTAACTTACCTTATTCCCTACTCATCCTTCCACCTTAGCTTTGCTTTTCTAGACTTTTTTTCTCAACCAGGATCCAGAGAGAATTAAGCTTGAACGTTCTCAGCCATTCATTGTATATCAATCATCAACCTTTATCCTAGGCACCTAGAGGGGTACTAGTTATAATCCATTTTTGTGAGAATTGAGAAAGTATTTGCTTAGATCATTTTCTACATGTTATGGTTCAGATAAGAAACTCTGGTTTGAAGTCTAAAATGATCTCACAACCACTAACGGGTCACTCACTCTATCTGCCTGCCTGCCTCTCTTTGAGGTTTATAATAGAGCCACACCCAGGCAGGGTTAACATTTAAATAAGCCCCAGATTTTCAGAACCCTGTCTTGGCAGTTGTTTGTTTTATTAATATACTAGGAGTTCCCCAAATTGAATTGGCCTCACCCTCTCAACCTCCAAGATGCTCTGTCCCTGCCAAGACAAATTTGTAACTCCCTGCTTCTCAAAAAATAAAGATCAGTCTCCATACTTCGATGTTGAGGATCTTCCGTGGCTCAGCCGCAACCTGCCCTCCTGGCCCAAGGGCTGCTGTGCCCTGCCCACCTCTCCTCTCTGTCCCCTGAGCACGTTGTTCCCTCGGTGGACTCTGGGTAGCCTTCCTCCTACAGCCCTGGCCGCCCCTCCCCTCCACAGCCCCTTCACACTCAGGTCACTCCCTAGAGGAGGGGACAACTGCCCCTCTGTCCTTCCAAAGCCATTGATGCAATGATCCCACGGCCATGTGTGTGCAGAGACTGTGCTGGGCAGTGGGAGATGCAGTGATGAGAAGGCGAGACCAGATCCTGTCCTCAGGGAGCTCAGAGTCTCATTACGGAATAATCATGGTAGATAGCATCTTTATATGCTACTGATTATGCTTCAGATACTGTTCAAAGCACTTTACACAGATGTGCTTACTAAATCGTGGAAGCAAGCCCATCAGGCAGTACCATTATTCTTCCCAGTTTGCAGATGAAGACAGAGGCACAGAGAGGGTGAGCCACTTGCTCAAAGCCACACCGCTTTTCAGTCATCAAGCTGAGATTTGAATCCAGGCAGTCAAGCTACAGAACCCATGGTCTGAAACAATTAAAAACCAGAGTCTGTTCATCAGAGAAGCATAGCGAACATCTGTTATCTTCCAGGGGAACGTGACTTAGGCTTGAGGTCAGGAAAGGATTTTCTCTCTTTAGACTCATGCCCCGGGTCAAGACCATCTATAAACTGATGACTCTAAAGTTATTTCTTCAGATGCACCTGCACACCTGCCCCATCAGTATCGCCATGGGCATGCCCGAGAGGCCTCTCAAAATCTTCAAGTCCCCAAACAAACTCTTAGTCTTCCTCCACACACCATCTCCTTCCACACTTGTCCCCACCAGAACAGTTAACACCCATCCTCCTGATAGCACAGCCCCAAGCTTCTGAATCATCTGACTCGCGCCTCTCTCTCTCTCTCTCTCTGTTTCTCTCTCGCACACACCCCTGTCTCTTTTCCCACCCAAATATTGCTTCTCTGAGACCAAAGAGTTTTGTGTGGGTTTTGGGGTTGCTTTTCTCTGTTTGCTTTAATCACCCTATGCCCGGCGTCTAGATCAGGGTCGGCATATGCATTCTCTGCATTCTCTGTCCCTGGTTAGGTAACAGATACTTCAACCTTTGCAGACCCTGCGGTCTCTGTGGCAAGCATTCCACCCTGCCGCCAGGGCACACAGCAGCCACAGATGATATCTCGGTGAGGGAGCGCAGCCGTGTTCCCATAAAGCCTTATTTGTAGACACTGAAAGTTGACTTTCCTCTGAGTTTCATGTGTCACGAAGTAGTCTTCTTTTGATTTTTTCTAATTATTTGAAAATGTAAAAATAGTTATTCGCAGGCAGACTAGATCTGGGTTCAGTCCCAGAGCCGTCGTTGGCTGCCCCCTAGCCTGCCTGTAATAGGTGCTCAATGAATATTTGCTGACTGAGTGGGGAACATGACCTTGGATCTTAAATGTGAGATAAGAGAGAATTGATCAGATGACGGAGAGAAATAACCATCCAGACAGAGGGGGCGGCATGGGACAGGTACAGGTGCGGAGGGGAAGGTGGCCCTTTCTGGTGCTTGAAGGAAGCTCAGGGCAGCTGGAGTGGAGAAAGCCAAGTGCTGAGGTTGAGGACTAGCATTAGCAGGGTCGCGAGGACCCTCTGTGCGTGGACATTGTTGAACAACACTGGGTAATAACGACCAAGGCTGAGCCAGGGCTGGTCCGTGTGGGGACTTTCCCACGCGCCACCACAGTCACTGCTCCCTGTCAACACTCCTGTTAGGTGGGCACCACTATTATCTCAATAGACAGATGTAGAAATTGGGTCACAGAGAGGTTGAGTAACTTGCCCAGGGTCACACAGCCTGTCGGTGGCCAAGCTGGGATTCAAACCCAGGCAATGGGCTCCAACACCCTTCCCCCATTCATGGGACAAGGCGGGCTTGCCATAGCAAATAAAAATTCAGGGCCGGGCATGGTGGCTCATGCCTGTAATCCCAGCACTTTGGGAGGCAGAGGTGGGTGGATCACCTGGGATCAGGAGTTCGAAACCAGCCTGGCCAACGTGGTGAAACCCCATCTCTACTAAAAATACAAAAATTAGACGAGCGTGGTGGTGGGTGCCTGTAATCCCAGCTACTCAGGAGGCTGAGGTGGGAGAATCTCTTGGACCTGGGAGGTGGAGGTTGCAGTGAGCCAAGATCACACCATTGCACTCCAGCCTGGGGGATAGAGTGAGACTCTGTCTCAAAATAATAATAATAATAATAATAATAATAATAATAATAATTCAGGACTTCATGTTAATATGAATTTCAGATAAGCAATAAATGATATTTTAGTATAAGTATGTCCTATAAAATATTTGAGGCATACTTATACTAAAAATTGTTTCATTGTTTATCTGGATTTCAAATTTAACTGTATTTTTATATTTTCTCTGGCAATCCTGTGGCTAGGGCGAGCCCTGGGCACAGGAGGGATCCCTGTAGATGCTTAAAGACATGAGGATAGGAAAATGTTCTTATCTGCACCCCAAGAATGCCAGCGGTGGCAGGAGACAGGCAGCCCACGTGTGGACTGCAGGATCCTGTTTCACAAACTGAGATGCTCAGAGAAGGGCAAGCTTGAGGCAGGAGCGTGTGCACGCGGCAGGCTCCCGGGGCTGCACCTGCTGAGGATCTAGCGCCCCACTTTCCTCTGCATTTCTCCATTTATCAGCCACCTGCCACAGTCTGTCATTCCCCAGGCTCAGGAGGAGAGTTGGAGGTGGCTTTGTGAGCCACACAGAACAGGGAGGAAGCACAGCCGCCTGGCCTCCTGCTGTCGAAAGGGCGTGGCAGCCTCTAATTCAAACACAGGCAGGCTGGTCCTGGCCCCTGGGTGAAAGACAGCCGGCCCAGGGTTTTCATTAAGGAGGTAGAGAAGAATGCTTTCTTGGCCTGCTGCCCTTTCTCCTGCCACAGAAGAGGGGTCGGGAGCTGTGAGTGGGCTACAACTGCACCCCAGAGCTCCGGCAGGGAGCCCAGTCCCCGGCTTCCGGGCTGACAGTCCCCGAGACAGAGGCGGCCTTCATCCCTGGCCATCACACTGGTGCTTCAAGGCAGACAGCTGCCTCTTGCCGGAGCAAAGCGTTTACTAACTAATTTGTCAATGGCCAGCCTGGAATTCACCCTCTTCAGCTTGATCATAAGAAAAATTTAGCTCAAATTTAGAACTGCTGAACAGTTCAGAGGCCACGGTGTCAAGTGCTACCTGGAGAGGTGGGGAGCTACCCACTCCAGTGCTGTTTTCCACTTCATGAGGACCCTGGTGGTACCTGCTCAGCACTGGGCATTGTGAGGATTCCTGGGAACCCACATTCACGTAGTGCAAAGTGGCCCAAACCTTGAAAAGGCTGGAAACCAGTATGCGTGTCAGCTGGGTTGAAACAGGTACATGATTCAGTGAGACCAGGTGTGTACAATAGGGAGTAGTGGAGACTGGGGCAAATTGGGACTGCAGGCCTCATCTGAAAAGGGGAAGCCGCTGCTCCGTTCCGCTGAATGTCGCCATTTGGTGAACGTATGCTGGGACATATGACTTTTCATTGGTGTTGGAAATCTAGATTTAAAAAAAAATGTAAAGACTCAAATTCTGGGGAAACAGAAAACATCTATGGACCAGGTTTGGCCTAAGAACTGCTAATTTACAACTTCTGCATAAATCACACTGCAGTCTGTGTGTGGACTCCGTACAGGCATACACACGTGTGGACACCCAGGACTCCAACTCGTGAGGCCTGTGGGGAAATGTCACATGCAGGAGACACACACACACCCACACCACCACCACCACCACACACACACCACACATACACCACCGCAACCACAAACACACACAACCACACGCACAACCACACGCATACACAAATGACCACACACACAACCGCACACATATAAACACACCACACACAAAACCACAACCACACACACAACCACAACCACACACAACCACATACACATACAACCACACACAAGAACATACACAACCACACACAACCACAAACACAACTACACACACAACCACACACCACCATACCACAACCACACACACAAACCCCACAAAGCCGCACACCACACACCACCACAAACACACACCACCACAAACACACACAAACACACACACCCAACCACAACCACACACACACACCACAACCAAACAAAACACTGCACACACACCACCACAACCACACACACAACCAAAACACACACCACACACACCACCACAATCACAAAAAAACACAGATACAACCACACACATCCACACACACAACCAAACATACACACCACCACATCCACACACACAACCACACACACACCACCACAACCAAAAAAAACCACACACAAACTGCCACAGCCACACACCCAACCACACACACAACAAAACACAACACACCACCAGAACCACACACACAACCATACACACAGTCACACACACAACAGCCACAAACACACACAACCACACACATGCAGACAACCACAACCACACACAGCCACATACACATCACCACAACCACACACAACCCCACACACACCACCACCACCCACAACCACACACAGCCACATACACATCACCACAACCACACACAACCCCACACACACCACCACCACCCACAACCACAACCACACACACAACCACACACAGACAACCAACCACTCACTTCAGAGCAGATCCTGAGCTGGGAAAGCAAAGGTAGCCGATCCTGAGCGCCCCTACCTGCCAGGACGTACCCATGGGAGTCTCCATGCATCGGCCCCTCTCATTCTCTCACCAGTCCCAGCAGTGAGCACCATTATGATCAGCCTCCTTTTGCAGATGGGGAAACTGAGGCACTGAGTGGTCAAGTCACTTCCTAAGGTCTGAGAGCTGCTCAAGGGTAGCCAGGCTGTGGAGCCGGCTGGACTGGCTCAGTAGCCCTGCCACCTGCCCAGCTGCTCAGGGGCTGCTTGAGTCCTCGACAGTGCAGGGGGACTGGAATCTGTTCACTGTTCCCGGCATGGAGGGTGCAGCAGTGAGAGCAGTGAGGGTGGGTAAGGAGGCGCAGACTCAAGAGGTTGTGGGACCCGCCAGAAAAGAAGGGGCCAAATGCTCCCCTACAGTCCTGCAAGGCATACTTTTTTTTTTTTTTTTTTTTTTTTTGAGACAGAGTCTCACTCTGTTGCCCAGGCTGGAGTGCAGTGGCACGATCTCGGCTCACTGCAACCTCTGCCTCCCAAGTTCAAGCAATTCTCCTGCCTCAGCCTCCCGAGTAGCTGGGACTACAGGCGCCTGCTACCACGCCCGGCTAATTTTTTGTATTTTTAGTAGAGACAGGATTTCACCATGTTAGCCAGGATGGTCTCAATCTCCTGACCTCAGGTGATCCCTCCCGGCTAGGCCTCCCAAAGTGCTGGGATTACAGGTGTGAGCCACCGCATCTGGCATACAATTTAAAGGTTACAAAGGAAAAGGAGAAAGAGAAGAAAAGAGCACTGTCATCCTCAGACATATAACTAAGAAGCCTGGAGAAGATCCCAGGCTCTGACAAGGACACTTGTCTTTCTGACCATAAAACCACTTCTGTTTCTTGAGCACTTACTAGGGGCCAGGCACTGGGCTAAGGAAGCCCTAGGGGGCATCCACACTGCCAGGCAGGTTGTATTATCCTCCCATTTTATGGACAGTTCAACTGAGGTTTAGAAGGATTAAGTAAGTTGCTGGAGGTCACGCAGCCAGAAAATAGCAGATCCAAGACTCCTGCATGGCAGTAAGATGCCTGGGCCCTCGGGGGAGCTTGTCAGGCTGGTCCAAAGCCATCCAGCCCACTGTTCTGTGATTCCCCATCAAAGGTGAGTGATGTGGTTTGGGTCTGTGTCCTCACCCAAATCTCATGTTGATTGATAATCCCCAGTGTTGGGGAGGGACCTGGTAGGAGATAATTGGATCATGGGGGGCGGATTTTCCCCTTGGTGTTCACATGATGGTGAGTACCAGTTGTTTAAAAGTGCATAGCACCTCCCCTTTGAGCGCTCTCTCTCGCTCTGTCTCTCTCCTGCCATCATGTCAGATGTGCCTGCCTCCCCTTCGCCTTCTGCCATGATTGTAAGTTTCCTGAGGCCTCCCCAGCCGTGCTTCCTGTACAGCCTGCAGAACGGTGAGTCCAGTAAACCTTTTTCCTTTATAAGTTACTCAGTCTCCGATAATTCTTTATAGCAATGCGAGAATAAATGAATACAGTGAGGCTTGGCTTAAAGGCAACAAAGTCCATATTAAGGACCTTCTTCAAGGGAACTTTTTCAAGGAAGGCATCTCCAGCAGCCCAGATGACTACCACGGGATGCTATTTACACACGATTCCTCGTGATGCGTGTTATTCACCGTCGCGCCGGGCTTGTCCACTGGTCTGTTGACTTCATGAGGACCAAGACCTCGTCTGTTTCACTCATGATGATATCCCTAGCACCTGGCCAAATGCCTCGCAGCTGCTGAGACAGGAGACACGGCACATTGGGAGGGGTGGAGGAGTGTCTCCCAAAAAGATATGTCCAAGGAAGCGACCTTATTTAGAAATAGGTCTTTGCAGGTGTAATCCAATTATAGATTTGGAAATAGGATTATCTTGAATTGAGGATGGGCCCTAAATCCAGTGATTGGTGTCTTTATAAAAGAAAAGGAAGGAGGACGTGAGACCCAGGGGTGCAATGGGGAGGCACTGTGAAGACAGAGCCGAGGCGGGAGGGATGCTTGCCTCGGCCCAAGAATGCCAAGCACTGTCCGCAGACACCAGAAGCCGGGGAGAGGTGAATGCTTTTCCAGAGGGAACCAGGGCTGCCAACACCTCCATGTCTAACTTCGGGCCTCTTGAACTGTGCAAAAATAAATTTTAGCTGTTTTCACCCATCCAGTTTGTGAACAGTTGTTGCAGCAGGCCTGGGAAACTGATACATGTATTTTCTGAATGAAGAAACATCTAAAAAGAACTTCTGCTGGCAGAAAGCCTGTAGCCCAGGAAGTAGATCTTTGAAGAGCACCTATTCTGCATTCAGGAACCACCTGGTGAAGTTCTTTCTGAGGAATTTAGATTTTGTGTAGCCAGGCGTCTTCCAGAAGTGTGGTGAGGGAGTCATTGCTGAGAGACTTGTGCAGTGAATATTCCAACTCCCGGGTTTGATGGCATTCCTGGTTGGGGGTGGTGGCTGGCACCTGTAATCCCAGCTCTTTGGGAGGCCAAGGCAGGAGGATGGCTTGAGCACAGGAGCTCGAGACCAGCCTGGGCAACATAGTGAGACCTTGTCTCTACAAAAATGTTTAAAAATTAGCCTGGTGTGGTGATGCATGCCTGTAGTCCCAGCTACTTGGGAGGCTGAAGTGGGAGGATCCCTAGAGCTTAGAAGTTCAAGGCTACAGTAAGCCAGGATCATGCCGCTGCACTCCAGCCTAGATGACAGAGTAAGACTCCATCTCGAAAAATAAGAACTGAAAATAAAACCTAAAAAAAGAAATAAAAGTAAAGGTGTCCCTCTTTCCTCCTGTGAAATGCACTAACCCTGACCACACTGAATGTCAGAGAGTGGTGGTACACTCACGCCCCTTCCACCTGTTTCTGAGACTTGGCTGTCTACATTCCCAAACCTGCTTTTGCCAGCTGTATCTGCAACTGGCAGTGTATGGTTTAATGAAATATAATCTCAACCAATGGGATATGAATGCAAAAATCATTTCTAGGAAAAATACTTTCAATGCTTTGGAAAGATTTAATAAAAGCAGGTTGCAAAAACAAAAAAAAAAAGCCATCAAAGTACATGTAGGCCAGACAAGTGAAAGATTTGAGTGATAAATCACGAAATGCATGCAAGAACCCTGTGCTCATGCTTTTCTTCACAGATCCCTTTGCGTCCTCAATCCACGTTACATAAATAGACGTGAAGTCACACAGATACCTTTTGGACGAGGTTATGCAAGAAAGAAAAGCGGGACATCAATCAGGATGTGCACACTCAAAGAAAAGATCTTGTTTGTCTCTTGAACTATTGGCAAATAAATGCACATTTCTATGTTTTTGTGTTAAAATAGAAGCCTTAAATCTTCATGGATTAACTCACCATCACAGATGCATTGGGCTTCTACTGTTTCCAAGTCATGGATGGCCGCCTAGAATTTCTAGGCAGGGATAATGTAATGCTGACATGGGCAGTGTAAAGATATTATTTCTGAAATCTGCAAAGTCTGCACACAAGTAAAAAGGAGTCTCCTTGACGGTTTTCTGTCAAGCGCTCCGGGGGAGGATTTACTGGACACACGGGTTTCTCTGCCCAGCCGTGCAACTCACCGTCCTGCTCACGATCTGGTGTTTGTTGTTCCATCCTCCTGGCTTCCCCACCTACCTGGTTCCCCTTGGTGTGTCTGGCTTACACCACCTGCCTGGCCTGCCCACGTGCAGAGGCCATTGGGAATACAGGTGCAGCCCAGCTGTGGCCAGGACGCAGGTCTCGTTTAGTGAATGCGTAATGATCTGAAGACAGAAAGGTCATCCTGGAGGAGACACCCGTGCCAATACCCCATAAAAACCCACCGAATCTTCCTCTTCCTTTTTTTTTTTTTTTCCACAGATGGAGCCTCACTCCATCACTCAGGCTGGAGAACAGTGGCACAATCACAGATCTCTGCAGACTCAACCTCCTAGGCTTAAGTGGTCCTCCTGTCTCAGCCTCCCCAGTAGCTGGGACTACAGGTGCACACCATCACGTCCAGCTAATCTAAAAAAAAAAGTATTTTTAGTAGAGATGAGATCTCTATGTTGCCCAGGCTGGTCTCAAACTCCGGGCCTCATGCCATCCTCCCACTCCAGCCTCCCAAAGTGCTGGGACTGCAGGCAAGCACTGTAAGCCACTGTGCCCAGCCAGAATCTTCCTCTTAAAAACACAAAAATGGGGACAGTAGAT
This sequence comes from Homo sapiens, assembly GCF_000001405.40. Classification (NCBI taxonomy): domain Eukaryota; kingdom Metazoa; phylum Chordata; class Mammalia; order Primates; family Hominidae; genus Homo; species Homo sapiens. The sequence goes on from NC_000012.12 coordinate 130,059,922, forward strand.
TAACATTCCTCCTGGATACCCTTGGAGGTGAACTGTGAACCACCCCCAAGAATATTAACTAAATCCACAACCATCTTTGAATATTAGCCTGGGAACAGATTACAGGCAGGTCTTCTGGGGCAAAACGTCCATACCAGCCCTCAAACATCAAAACTTTTCCCCTTGAACCTTGCAGTGGACTCCCACAGGCACTTCAGCAATGGTGATTCAGATGTGCAGAGAAAACAATAATATTTTCTAGGAAATTCTGGGGGAAGTCTCTGCTGCGTTTCCGCTGCTGTCTGTCCTGCTGATAAAAGTTTTGATGATGTGGCTTTTTTATCTGAACAAGCTCCAGATGAACGTAGCAGAGGTGCCACATGCCAAGATAATTTAAAGACGATTTTAAAAGAAATACACAGATGAAAAATTTGTTTCTCTCTGCCCTGGACTCTATATGAATGCGATTTGAGGACATCCAAAGCTGAGTCCAGGGTGTTACCACTTAAGCTGAGAGAGAAAAACATTGGTGGGAGATTCACAGAAAGCCAGCATTTCCCCTTGTGGTAAGACTGTAGAAAGCCACGTCCCCTGAAGTGGCTTGAATAGTGTCATTCCCACACCCTAGATTCATGTCCACTCAAAGCCTGTGAATATGACCTTATTTCAAAATAGAGTATTTGCAGATGTGATTAGTTAAGGGTCTCTAGATGAGATCAGTTGGATTAGGGTGATCCAATGATGAGTGTCTTTATAAGGGAAAGGAGAAGGAGATTTGGACACTGAAAGACAGAGAGAAGGAAGAAGCCACATGAGGACAGATGGAGCGACTGGAGTGAAGCGGCCACAAGCCAAGTATGCCTGGAGCCACGAGGAGCTGGAAGAGGCAAGAAGGATTGTGCCCTAGAGCCTCTGCAGGGAGCATGGTCCTATCCACACCTTGATTTTAGACTTCTGGCCACCAGAACTGTGAAAGAATAAATTTCTGTTTTTTTAAGCCACTCAGTCTATGGTAGTCTGCAATGGCCACCCTGAGAATGAGTGCATCCTCTTGGTCTAACACGTATGCATTTCCTCTGCCAATAATCTTGCGTTTGGTCCTCATAGAACTCTCCACCTATCCACCTCCTGTTTATCTTCTTTGTGTCTACATTTTTGTCTGCTCCTTCTTCCAGAGAAAATGTAGAATCACTCGGTTCCATGAACAGGACCATTGGTGTAAGACTAGGTCAAACCCTGACTTCACCACTTATGAGCTCCTTGGTGTGGGGCCACTGCCTTCATCACGCTGAGTCCTGATTTTCTCATCCATAAAGTGGGCATAAAAATAGTCCCCAGCATGGGATTGTTTGAAAGGTTACATGTGACACTGTGAGCCCTGAGTGGATGGACTGCCCAGCATTGAGCAAGTGCTTGTGAGCAGTCCTGCAGATGATGGCAGGTGTGTTGGTGGGATGTTCTACCCAGGCCCCTCCTGCCAGCACACACTGTGCCATGATGGGGCAGTCTCGTCTCATAGTCCTTCTTTTCCTCTTCCTCCAGCTGTATAAGGAGGAGAGAGTCAGGCCCATCACCATGCAGGGGGGTGATATGATTTGGCTGTATCCCCACCACAATCTCATCTTGAATTGTAGTTCCCATAATCCCCATGTGTCATACAAGGGGACTGGTGGGAGGTAATTGAATCATGGGGAGCAGTTACTCCCATGCTGTACTCTTGATAGTGATAGAGTGATAGAGTGAGTTTTCATGAGATATGATGGTCTTATGAGGGGCTTTTCCCCCTTTGCTTGGCACTTCTCTCTCCTGCTGCCATGTGAAGAAGGACATGTTTGCTTCCCCTTCCACCATGACTGTAAGTTTCCTGAGGCCTCCCCAGCCAAGTGGAACTGTGAGTCAATTAAGCCTCTTTCCTTTATAAATTACCCAGTCTCTGGTATTTCCTCATAGCAGTGTGAGAACAGACTAATACAGTGAATTGCTACCAGTAGAGTGAGGCGTTGCTGAAGAGACACCTGAAAATGTGGAAGTGACTTTGGAGCTGGATGACAGGCAGATTGGAACAGTTTAGAGTGTTCAGAAGAAAATAGGAAAATGTGGGAAAGTTTGGAACTTCCTAGAGACTTGTTGAATGGTTTTCACCAAAATGCTGATAGTGATATGAACAATGAAGTCCAGACTGAGGTGGTCTCAGATGGAGAAGAGGAACTTCTTGGGAACTGAAGCAAAGGTGACTCTTGCTATGCTTCAGCAATGAGACTGGCATTTTTCCCCTGCCCTATAGATCTGTGGAACTTTGAACTTGAGAGAGATGATTTAGGGTATGTAGTGGAAAAAATTCCTAAGCTACAAAGCATTCAAGAGGAAACAGAACACAAAAGTTTGGAAAATTTGCAGCATGATCATGCAATAGAAAAGAAAACCCACTGGGGGGAGAAATTCAAGCCCGCTACAGAAATTTGCATAAGTAATGAGGAGCCTAATGTTAATCCCAAAGACAATGGGGAAAATGTCTCCAGGGCATGTCAGAGACCTTCATGGCAGCCCCTCCCATCACAGACCCAAAGGCCTAGGAGGGAAAAATGGTTTCCTTGGGCTGGGCTCAGGGTCCCCCTGCTCTGTGCAGCCTTGGGACATGGTGCCCTACATCCCAGCTGCTTCAGCTCCCGTCTTGGCTAAAAGGGGCAAAGGTACAGCTCAGGCTATTGCTTCAGAGGGTACCAGCCCCAAGCCTTGGTGACTTTTACATGGTGTTGAGCCTGTGGGTGCCCAAAAGTCAATAATTGAGGTTTGGGAACCTCCACTTAGATTTCAGAGGATGTATGGAAATGCCTGGGCGTCCAGTCCAGCCAAGTTTGCTTCATGGGCAGGGACCTCATGGAGAACCTCTGCTAGGGCAGTGTGGAAGGAAAATGTGGGGTCAGAGCCCCCACAGAGAGTCCCCACCGAGGCACTGCCTAATGGAGCTGTGAGAAGAGGGCCACCATCCTCCAGATTCCAGAATGGTAGATCCACCAACAGTTTGCACCATGCACCTGGAAATGCTGCAGACACTCAAGGCCAGCCATGAAAGCAGCCAGGAGAGGGGCTATACCTTGCAAAGCCAAACAGGCAGAGCTGCCCAAGGCCATGGGAGCCCACCTCTTGCATCAGCATGACCTGAATGTGAGACACGGAATCAAAGGAGATCATTTTGGAACCTTACAGTTTAATGACTGCCCTATTGGATTTTGGACTTGCATGGGGCCTGCAGCCCCTTTGTTTTGGCCAATTTCTCTCATTTGGAATGGCTGTATTTACCCAATGCTTGTACCCCCATTTTATCTAGGAAGTAACTAACTTGTTTTTTATTTTACAGGCTTATAGGCAGAAGGGATTTGCCTTGCCTCAGATGAGACTTTGGACTTAGACTTTTGGGTTAATTCTGGAATGAGCTAGGACTTTAAGGGACTGTTGGAAAGGCACGATTGGTTTTGAAACGTGAGGACATGAGATTTGGGAGAGGCCAGGGGAGGAATGATATGGTTTGGCTGTATCCCCACCGAAATCTCATCTTGAATTGTAGCTACCATAATCCCCACATGTCATGGGAGGGACCTGGTGGGGGTAATTTAATCATGGGAGTGGTTACCCCCATACTGTTCTCGTGATAGTGCATTCTCATGAGATCTGATGGTTTGATAAGAGGTTTTTCCCCCTCCTGCTCAGCACTTCTCCTTGCTGCAGCCGTGTGAAGAAGGACGTGTTTGCTTCCCCTTCCGCCATGATTGTAAGTTTCCTGAGGTCTCCCCAGCCATGCAGAACTGTGAGTCAATTAAACCTCTTCTCTTTATAAATTACCCCGTCTCAGGTATTTCTTCATAGCAGCATGAGAATGGAGTAATATAGGAGGGCTCTGAGCAGAGCAAGCAGGGTGTCCTAGCTGAGTGCACCCCTCAACTCCGTTCCACTGGTCTCCTCAACGGCAAGGCTCCCCCTGCCCCGGGGAGCCCCCTCTTAACTCAGGAGGGCCTGGCTGACTCTGTCTTTCTCCCACATCTCCAGGGCCACTGCTAGCTGGGTGCGGATCTCCAGGGCCACTGCTAGCTGGGTGCGGTGGCTCCAGCTGGTTGTCTGGACCTGCCCAGATTCTCAGGCAGAATCAGAACATGTGCCAGGCCCAGATAAGCATCTGTGTTTGCAAACAGACAAGCACGGAGGCCTGCTCCCACCCAGCTCGCCGCCCCAGTGTTATCACCAGGCCTGAGATGCTCAGAAGTGCTGCCAGCATCTCAGGAAAGCAAGCTGTGAATTCCCGGGGCCACCGGGAGCAACTGCTGCCTGGCTCTCAGCTTCTGGCCACCCTAGCGTCCAGCTCAGGTGTTGGGCAGGGACCAGGGGTGTCTGGGCAGGAAGCTCAATGCAGGAGCTTGGCAGCCTCTCCCAGGGCTAGAGCATGGACGTGGGGGCCGTGCATCCCTTCCCACCCTCCTGTTGCCAGTGGGAGTTAGAAAACACAGCTAGTGCCTGGTAAACTGTCCCCACGACATCCAGGCTATGGCTTTAGCAGCAGCGAACCTATAAGTGGGGCAGCTGTGATGGACACAACTCCAATATTGTCCAGCTTCCATCCCTTGCTACCCAAGATTGGGAGCTCTGCTGGGTCCAGGGTGACCACAGCCTGGCATGGGAGAGAGATGAGGGACAGAGGGAACAGGGAGGTTCTGTTCTAGGATGTGGGAGGGACGATGTTATTAGAGCACAGAGTGAGGAGATCAATCCTGAAGGGTTATGTGGGAGCCACAGGAATGAGAAATAACAATAATTATTATAGCTCACCAGGCACTCTTCCAAGTTTATCTTCATTAAATTATCTCAACCATTTTATGAAGTAGGCACTATTATGACCATTGCTTTACAGATGAGGAAACCGGGGCACTAGAAATCAACATAATTTGTCCCAAATTACCCAGGGAATAAATGCAGAAGTGGATTTTGAAGTCAGGCAGCCTGTCTTCAGACGAGGCTTTTAAATTTTACATCATACAGATGTCCCTGACGCCACAGCCGAGAGACCATGGGGGCTGGAATGTTGACCCCACAGGCAGGCAGCTTCCTTGGGAGCCACCACAAACTCGATACCTTTCTAGGGTTGGGAGCTAAGTGCCCCATCTTTCCTGTTCAAATCCATAGAGGCCTGTCCCCTGCAATCAGCCAACCACACATGCCCACTGCCCACCCTACAGGACTGATGCCCTCTGGCCTATCCTGCCTGGCTTGTCCTATGAACAACCTCCCTGCTCGACACTGTGGTGCCTCAAGGTGTCCCACAGGAGGCGCCTGAGACCCTGGATGCCAGGAAGGGGTTAGGTGTGGAGAGGGGACCCTTTTCCTTAAAAATTTGATTGGCTGAACAGTGAAAACATTAAAGGAATCAATTATGGGTTCAGTTCATAATTTTGTTTCAATCTCTGAGTTACTGATCAAAACGAAAACAAATGTTTTGCACAAAATTCATCATGCATTGCTTAACTATGAGGAGACACTTTCTGAGAAGTGTGTCCTTAGGCGATTTTGTGGTTGTGTGAACGTCATAGACTGGATTTACCCAAACCTAGATGGTGTCACACACCACACACCTGGGCTGTATAGTGTGGCCTATTGCTCCTGGGCTACAAACCCACAACATGTTACTGCACTGAACACAGTAGGTGATTGTAACACAATGGTGAGTATTTCTGTATCTAAACACATCTAAATAGAGAAAATGTACAGTAAAAATACCATATAAAAGTTTAAAAATGGTGCATCTGTATAGGGCATGTACCATGAATGGAGCTTGCAGGCCTGGACGTTGCTGTGGTGGGTGAGTGAGTGGTGAGTGAATGTGAAGGCCTAGGACATTCCCGTACGTGACTGTAGACTCTGTAAACACTGTACACTTAAGATGCTCTGAATCTAAGAAAAAATAAAGTGCGCCATGACGTTACAACTGTTGCCACGTCACTAGGTGATAGGGATTTTTCAGCTCCATTGTAATCTTACGGGACCACCATTGTACATGTGGTCTGTTGTTGACCATATCGTTGTTCTGCGTAGCGCGTGACCGGAGTTTGGGCAATGCTGTCCTTGTGACAGACAGGACAGAGAGAAAATAAACTAACATAGAAGTCTCAAGGGCAGCGATTTGCTCAAAATAGCTCACACTGGCTCACGAGGGCCAAATGTTAAATTTTCAGGAATGTGTGAGTCTATTGTCATCAGGTTGGCAGGATGCACTTGGCCATGCTGCAAGTATTTACACCATGGAAACTGGCAGGTGCTACAAACCAGGGCATATGGTTTTAGGGAGCTAGTTGTTAAGCACTGGCCAGCACACCACTGACTCAGGGACAGGATAAGGATGGGGGCTCGGAATACCTGGGTTCCAGACTCAGTTGTGCCACTCATCCATCATGACGGTGGCCTCCATTTCCTCATCTTTATAAAATAGGAACAGAGGCTGGGTGTGGTGGCTCACACCTGTAATCCCAGCATTTTGGGAGGCCAAGGCAGGCAGATCACCTGAGTTCAGGAGTTTGAGACCAGCCTGGCCAACATGGTGAAACCCCATATCTACTAAAAATACAAAAATTAGACAGGTGTGGTCATGTGTGTCTGTAATCCCAGCTACTCGGGAGGCTGAGGCAGGAGAATTGCTTGAACTTGAGAGGTGGAAGTTGCAGTGAGCTGAGGTCGTGCCTTGCACTCCAGCTGGGCGACAGGGTGAAGCTCTGAAATAGGAATAGAAATAACTGATTCCACTGATCACATGGAATTATTGTAAGAAGCAAACCAAAGGCGGTGTTCTCTCTTTTTCTTAACCTGAAGGTTTATGGCAAGGAAGATAGAGAAAATGTTTTTAAAGAACAGATCCCCAGAATGTCTTGGGAGCGAGCCTGCAAGCCATGGACTAGCACATTTTTCTAAATGAATCAATGTCTATGGCCCGACCTGAAGCCAGTTCTACTACCTCCTGGAGCATCCAGCACCCCGCCACCCAGCCTTCCCTCTGCTCCCCTTCCAGAGTCCCAGGAGCTTTTCTGACACTGCTTGGCCCTGCCAAAACTGTAAAGGAGGGAGGCTGCAGGCAGCTGGGAGAGGAGGGTACTTGATATGGTTTGGATGAGTCTCCTCCAAATCTCATGTTGAGCTGTGATGCCCAGGGTTGTTAGTGGGGCCTGGTGGGAAGTGTTTGGGTCATGGGGGTGCGTCCCTCACGAATGGCTTGGCCCTACCCTTGGAGATGAGTGAGATCTTGCTCTGTTAGTTCACTGGAGAGCTGGTTGTTTGAAGGAGCCTGGCACCTCTCTTGCTCCTGCTCTTGCCGTGTGATGCACTGGCTCCCCTTCACCTTCCGCCATGATTGGCAGCTCCCTGAGGCCTCACCAGAAGCAGATGGCAGTAGATGGCATGCTTCCGCTACAGCCTGCAGAACCGTGAGTCAATTAAACCTCTTTTCTTTATTAATTGTCCAGCCTCAGGTATTCCTTTACAGCAACATAAAATGAACGAACACAGTAGTCAAAGCCAAGGTGTGTGCAGGCATTGGCAGCACAGCCAAGGGCTGTCAGCTGCGTGGAAGGACCCAGGACCCAGCGTGGGCTTGGCTGCTGCCAAGTGTAGGATCCTGAGGGTCTTGGTCATTTTTCTGCTGCTTATAAGAGAATACATGAAACTGGCTAATTTATTTTTAAAAAGGAATTTGTCTCTTACAGTTATGGAGACTGAGAAGTCTAAGGTTGGAGGGGCAAGCCTGGTGAGGTCCTTCCTGCTGGTGGGGCCTCTATGGTGTCCCAAGGTGGCGTAGGACATCCTATGGCGAGGGACTGAGTGTGCCGGCTTAGCTTTCTCTCTTTTCTTATAAAGCCACCAGTCCCACTGCCACCATAACCCATCAATCCCTGAGCAGATTAATCCATTCATGAGGGCGGAGCCCTCTTGGCCCAATCACCTCTTAAAGCCCCCACCTATCACTTCTGCCACATCGGGAATTAAGTTTCTATGCTAGAGGAGACAAACACTCAAACCGTAGCACTGGGCTTCTCACTCAGCCTCCTCGAACCTGCTTCAACCCACATCTTCACAACAGGGAAAGACGGTGTACATCAAGGACAGTCATTTTCAAGAAAGAGTGGGGAAAGGGCACGCGTGTCCATCACAGAAGGGGGCTGGGTCCCTGGCCACACTGGGATGTGGTCTAATTTGGAAGCAAACCTGCTCATTCGTGTTCATGTGTTTCCACGGTGAGGCTTTGGTGTTCTCTCTCTCTCTCTCTCTCTCTCAGTTTTAATGATGAGAAGTTGGTGATTTTGAGGCTGAAAAGGAGACTGACAGAGTAAAAGTCACCTTTCATCATCACAGTGGGTGCGCTTAACCAGTGTCTGAGGATACTGAGGCACCCGAGGGGCTCGTGGCAGGAGGGGAGGTGCTCAGAGACTACCCACCCTCATGCACAGGGCCCCCTCTGCTCCGTGGGGGGCTGCCAGGCTTCGAGGGATTCCAGTGGGTATCTGCTGCCTCTTAAGAATATCTGTTGAGATAATAAGATTTGATAACCTGCCTGCATCTGTACAACCAGCACCCACGTCAACACAGAGAACTTGAGCTCCCCAGAAGCCCCCGAGCTCCCCAGAAGCCCCCGAGCTCCCTGCCATCACTGGCCCCCGGGGTCCCCACTATTCTGCCTTCTGGCACCCTCAGTTGGTTTTGCCCACGTGTTAATTTTATCTCAGTGGGTGGACTCCTGCAGGATGGACTCCTGCCTCTGGTTTCTTGGCTGGACTTCATGTCTGAGAATTTTCCATGTTGCCTCTAGTTGGAGGTAGTTCGGTTTCACGGCTGCCTTGTATAAATTCACCGCCACTTACTTACCTGCGCACCTCCTGACGGGCATTTGTGTTGTGTCCAGCCTGGGGCCTGTGTTAGTCTGCTCAGGCTACCATAACAAAGTGCCACAGACTGGGCGGCTTAAAGCACGGACACGTATTATCTCATGGCTCTGGAGGCTGCAAATCTGAGATCATAGCAACAGCAGGGCTGGTTCCCTCTGAGGCTGTGTGGGGAGGGAGGACGTGTTCCAGGCCTCACTCTGTGGCTTGTAGGTGGGCGTTTCTTTCTGTGTCTTCACATCGCCTTCCCTTTGTGGGTTTCTTTGTGTCCAAGTTCTCCCTTCTGATGAGGACTAGGGTCTACCCTACTGACCTCACTTCAGCTTTGTTACTTCTGGAAAGACCCTCCATCCAAATAAGGCCAATTCCAAGGTCCTGGGGTCAGGACTTACCGCAGCTTTTTGGGTGGGGGACAAAATTCAACCCCATAACAGGCTGGTACCAATCATACAGCGGTGGATCCCTCTATATTTTCTTTGATGAACATACATGTGCATTACTGTTGGGTGATGAGTCCATTTTATTTTTACTTTTTAAAAAAGACTGTTGCTTTCATTTGAAAGAGAGCTTAAAACAATCCCAGATCCACCTAGCACAAAATGCTGCATAATTGGTATCCCTAGGAAAGGCTCAAAAGCCCTAATGTGTAGAAGATTGGGCCAAACATGGGTTGTTTTTATTTCTTCATGGCTACGAGCAACGTGTGCTTGGAAGATCCTGGGCTACGGAGCTCTGCTGTGAGACTGGGCATGAAGTCTTTCAGACTGGTTGCCAACTTTGGGAGAGCTAACATTTATTGACTGCTCACTGGGCTGGGCTCTGTGCTGAGGGCTCCACACGCTGTTCCTCCCATGATTCTGCCAGGGCTCTCCCTTATTTGGAGGCAGATGAAGAAACTCAAGGTCAGAGAAGCTAAGCCCAAGGTCACACAGCAAGTAGGTGGCAGAGCAAGGACCTGAACTCAGGTCTGTCTAAGTCTGCATCCTGTGCTTTCAGCCATGAACTCTGACTTCTTCACTGCCCCCTATAACAGGAAGCTGCCTCCATGAGAAAAAACGCCCAGCTCAAAAAGGCTTACCCACTTGGATATTTATTAGCTCATATTACCAAAAGTCCAGAAATAGACAAACCCAGGTTGATAACCTCAGTGGGTCAGTGACCACTTGGGAACTGGTTCTTCCCATCATCTCTTGGCATCCTTGGCAGGTTGGCCTTGACCTCAGCTTTGTCTACTCAACGTGGCAAGGTGGCTGCAGCACCCCCAAGTATCATCACCTCAACCAGCAGCACCCACAGGTCCAAAGGTAGAATGTCCATCACTGGCCCCTTTAAGTGCAGCAGAGTTCTTTCTCAGGAGAGCCTGCCTCACAGCAGACGTCCTCTCATTGGTCAGAATGATGTCACGTGCCCATTCCAAAGCCAATCACCGGCAAAGGGAAGTGAATAACCATAATTGACTTAACTAACTCAATTCTTCCCCAGCCGAGGCTGGGTTAAGGCCTCACCTCCCGCAAGCACAGGCTCCCCGAGTCAGAACGTGACCTGGATTCCCTTAGCCCGGAGGACTGAGGGCTGAGAGCCTGGCAACAGCGTCTGATTGCTGCCCGTCAGCAGCTTCACCGCGAGCTAATCTGGACTGCAGTCCGACCTCCCGGGCTCCCTCATGCTCCACGTGATTGCCATGGTCAGGAAGGCAGGAAGCAAAAAATGCAGCTCACCATCCAGACGCCCTGCCTCGTGCTCCCGCGGACTGGCTGCGCCCCAGACTCGGGTTTCAGTAGAATCAGGATGAGCCTGCTGGGCAGCCGGGTCACAGGCCCCTAACTCACCTGCAGACCCACGCAGATCAGTCTTCGCAGTGAGCTCAGGGCAGACCTCAGCTTTGCTCAAGCCCGGCCCTGCCACAAACATGCCTCACCTCCTGCCACCTACCCTGGCCGTTCCTCCAGCCAACTGGGCATGAGAATGAAAACTCCCACAAGTTCCATGGGAATGCATATTTGATGAACTGGAAAAATATCAGGCTAACTAAATAAAAGTTGGATTTCCCTGAGCCTCACTTGCTGGTCACTGCCCTGTCACTTCTGAAAGTCATGTGGACTCCATTATTTGTTTATTTTTTTGAGACGGAGGCTCGCTCTGTCGCCCAGGCTGGAGTGCAGTGGCGTAATCTCGGTTCCCTGCAACCTCTGCCTCCCGTGTTCAAGCGATTCTCCTGCCTCAGCCTCCCGAGTAGCTGGGATTACAGGCGCCATGTTAACCAGGATGGTCTCGATCTCCTGACCTCATGATCTGCCTGCCTCGGCCTCCCAAAGTGCTGGGATTACAGGTGTGAGACACCACACCTGGTTAATTTTTGTATTTTTTAATAGCGATGGGGTTTCACCATGTTGGCCAGGCTGGTCTTGAACTCCTGATCTCAAATAATCCACCCACCTTGGCATCCCAAAGTGCTGGGATTACAGGCATGAGCCACCACACCTGGCAGGGCCCCATTATTACATCACACACAGAGAGGGTTCTGAAAGGCAGCAGGGGCTGTTGAGGGTGAAAGTCAGTTGTCTTCTGGGTGCAGCTACAGCTATTCCACCTGTCATGCAGGTAGCCATCCACAGTAAACCGTCAGCTTTTCTCCCTTACATTTTTCTCTTTATACTTGAGAATTATGTTTTCACTTGGGCCATAAAGACATTTGGGCTAAGTCACAGGAAATAGGACGCTGATAAATGAGGACTGCAGTTTCTTCTCTTGAACCATTGAATACCCCCCGCAGGAAGTACACGGGAGAAAATAGGAGGGAGATTGTTTGCGGAGGGCTGCAGCTGAGCAGTAAGTCCACTTAGTAGCTTCTCCCTTATTCCTGCCCTGCAGGCAGATAAGCCCAACAAGTGAAATGAACCCCAGTTCCCAATCACAAGATTATGTTCTGGGACCACTAAACTGCAGTTGTGGAAAATGGGCCTTACAAATACAAGTTGTATTAATCTGTTTTCATGCTGCCTGGAAAGACATACCCGAGACTGGGTAATTTATAAAGAAAAAGGTTTAATCAACTCACAGTTCCATGTGGCTGGGGAGGCCTCACAATCATGGCGGAAGGCGAAAGCCATGTCTTACATGGTGGCAGCAAGAGAGAGAATGAGAATCAAGCAAAAGGGGCTTTCCCTTATGAAACCATCAGATCTCATGAGATTTATCCACTACCTCGAGAATAGTTTGGGGGAGACCACCCCCATTATCCAATTATCTCCCACCAGGTCCCTCCCACAACACATGGGAATAATGAGAGCTAAAATTCAAGATGAGATTTGGGTGGGGACACAGCCAAACCGTAGCAACATAAAACAAGCATGGGAGAAAAGATGTTTCCAAAGGATCGTCCATATTTAGTTAGCCAAGACTATAACCACAGCTGAAATCTAAGGTTTCTGATGGAGAAGAAGACCTTAGTAATTTGGTTTTTGTTTTGTTTCATAGAAAGAACACTGACCATAAGATCTGCCCTCTTAACACATTTTTAAGAGCGTGATACAGGATTGTTAACAATAAGGAACATGGTTGTTTGTTTTTCTCTTAATTGCTTTTTTATTACGAAGCTAAATGATTTTTAAGAGCGAAATTTGAATATAAAGAAAATAATAGGGCTTTTGACTTTTCTACTACAAGAAGGTGGCTTCCTCAAGGCATATGATTGCAATCCAAGCGATGCTATTTCCAGATGGTAAACAACCCTCTTTTTTACAATCATGTTGCCTACAAGTCTAGGCAGACAACCCTTGGTACTTACATACACCAGGTACTAGAGAAAAGCTGGAAAATGCAGCCAGTGGTCTCAAGGCTTTCAAAAATGAGACCTTAATAAAGAGTTAATATGAACTGAGTGTTTATCCTTGAGCAGGTACTGTATACACGGCACGTGGGTGAGCTCACTGACTCCACACAACAACCCTGTGAGGCAGATGCTATCAGCTCCTGCATTTCACAGATGTGGAAACCGAGGCAAAGTGAGTGCAGCACCTTGCTCAGGTGGTCCTGCTGGTCCACGACAGAGCCGGGTTTTGAAGCCGAGGGGCTTGGCTCCAGGGCCCAGCTGTCTACACTGTGCCCCAGTGCCTCGTGTTAGCATATTCAGTGTTATTTTAAGCGGTTCCACTCTCAATCAGAATGACAGCATCACAGAGCAAACATCACGTAGGCATTGGTCTAAACCCAGTTGGCACAAAAGGCCCCAAATTGAAGTCAGAAACTGAGTTCAAACCCAGATTTGCAACCACTGGCTTGGTGACTGTAGAAAGCCACTTAAGCCCTCTGTATCTGTATTTTTCTTATCTCTAAAAAGAGTGTAAACCTGACACGTGGCCCAGTGATCTCAGAGTGTAGCCCTGAGGATCAAATGTGGTCACGCGCGTGCACGCACTGTGAAGATGGGGCCAGCTTTCCCGGGGAGAGGCATGACAGTGGCAAACACTGTCCTACTTTTAACAGACACCGTCCTACTTTTAACAGACACCACACATCGGCTCTGTCCCAGGTACATGCTCGTGAATGAGCCGAAAGTACAGAAACTTCCAAATGATAGAACCTCAGCTTAGTGTTGGGAAATGAGTGAAAACCAAACACCCTCGACACACACCCTTAAAGAAGACAGTCTTAATCTGTTAAGCGTTGCAGTCCCAAGTGAGAGCAAATGTTGCAGGCAAGGGAAAGGGATAACTTGGATTTTCGGGTGGATCACCTGAGGTCAGGAGTTCAAGACCAGCCTGGCCAACATGGGAAACCTCATCTCTACTAAAAATGCAAAAATTAGCTAGGTATGGTGGCAGGTGCCTGTAATCCCAGCTACTCAGGAGGCCCAGGCAGGGGAATTGCTTGAACCTGGGAGGCGGGGGTTGCAGTGAGCCTAGATCATGCCACTGCACTCCAGCCTGGGTGACAGAGTAGGGTCTTTCTCAAAAAAAAAAAAAAGTAACTGAAAGAAAGTACCAAATCAATATTTTACTCAATGATTTATGTTCCTGTAAGAGCTCTGGCCATCTTGCCAGTACACATTGGCACGGGTGTGCACACTTGTCATCAACGCATGCATCATCAGCTGTAAGCAAGAGCCTGCATTTGAATGTAGGTGTGTCCTGGCAGGCCTGAGAAAGCATCAGAGCCCAGAATGAATTCATTTCCTTAAGGAGTTTTAGGAGAAACTTAAGCAATGAAGATGAGAGTTTTGCATTGGTGCCCAGAAGGTTTGGCGAAAGCAACAGGATGCCCTTCCCAGAGGTGGCTGTAGGGGCCTGTGTCTGGGCACTAGAGGATGGAGGCAGTGTGAGAGCCCTATGGGCACTGCTGAGGGGTGCAAAGTGGCTCTCCTTTTGCCAGTTAAGAAGGCGGCTGTGGGGTGCATGCCCGTCAGGCCTGTCATAACCGGCACGAATGATGTTGTCCGACAGGCATGGGGATCTACACAGGAATGAAAACAACTCCAATTTCGGCTACTTTCTATGTGCTGACCGTTGCACTGATGGCTTTAAATATTTTATTCTAAAGCTGTTTCTCACCACGACCCTATAGATGTTATTGTCTCCATTTTATGGCAACGGAATCCCAAAAGGGCAGAGAGGTGGTGAGTGCAGCAAAGGAAACTGTCAAGCAGTCATGAACACGGGGGTCCCAGGAAGCAGAGATCTGGTACGGGTTGTCTACTGCTGGGTCACAAATTACCTCCCAAACTGAGCATCTTAAACAACAAACATTCACTGCTTATTTCTGTGGGTCAGGAGTTTGGGAGCAGCGTAGCTCAGGGGTTCTGGTTTAGGGTCTCTCTGAGGTTGGCCAAGGATGGGCTACCGCCACTGAAGGAGGAGAAGGGGGATCTGCTTCCAAGATGGTGTGCTCACTGGGCTCTGAACGCTTGCATGTCCTCGTGACATGGCCCCTGACTTCTCCCAGAGGGAGTGATCCCCAGAGAGAGCAAGAAGGAGACTACCCTGACTTCCATGACCTAGTCACAGAAGTCACACACCATTGCTTCTGCCATGCTTTATTTCTTAGGAGTGAGTCACTGAGTCTGGCCCACACTCAAGGGGGAGGAATTAGTTTTCACCTCTTGAAGGGTGGAACATCAAATAATGCATTATATTTTAAAGCCACCAGAGATCTCTTTAGAAAATGGGGCTCCACATTGGCCTGTGGGGCTAGTGAGCTGGTGAAGGGCTCCCCCTCCACCCCCGAGGCGGGAGGCACCTGCGGAAACTCAGCGAGGTCACACGATGTGCACATCTCCACTTGACATGAGACACCATGGAGATCAGGGGCCATAGTGTTTTCCCTCCTCCCTGTGCTTTTAGCAGTTTCTAGTCATTTCCTTGTCATCCTCACATTGCTATGAACACTTAGTAATGTGAACACAAACCTCCCAGTGGACTCACATGCTCAGAGGGCACTCAAGACTGGGGGAAGCAATGCAATCACAGCAGCATAAATATTCCTGAAGTCTGGGAGCCTCAAGACAGAAACTAGGTCACCAGGGCCTGCTAGTCTGGAGGAGCTGGTGTGCTCCCTTTAGTGTGCATGTGAATGAAGACACCGTCAGAGATATTCCTAGGGGCCACAAATTCTCCTGCATCCTTGCTTGCTCCTCCGAAGGGAGGGTCAGATGACGTGTGCAGCCTGGCCTCAGAAAGCTTGTGGGCCAAGTCGAATAGTTGCAGATGGGCTGGGACGTCCAGAGTCTGTTGCTCTGGAACAGTTGCTTACAAGTCAATGTATGTCTTTCATTCACCCACAAAACCGCACCATGCAACTCCTATGAGCAATGAAATAAGAACAAGTAATAAGAGACAGTAACCAGGAGATCTGGGACAGAAACACCCACGTGGAGCTATAGTCGCAGTGGATCCTGTGAAGGAAGGGCGTTGAGTAAAGGGACAGAAAGTGACAGAATGTGTTTCAGGTGGGATGGCCAGGGAAAGCCTTGCCACAGAGGAGGCCTACAAGCAAAAGCCTGGTGGGTGGGGGGTTAGGGCTGGAGCAGCTAGGTGCCTCCCAGGGGCAGATGAGGACCTCACAGGCCCCCGCTGGGACTTCAATTGTGTTGTAAACGTGGTTGGGAATGGTGGAGGAGCAGAGGGAGCAGGACCTGTTCTAAGTTTTAGAGGAATTGCTCCCAGCAGAGAACTGGCTTTCAGGGCAAGAATGAGAGCAGGGAGACCAGCAAGGGGGTATGGTCTAGAGAGGAGGATGAGTCTGAGGTGGGGAGACAGAGGTGGAGGGAGACTTCGGTTCAACGGGGATCTGTTTACAGGAAAAGATGACAGGAGTTCCTGATCGATCCAAAAGACAAAAGACAGGGGGTGCAGACTCTGCTGGGATCATCCAGGGCCACAGGGTAGTAGGAGCAACTTCTGGAAGACAGAACTGAGACGGTTTAAGGGATGTCACAGGAAAGAAGAGTTATAGTGTGCAGTAGCTCATCCATTCCTCCCCATGATCCTATGAGCTCGGCCCTGCCATTGCACCCATTTCCCAGATGAGGACACTGAGTCCTAGAGAGGTTAAGTGACTTGCTCATGGTCACAGAGCAGGAGGTGGCAGAGCCAGGGCTCACATGCAGGTATCTCAGGGAAGGACACCCAAGCTTTAAAAAAAAATTTAAAGGATACACTGTCATCCTATTTACTAACAAAATTTAACAAAATGAGACTACAATATTCCTTCTCCAGATGCTGTGGAGTAAATGCAGGATGAAGTCACATTTTCATAATTTTAAAACAGTTCCTAAGATCATCAGTCAGCAAAGTGAAGAACGAGAACCTATTGGAAGGTTCCCTAGGACCTTTCTGTGAATGTCCTGCATTTTCTTTTGTAATACTTTCCATCTCTGGTAAAGTAGATCTGCTTTAAAAGTACTTTATTGTGTTTTGTTCCCGATTATAAAAGTAATATGTATTCATCCTAGAAATAATCACCACTCACAGTTTGGTGTATTTCCTTCTAGTCTTTTTTCCCCTAAAGCATGCATAAGTGCTTGTTTTTGCACGTGTAACTTAATACACATTATAGTGTGTGTCCCATGAAAAGCACGTCTCAAGGAAGTGAGAAGTTGTCTTTGCAAACCCTGATGAGGTGTGAGAGCCCTGGCCAGTGCCAGACAAAGGCAGTCCCAGGAGCCCTCTAAGAATGGAAATCCTGCCCTAGTGGCCCCACGGCTCTACACGCAGACAATATCCGTTTGCTTTTCCTCTTTTACCAGAGAGATTACATCACCATCTACACATTTTTTTTTTTTGGTTGCTGTTATAGACTGTTTTTGAAACAGTTTCCAGACTTCCTGTAGGCTGTTTGTTTTGTAAACGCTTATCCATCTGTCCTTCTCCTTGAGTAAATGGGTCCAGGAAACACCCACTCTTTAGGAACACTCCCCCGTCCACCATTGGGCTTTATTTAATGTGGAGCTAGATCTATATAAAGCAAAATAAAAATACACAAAATGAAAGTGATAGTGATAAGGATGGTGGTGGTCATGGTAGATGCCAGTTTCAAACACAAGTCTATGCCAGGTGCAATGCACTAGTCCATTCTCACGCTGCTATGAAGAAATATCCAAGACTGGATAATTTATAAAGAAAAGTGGTTTAATTGACTCACAGTTCTGTATGGCTGGAAAGACCTCAGGAAACTTACAATCACGGCAAAAGAGGAAGCAAACATGTCCTTCTTTACAAGGCGGCAGGAGAGAGAAGTGCTGAGCAAAGGGGGGAAAAGCTCCTTATAAAACCATCAACTCTCTTAAGAACTCACTCACTATCATGAGAACAGCATGAGGGCAACTGCCCCCATGATTCAATTACCTCCCACCAGATCCTCCCATGACATGTGGGGATTGTGGGAGCTACAACTCAAGATGAAATTTGGATGGGGACACAGCCAAAACATCATGCAGTGTTCAGAGTTTGGCATGCATTTGGTTATTTAAGAGTCATCACGATTTCCTTTTTCTCAAATGAGGAAACTGAGACATGAGCCCTTTGCCTAAGGCCACATAGTTGGGAAGAGCCATAAATCCAGTAACTAGTCTCTGCAATTCTCAAACCCAAGCTCCTAATCACTTATATAAATATTGCCTCCAATGAGATAAAGAGAAAAAGAGACAAATAGAGAAAAACGACAGAGATCGATTCAAAAAGAGAGAGAGATGGCAACACAGACACAGGCATAGGATGCCTCTTGGGTTAGATGACCATAGAAGACAAGAGATGTATCTGTGCACAAAAGCTGATGGTCTCAATGCACAAGAGTCACCCCCACACACCAGGTAGTTACACAGTAAACTTGGGCAGAAGGTGAAAAAATGCCAAATGAATGAGTTACTAAAGTTACCAGGAGGGAGAGATCAATATGGTTTGGGGTACAGAAGAAAGACCTATTAGAGGAGGTGGCCATGAATCTAGCTTTGGGGAATGGAGAGGTCTTAGGACCAGAAGGAAATCCTTTGATATTCTTCCACTGAGAGATGGAGTCTTCCTCTCCTACCCTTGAATCTGAGCCAGCTTGTGATTGGGTCCACAAAGCTGGTGTAGCTCCCACCTCATTTGCTGGAACATTCATGGTCGGAGCCCTTGGCTGCTGTGTAAGATATTCAACTGCCTCATAACTGGAGCTTTCACATGAAGATGCTCTGATAGACAGTCCCAGCTGAGCCCAGCCTTCCAGTGAAAGGTTTCAGAGCAAGAACGTTTTCAGTTCAGCAGCATATTAATAACCACCTGAGCAAGACGCAATGAAAAAAGCAAGATGATCATTTAAAAATGTATTTATAGGGAGGCTGAGGCAGGAGGATCACTTGAGCCCAGGAGTCTGTGAACAGGTCTCAAAACAAAAAAATGTGTACACACGCACACGCACACACATACACATATAAGTACATATATACACATATATATTTCCACAAAATCTGTTCTCACAGTCAGAGTTGGCGCCATTGGAACTAATTATTGTGACTTAACTCCTAATGAGTTTACTTTTCTCACGTTACAAGAATTCTGGAGGCAGAACTATTCCAGCTGCTCTGAACCAAGCTCCTCTGCTCCCCTTGCACAGCTGTACTTATATTTGACTTTGTCTTCATGGTCGCAAGGTGACTGGGCATTGCAATCATGTTTCAGAAGGTGAAAGTCCAAGGTCAAACAGACAACCCGATCAGCCTACACCCCTGAGAAGAGTTTCCCTGAAAGCCCCACCCCAAAACATCTGCTTGTATCTCGCTGGTCAGATTTGAGTCACATGACTTCCTTAAGCTGCAAGGAGTTATGGGAAATTGAATACTTAAGTAACATTGTGCTCCCAAACCAGTTGAGCTTCTGTTGGGAGGAGGAAAAAAAGACTGAATATTGTTGATTTGTCCTTTAACATTATTTTACTAGTTTATCCCATCAGAATTAAACTCCATGGAAGCAGGAATCCTGTGCTTCCTTCTCTGCTTTCTAGGGACCTGAACAGTGCCTGAGACATAGTACATGCTCAATAAATATTTGCTGCATTTTGTCAGTTAAATCCATACCAAGGCTCGTGGCAGTCGGGACTCGAAGGTCAGGCAATTAAGAAGAGTGAGATGAGGTTGGAAGGGAGGCTGGGGCACCCTTAAGTGCCCAGCTCTGAAATGCCAAGAAAGTACAAACGCAGAAACAGTAAATATTTTTATGACTCATGAGTCAGGAACAAACTCAGGTCAGATTGGTTGCAACAGATCTAGAGAAAAAGCACATTGTGCTTCAGAAATTCATTTAAAGAAATTAGAGTGATGGGGCAAAAAGGCCCCAGGAGTCTGCTTTCGGTCTTCTGCGTGGGGCGAATGCCTGTTTCCTTCTCTCAGATGTCCCTCTGAGTCGGGTTTGAAGTAGATTGCTGCCGAGAAGCAAGTCTTCAGAGGCTAATTGATTTCACTCTTGGGAAAATTATCCTGACATTCAGCCTAAAGTTTCCTTTCCTTTCATCCCCTTGCTTCTAATAATGCCTCGTTGGATCAGCATGAAAAATTGGTATCCCTCCCTGATGTTTACCCTGGATGACCCTTATCAAGTCAGCCTTCATCATCACAGCCCAGGCAGTTTTTTTTGTTTTTGTTTTTGTTTTTTTGAGACGGAGTCTTGCTCTGTCACCCAGGCTGGAGTGCAGTGAGCAGTGAGTGCAGTGGCGCGATCTCGGCTCGCTGCAACCTCCGCCTCCTGGGTTCAAGTGATTTCTCCTGTCTCAGCCTCCAGAGTAGCTGGGATTACAGGCGCCTCCCACCACAACTGGCTAATTTTTTTGTATTTTTAGTAGATACGGGGTTTTGCCATGTTGGCCAGGCTGATCTTGAACTCCTGACCTCGGGTCCACCCGCCTCTGCCCCTCAAAGTGCTGGGATTACAGGTGTGAGCCACCACCACGCCTGGCCAAATCCAGTTTTTTAATTTGTCCTGGACAACACCACTCAGATTCAAAAGTCATGGGAGGAAAAGTTGGCCAAGTTCGTATCATGTGCCTGTGCCTTGGTTAGAGGAGGCAGGGCAAGTTGCAACATCTCCTTTGCACTTTCCCCCTGCACTCTGCACCTTTCAGCTGACTGGAGTGGTGGATGCCCAAGGTGATCTTGGAAGCACATGTTAAAGATGGAGGAGACTCACTTAGCCTGGGGCCCCACAAGACCACGTGGAGCAGAACGTTCCGCCTCCTCATGCCTTGTCTATTGCATGAATGAGACACAAACTCCTTGGAGTTGAGCTATTGATTCTGTGGCCCATTCGTTATAGCAGCTTGATCTACCTTAAGCAATAAATGCTGTTACTAAAATACGTGTGAGCAGTGGCTCAGTGGCCAGAAAACAGCAAGTATCCACTATACTCACAGAAAAGAAACGAAAGTGAACCTTTAGGCCGGGCGTGGTGGCTCATGCCTGTAATCCCAGCAGTTTGGGAGGCCGAGGCAGGTGGATGACTTGAGGTTGGGCGTTCAAGATCAGCCTGGCCAACATGGTGAAACCTTGTCTCTACTCAAAATATAACAATTAGCCA
Organism: Homo sapiens; assembly: GCF_000001405.40. NCBI lineage: Eukaryota > Metazoa > Chordata > Mammalia > Primates > Hominidae > Homo > Homo sapiens. Next base: position 130,080,851 of record NC_000012.12, read on the forward strand.
GGCATGGTGGCGCACACCTGTAATCCCAGCTACTCGGGAGGCTGAGGCACGAGAATTGCTTGAACCCAGGGAGGCAGAGCTTGCAGTGAGTTGACATCATGCCACTGCCCTCCAGGCTGGGCGCCAGAGCAAACTCTGTTGGAAGAAAGAGAGAAAGAGAGAGAGAGAGAGGAAGGAAGGAAGGAAGGAAGGGAGGGAGGGAGGGAGGGAGGGAGGGAGGAAGGGAACCTTTAAACTCACTTGCATCAAAGTACCATGCTTCGTGTAGTTCATTGTGTTAGGAAGAATTTGTCCGATTTGGGGAGCTGGAAGACCCAGCTTCTCAGGTGTCATCTGTAGCAGGTCACATGTAACCCAGGTAGATGAACCTAAAAGGCGCTAACTACGGATATCACTGGGTTCTCTCTTCCACATCCTCCCCACCTCCCCAGCTGGTCTGTGAATTCTAGTGAATCCTGACTAACGGGGCTGTTATCTCGGCTAAGCATTCTGATTCTCCTCTGGGCACATGATTTTGCCTAATCCAGTGATAACAGAAGCTAAAGGATTTACACACCTTTTCCCTTGCCCTTGAGGTTACTAAAAAAACATAACTCAGGAAACTTGGCCCCACTGGGGAGCTGACACTCTGACACAGAGACACAAGACCTTTTTGAAAGCTTGTGGGAAAATCAGAAAGAGAAACGGCTGGCCCGTGCGAGCATTCCAAGCCCAAATACTATAATGAATTTTGCACACATCAGTGGGTTCTGACTCTGTTGCCAATTAAACCCTCTGTGGGGGGGATGCAGTCCACTTAATCTTCCCTGCCAAAGACACAATCCCCCCCCCCCCCAAATACCGCAGTGATGGAGGCAGGGGGCCGTGAAAACCATGCTGTGAAGACAACCCAAATTCTACCTACTTTTCCAAAGTTTTGTCATTGCCGACTCTGCGCATCGGTAAGAAATGACCAGATAAACTGAAAGGAATGAGCCTCTCACTTACCTTTTTTGACAGAAGTTGGAGTCTGTGTATTTAAAATGCCCGAAAATGAACAGTCCAGCCCCACACAGGGTAGGTGTCTTGTGTGATAAGAACTCAAAGGGAGCTTCTGAAATGATAAGGAAGGGGATCGGGAGTTACCGGCGTTACGGCATGAAGTGTCGCTAACAATGTCATTCAGAATCAAAAGGTGGCTGAGTTTTCTTTCTTTCTTCCTTTTCATAAATAATACTAGCCAACAGATTATAAAGTCAAAAATTATATTTAAAACAATCCTCTTTAGAAACCCAGATTAATAAAAAAAACAGTGGCCCCAAGTTTAGCGACTGTGCTGAGCTAGGGGCAAACTGATCATACAGAAAAGCCGTGCTTTGGAAACAGGGCATTCTGGCTCCATGGCAGCCCTGCCCTGGGCTGGGCACCGGCGGCCACAGAGCCTCAAGTTTCCAGCCTGTAAAATGCAGACAGTAATTCACAGACACTGTGATGCTTCTGGCACATTGACTGTGGGCTTATCACTGTGAGCTGCCATCCTCATTATAACAAGGATGTTTAAACAGCATTCCGCTGCATTTCGTATGAGAACTTAGTTAACTAACTCCCTTTGCTTGTAGAGAAGTGTCTATGGTTGGCCTGGTAAAGTCTGACAGAAAAGAAATACAGATTAACCAGCTTTCTATAGTATTGCTGTTTACACATGCATAAGAAATTTCATAATTATTTTATTCATCGCTCATGACAACCCTATGAGGATGGTAGAACGGGTATCTTTTCTGTATTTTCTCTTTACAGAGGAGAAAACTGATTATATATGATACTCATTATGCATATATGATTATATATTATATGTAATCAGTTTTCTCCTCTGTAAAATATTTTTACATGTATTATCTATGTGTGTATATATGTGTGTTTATATGTGTATGTATGGGTGCATGTGTATGTGTGCATGGGTGTATAATATTTGTGTGTGCATGTACCTACATGTGTGCACATGTGTGTATATGCATGACACTCTAACACAGAGACACAAGATCTTTTTGAAAACTTGTGGGAAAATCAGAGAAACGGCTGGCCTGTGAATGTGTATGTGTGCATGAATGTATAATGGATGTGTGTGTACCTTCATGTGTGCACGTGTGTGTATAACACACACACATATACCAAGGTCAAGTAGACAATAGTAGTGGTAACCATTTATTCACTGAACCAATAATGTTTGAGCTGAAACTTTCAAAATGAGTAAAACTGTCACGAGAGAGCACTCCAAACCAGAAACCAAATATGGAAGACATAGCATTCATACAACCCAGTGTAAAACTCTGTAAAACTCTAGTGACAACGAACAAAAGGCAAGTTAGAACAGGAAGAAAGTGCTTGCAGGGTGTGTCACTGGCAAAGGCTTCGGACACAGATGTCTAATGTGCTCCAGTGAACCAGGAAGAAAAAGAAAAGCAACCCCAAACCAAAATAGGCAAGAGTATAAACAGGCAAAACGCTGAGGAGAAAGTACAGGCGCCCAGTCAGTATTCCACTTTTCAGATTGGGGAGGATGTGAACGTCTAAGAACAGCCCCCGGTGTGAGAGAGTACGTGGGAACTCCTGCCGCGCAGGCACGGGGATGGGTCCCAGCAAACGCACGGTGTATTTCCAGGTGTAAATCGCCCACACTCTGACCCAGAAACAACCCCTTCTGTTCAGTACCCCAGAGGTGTGCCCAGGGAGGCCTGTGCTTGGATTTTCTGAACCTGAGAAGGTCTGAGAATGCTGGGGGCTGGGTCTTGATGGGGAGATGGGGAGTTATGGGTGCGCGGTGCAGGGACGCGGAGATGGGGAGGATTTTGAAGAAAGAATCGACAGACGTGCATTTAGAAAGATGACTCTGTGCCATGTGAAAGACAGATTGACAGAAGAAAGGCTGAAGACCTGAGAACGCTGAGTATAGGACAGGGGAGTAGATTCTACTGGGAGGCAGGAGAACAGCTGGAGTGGTCTAGGGTGACAGCGAGTCCATCCATTGACTGGGTTTCCTAGCTGCAAGCAGCAGAGGCCGGCTCTGACTAAGCGTCAGAGTTACTCATTAAAATGATATTGGTAGAGCTGGAAACCCAGGCCTCAGACTGAGCTTCCCAGAACAATGCCCGAAGCCACACAGCTGACCTGGCCGGATGAGAAGGCGCTACCTCTGTGCTGCCCCAAAGAGCACTAAAGAAAACCATCAGCTGCCAGGAAGTCTGCCTGGCAAATGTCATGGCCCCTGGAAGCCGGCTGCCTCTGCAGCCACCTGGCCAGCAAACTGCCCCCAGCCCACGCCTCCTGTCTCCGATTGCTCTCGCTTCCAAATCAGAGTCATGGACGTATGGGATAGGTGGGTGCTCGGTCGTAAGCCCCATGCCCCAGCGGCAGGAGAAGCTGGGTATTCCAGCGTTGGAGGCACTCTCTTGGGGAGAGGGGACTCCCAAGGCTGGCAGGCTCTCAAATGTAGTAAGAGTGTGCAAAAGGTGTATGACAAGTGCCCTTTCCAGACAGTGGGAAGTCAGGGGGTGCCGTTAGGCAGGAGCCAGAGAACTCCAACCTCCACGGGAGGGAAGATGGCAGGTCTGGTGCCAGCACCCCTAGCCCAAGGAGCCAGGGACCTCCAGGAGAAATGCACAGCAGAAGGTCACAGGACGCAGGGCTGGGCATCGTTAAGAGCCAAGTGGAGGCTGAGTCATGGGTGTGGACGAGACAGGCCAGGAGGGGCACAGAGAAAGACGATCAGGCCAGGGCCGCCATCCTCATTATAAACAAGGATGTTTAAACAGCACGGCCCTGCATTTCCTATGAGGACTTAACTAACTCCCTTTGCTTGTAGAGAAATGTCTACATTTCTGGGAAGGTGCTGGGAAGGCCTGTAGCAGGGAGATGGGGCCCCAAGCAGGTCTGAGAAGGAGAGGTGGTAGGTGGTGCAGTGGTGAGCACAGCAGAGCAGGGAGAAGACTCTGGAGAAAGAGAATGCAGCAAGCCAGCCTCCTGGGAAGCCATCTTCTTCCAGGGCTGCTTCCTGGGCAGCCGTATGTAGGCCTCTGATTTCCATTCCTAAATGGTAATGCTAGTGATTTCTTTGAGCTGGTGGGGTAGGGTGAGAGGGCTCTTGAGCAAGGGAGAGGAGCTTGGTTTTCAGCACAGAGCCTTGTCCTTGGAAACGAAGGCTCGGCTGCAGGTGATCATAAGCACCCCTCAGCTGCATGAAAGGTCAGGATTGACATTGTCACTACTACTGCTCGGGAACACACAAGATAAGCAGACTCTTTCCCTGGCATTTCTGGGTCTTATATTCGATTGCATTGTTTTAGAGAGTAGGGCTTGTGGGCCTACCTGAGCTGCAGTCCGGGTCTCCATCCGCAGCCCTGATGACTCAGCACCAACATTGGAGAATTCCCCGTTCTGCAGAAAGACATGGGTCGCCAGGACAGCTGGGCCTGCTTCCCTCACTGCTCCCTGACTCAGGATGCGATGGGCAGGTGCCCAGCCTGTAGCCCACCCTTAAGAGTGTGTGAATCACCACCCTGGCGTGGGCTATGCAGCCAGATGGAGTGGGCTTCTATTTTGGCCTTTCTCTTCCCAGCAGTGTGATCCTGAGTTTTCGTCTTGGACCTTAGTGTTCTCAACTGTGAAATGGGACAGTAATGGCACTGCTGTCTGTGGTTGCCAGAGGGAGCGTGTGAGTCCATGGGTCTGGCTAGGACACAGCCTGGCACGTCAGACTCCATAACATTAACAGTCAGTCATCAGATTAGGGAGGGAGATGGAGCTGAAAGAAGGGACTCCAGGGCGGCTTGGGGTTTTAGCAGGGCCCTCTGCCCTCCCCTCTGCCCCCACGCTTCCCTGCACGAGGGCTTTTTGCTTCCACCCAGAGGTGCAGGGGGTGACTCCCGCCCCTTCACTCAAATGCCCCCAGGAGCCTCATTGCTCTCTGGTCACCTGCCGGAAGCAGGGGGAGAGGCCGGGAGACTCCGGAGCACGTCAGACCTAAGCCCAGAGCCCAGGAGGGCCACCTGCTTTGAGGCGGCCAGGGGGTATTGCTGCTCAGACCCAGGGGCCTCTGTGGAGGGTCTGGGTGGCCCTGGGGGCAGCTCCAGGCTACCTGTGCCGGGTTTTCACTTTGACAATGAGAGGAGGGTGCCTTGGAGGTGATTGGAAGCCAGCATGTGTCACCCAGCCCTGCAGAGAAAGGAATCACAGCAGACAGCCCTGCCCAGCCGAGAAGAAGAGCTTGGGCTAGCCAGGAAAAGAAGAGGCCAAATCCCAGCCTTCTAGCAAAGGTGCAGAAGCTTCCAGCATGTCTTCCCTTTTCTCTGCTCTTCTTCACTTGTCCACATCTTCCGGGCAGTCAGGGGAGACAGCAGGGAAGGTTCTCCCACTCCCACCCCACCCCAGAGCCCCGAATTTCCCATTACTATTTTGCTAAGGGATGAGATGTAGCTTCACTTCCTTCCTCGCCACCAAGGGAAGGGACAGGACGTTCGCTGCTCCCCCAGTCAAAGCTGGGGCTGTGCTCCTCTGCCTCGCTCGCTCACTGGCTTTCAAAGGCCGTTTGCTTTATTTTATGTGCGTTTCCTGTGCTGCTCACATTTTCCTGCCTTTGTCTTTCATGTCCAAACTGCAGAGATTCACGGGGACAGATTATAACTTTCTTCCGAGGTGAGATCAAAGGCTCTGTGAGAGGCCTGCTTGTCTTTTTCTGGCAAAGCAAACTTCCCCACATCTGTTCTGGCCGGCTCCACTAGGAAAAAAAAAGCTATCAGGGTGCTGCAGAAGTCAGGACAACTTCCCAGGGATGATTCTCAGCTCCCGCCCTGGATGTCACAGTTTAGCTACAGAAACCGAGTGGCCCAAATATCTGGAGGCTGAAGATAAATTGACAAAGAGGCGGGCCGCGCACGCTCTCACGCTTCGGCAGCTCAGATACCTGTTACCTGGCGTTAATTGCATTTACAGCGGGAGAGAGAGCTTGGGCTCTCACCAGGTACCAATTGCACGTGTGTGTTTAACTTTTTATGGAGACTTTTATTAACTTTTCATTCTGGAAATGCATGCATATCCTCCCTGTGCAGCTTGAAAAATGTTCACAGCGTGAACGCCCGTGTCACCAGCGCTCAGCTCAACACACAGAAGATCACCCATCCTCAGGAAGCTGCTTCTGTGCCCCAGCTTGTTTACTGAGTGTTTGCATAAAATATTCACTGATTCATGAGTGTGGGTCAGTAATAAAAGCCACTCCACGTTGTTATTCCAAAGAGGAGTGAGTTTATCCCCAAGATTAGTTCTAGAGTCCCTGGAAGGAGAGAGAGAGAGAGAGAGAGAGGGAGAGAGTTTGAGAAAAAAGAAGAGAGCTTTCTCTCTTTCTGTCTCTCAAGTCAAGGACACAGACCTGGTAGAAAAGGCCTTGCTTTTTCAATTACCCAGGTTCTTGGTGCCCACACGAGGAGTAAATGCTATTGTTTTGACTTTCTCCACCCGACAGGCCAGTCGCCACAGGAAGGAGGAGAAGCCCAGCCCAGCTGGCTGCTCAATGTGGCACCTTCATCGTCTGCCTACTGGCTCACTCACCTCCTCCTGCTACCTTTGATCTGGGTGGCGCTTCTGCTCTCAGCCAGGGAAATGATAGTGTGGTTAAGCAGCACTGTTAGGGGCCTGGGTCCCGGGCTGGGACCAACCTCCCCACACCCAGAGGGTGCTTTCCTCCTAGCTCGGGCCCTGATATACACCAGGTCTACAAAAGTACGGCGTTGAGCCGTGTCGATCCAGGTGATGCTTTAAATATTTTCCAGCAAGGCTGTGAACGGTAAAAAGAGAATTCAGAAGCTGGCTGAGAGCTGGCCTGGGCAGCTGGCATCAACGTGTGCCCACCTTGTGCCAGGCTCTTTAAGTGCATGATGGCACTTCCCCTCACGTTGACTCCGTAAGGAAGGCAGGATCACACCAGCTGGAGATGATGAGAATCTTGAGGCTCCGAGAGGTGGCGGGGACCTCGTTAGCATGACACAGCTGCAGGTGACCAGGAAGCCCACAAAAAGCTGCTCAGCATCATCAGAGAAGTGGAAATGAAAACCACCCTGAGGCAGTGGAAGCAATTGAAGGCCCACCACTGACGCGTGGACAGATCGGCCGCACTCCATCCGTCCAGTGGCGTAAGACTCAGCCATAAAGAGGGGCGAGGCGCTGGCACAGGCTAAAGCACGGAGGAGCCTCGGAAACACGACGCTGCGCGGAAGAAGCCACGCACACACGGCCGTGTATTGCGTGATTCCACGGATGTGACACGTCCAGAACAGGCAAGTCCTCGCGAACAGAAAGCACACTAGTGTTTGCCGGGGGCTGGTGGGTGGGGCAATGGGGAGTGACTGCTTACAAGGTGTGGGATTTCCTTTTGGGGATATGAAGATGTTTTGGAACTAAATAGAAATGATGGTTGACCAACATGGTGGATGTCCTCAATGCCACTGAATCATACACTTTTAAATGGTTAATTTTCTGCTGTGTAAATTCTATCTCAGTAAAAACATATGTAAATCAAAAAGAGAGAGAGAAAAAACCATACTGCGATGCCCTTTGACACACTAGAATGGCTAAAATGCAAAAGGCTGACAGCACCAAAGGCCGGTGGGAGGCGGGGCCGGTGGGAGGCGGGAAAGAGAGCTTGGGCTCTCACCAGGTACCAATTGCACGGGGAGGCTGTGCTCACACATGCCTGGCAGGAGTGGAAAATCCGTAAGTGCTGTACCAGGTCATCAGGGCTACCGTCAAAAAGGACCACAGGCTGGGCAGCTGAAACAACAGACATTCATTCTCTCACAGTTCTGGAGGCTGGACGTCCAAAGTCAAGGGCGACTTCCCCTGAGGCCTCTCGCGTGACTTGCAGATGAAGTCTGCTCCCTGTGTCCTCACGTTGCCGCCCCTCTGTGCGTGTCTGCATCCTCATCTCCTCTTTAAAAAGACAATTTATGGATTGTCTTTTTAAAGACAATTTATGGATTGTCCTATGGGATAAGGGCACAACCTAAGACCTCATTTTAACTTAATTACCTCTATAAAGACCCTATCCCCAAATATGGTCAGATTCTGAGATACTGGAAATTAGGACTTCAACATCTGAATTTTGAGGGAACCCAATTCAGTCCATAGCAGCCACTTTGAGAAATCGCTTGCCAAGTCAAACGCATACTTACCATACAACCTATCGGTTCCACTCCTGGTATTGATCCCAAGAGAAATGAAACATATCACCAAAGACTTATACATGAATGTTCAAAGCAGTTTTATTTACAATAGTCCCAAACTGGGGACCACCCCAATGTCCAGCAGCTGCTGAATGGACATAACTCGTGGTATGCGCATACAAGGGAACAGAGCTCAGAAGTTAAAAAGGAATGAACGACTGCTTCACTCCAAAACACAGGTGAATCCCAAAGACACCGTGTTAAGAAAGCCAGGCTCACAAGAATTCATGCAGTATGACTCTATTTTTATGAACTTCTGGGACAGGCAAAACTAATCTAGTGACAGACGTTAGAATGATAGCTGCCGGCTGGGCGCCGTGGCTCACGCCTGTAATCCCAGCACTTTGGGAGGCCAAGGCAGGTGGATCGCTTTGAGGTCAGGAGTTCAAGACTAGCCTGGCCAACATGGTGAAACCCTATCTTTACTAAAAATACAAAAATTAGCTGGGCATGGTGGTGAGCATCTGTAATCCCAGCTACTTGGGAGGCTGAGGCATGAGAATCTCTTGAATTCGGGAGGCAGAGGTTGCAGTGAGCCAAGATCACACCACTGCACTCCAGCCTGGGCAACAGAGTGAGATTCCATCTCAAAAAAAAAAAAAAAAAAAAAAGTGATGACTGCCAGGGGTGGTACATTGATTGGGATAGGGCAAAACGGAGCTTCCTGGATTGATGAAAACGTTCCGCGTCTCATAGGGTGTTGGTGACATGAATATATACAGATTTCACAACTAATAAGGCGGAGGCAGGAACATCACTTGAGGCCAGGAGTTCAAGATCAGCCTGGGCAATATAGTGGGACCCCCATCTCTACAAAAAAAAAAAAAAAAAAATTATCAATTAGCTGGGCATGGTGGAATGTGCCTGCAGTCCCAGCTACTCCGGAGGCTGAGATGGGAGGATCCCTTGAGCCTAGGAGTTCCAGGCTGCAGTCAGCTATGATCACGCCACTGCACTCCAGCCTAGGCAACAGAGTGAGACCCCATTCCAAAAAAACAAAAAACAAAACAAAACAAAAAAACAGGTTATGTAGCAGGTAAGAGGTAAAATTCAGTTCTGTCTGCCCAAAAACTCATAGTTTGTGTCCTTTTTTGGTCCTTTTAAAGCCTGTTTTCCTGAAACAAAATATAGGACACCATGACTATCATTTTTCAAAATATTTCTCACTGTATCAGTTCATTTTCATGCTGCTGATAAAGACATACCCGAGACTGGGCAATTTACAAAAGAAAGAGGTTTAATTGGACTCACAGTTCCATGTGGCTGAGGAAGCCTCACAATCATGGTGGAAGGCAAGGAGGAGCAAGTCACGTCTTATGTGGATGGTGGCAGGCAAAGAGAGAGCTTGTGCAGGGAAACTCCTGTTTTTAAAACCATCAGATCTCATGAGACTCATTCACTATCATGAGAAGAGCACAGGAAAGACCCATCCCAATATTCCATCACCTCCCACTGGGTTCCTACCATGACATGTGGAAATTGTGGGAGTTACAATTCAAGATGAGATTTGGGAGGAGACACAGCCAAACCATAACACTCACCAGCTCTCCGAAATGACCCCTGGCATGCAGGCATTCACTCACTCACTAGTTCACTCAGGTAGGTGCCTATTGTGTGCCTACTGAGTGTCTACTGCATTCCTACTGCGTGCCTACAGTGTGCCTACTGTCTACTGAGTGCCTACTGTGTGTCTACTGCATGTCTACTGCATGCCTACTGAGTGTCTGCTTAGTGCTTACTGCATGCCTACTGAGTGCCTACTGTGTACCTACTGTGTGTCTACTGAGTGCCTATGCTGTGCCTACTGTGTGTCTGCTGCATGCCTACTGAGCACCTACTGAGTGTCTACTGCATGCCTACTGAGTGTCTGCTTAGTGCTTACTGCATGCCTACTGAGTGCCTACTGTGTGTCTACTGAGTGCCTATGCTGTGCCTACTGTGTGTCTACTGCATGCCGACTGAGCACCTACTGAGTGTCTACTGCATGCCTACTGTCTACTGAGTGCCTGCTGGTTGCCCACTGTCTACTGTTTCTGAGTGCCTACTGAGTGTCTACCGTCTACTGTCTACTGTGTGTCTACTGCATTCCTACTGAGTGCCTACTGTGTGCCTATTGTGTGTCTACTGCATGCCTACTGAGTGCCTCCTGTGTGCCTACTGTCTACTACGTGTCTAGTGAGTGTCTACCGCATGCCTACTGCGTGCCTACTGCCTACTGCATGCCTACTGAGTGTCTACTGCATGTCTACTGCGTACCTACTGAGCACCTACTGAGTGTCTACTGCATGCCTACTGTCTACTGAGTGCCTGCTGGTTGCCCACTGACTGTCTACTGTTTCCTGAGTGCCTACTGAGTGTCTACCGTCTACTGTCTACTGTGTGTCTACTGCATGCCTACTGAGTGCCTCCTGTGTGCCTACTGTCTACTACGTGTCTAGTGAGTGTCTACTGCATGCCTACTGCGTGCCTACTGCCTACTGCATGCCTACTGGGTGTCTACCGAGCATTTACTGCGTGCCTACTGAGTGTCTACTGCTTGTCTACTGAGTACCTACTGAGTACCTACTGAGTGCCTACTGCATTCTACTGAGTGTCTACTGTCTACTGAGTGTCTACTGTCTACTGAGTGTCTACTGCATGCCTACTGCATGCCTACTGAGTGCCTACTGAGTGTCTGCTGCAGGCCTACTGTCTACTGAGTGTCTACTGTCTACTGAGTGTCTACTGCATGCCTACTGAGTGTCTACTGCATGCCTACTGAGCACCTACTGAGTGTCTACTGCATGCCTACTGTCTACTGAGTGCCTGCTGATTGCCCACTGTCTACTGTTTACTGAGTGCCTACTGAGTGTCTACTGTCTACTGTCTACTGCGTATCTACTGAGTGCCTACTGCGTGCCTATTGAGTGTCTACTTTGTGTCTCCTGAGTGTCTATTGCATGCCTACTGAGTGTCTACTGCATGTCTACTCTCTACTGAGTGCTTACTGATTGCCTACTGAGTGTCTACTGCATGGCTACTGAGTGCCTATTGCAGGCCTACTGCCTACCGAGTGCCTACTGCGTGCCTATTGAGTGTCTACTGTGTGCCTACTGTCTACTGAGTGCCTACTGTAAGCCTACTGCATGCCTACTGCATACCTACTGAGTGCATACTGCATGTCTACTGAGTCTCTACTGAGTGTCTACTGAGTCCCTTGCCTGCTGCATGCCCGGTGGGCTCTAGGCACCTTAACTGCAGGAGAGGAGGGCAGCCCAGGTCCTGACTCCCACACCACCGGCATTCCAGGGGGATGACGACCAGCACACAAGGAAGCAGATAAGACCGCCCGACGTGATGGGTGCTATGGAAGAGGGAGCCAGGGGTGGCCCAGCAGGGCTTCTCACAGGGGGAGGGAGGAAATTTCGTCCCCAAAGGGCATTTGGTGATGACTGGAGATGTTTCAGTTGTCACACCTGGGAGCAGAGATCCTGGTATCCAGGGTTGGAGGCCGGGGATGCTGATGAATTCTCTGCAGTGCACGGGATGGCTCCCACCAGAGAACCACCCAGCCCCAAATGCTGACGGCATGGAGGCCGAGACACGGTGAGAGCGATGCAGGGAAGGGGGCTGGCAGGGAGGGCCAGGGTAGTCACAGAGGCCGCTCTGAGGAGCTGGGCTTTGAGCTGAGTCCAAGGCGTGGAGAGGCAGCATCCTTTCCCTGAGGGGCCAGAGAAGGAGCATTCCAGGAGGAAGGGCAACTGCCTGCCTCAGGTAGGAGAGCTCTGGACCCTGTGATCAGAAAGGGGACGACAGGCAGAGAGACACCAGGTTCCTTGCTTTATATGAATTTAGCGAAGTGCTTGGCATATAGGTAAATGTTCAATATTGTTCCATCCAGTTCAGTTTCAGATATCTCAGTGGCCAGTGCAAATCTAGCCTCACAATCTCAATGTCCCTGGATCTATTCAGAAGCAGCGCGCCTAGGACCGACCTGAAGACGGCTGTTTGAAAACCAGCAGGGTTATTCTATTCCAGGATTGTCATAAACCAGTTAACCTGCTACCTCCAAGTGTCCCGTATTTATATGTATTTTCTAAGGGAGGGGAATCCGCTCTCAGATTGCCAATTCCGAATCTCAAGATGTCCTTTGTACTCAGAATGAAAACACGTTCTTCCGTTAAAGAGATGAAACAGAATGAAGACCTGGGTGCTCCCAAGGTCCCCGATTGTGTGTGTAGTAACAGCCGTCTAGGAGGGAATCCAAATGTGGGGGATGACAACTATCAAAAGGCACACACTGTAAAAGGTGCCATAATTTAAATTGCCATTGATATACTCATTATGAAGCCACGGATCAATTTCTCTGTAGTGGGCGATAGACTTCAATGTAGTTTTGTAATTTAAATGAGAACTTGGGCCCTCTCATCCGGGTCCTTGAAAGATTTCCCTTTGAAATCCGAGCCCCTTGTAATACCAGTTTCATTTACTTTTATTGTTCCAATGTGCATCGCTGGTGACAAGACCCAGAATGCTGCCTGGTTATAACACTGGCTTTCAGGTGCAAGCAGATAAATCACCTCCCTGGACTGTGGGGCACAAGCTCAAAGCTCAACAACCGTGTTGATGAACACGTGGAAGTGTGGCCACTTTGTTTGCTAAGAAAGGCTGGATTGTTAAAACGTTTGGGGTTGTGTTGAGAATAGACACCTTCTTCCCTCAATGACAGACCTGAAGTCTACCTGTGTATCACCTGCCTGCTTCCTGGGCCGCCTCCTGTCTTTCACTGTCTCCATGCTGTCTGTGTTGTGACTCAGTTTCAATGCCTCCTCCTCCATGCAGCCTTCCTTGAATTCCGCTGTTGCAGCTGCATCACATCATTTTGTTATTGCGGGTCACACAGGCAGCCCAGGAGCATTTCTAGCTCACAGACATGTCCCTTTAGCTCACACATTATTTTATTTTTAACCTGAACTAAGTTGTCAACATTTTCAAGTTGGAGATGTCATATTTTAAAAACCCAGATTTCCAGTTTGTCTTTAATAATATGGAAGATTTGGCAAGATGGGATCACACTTCACTGAACGAAGTCTTGATATGGATCTTACTGTGCACCAGGAGCTGTTTCAGGGCTGGGGCTTATGACCTGCACAACAAATCGATAAGCAGGTGCTGTTAAAACCCCCATTTCCCGGCTGGGGACGCAAAGGCCAGGAGAGGTGAAATGACTGGTCCAAGTCCTCAGAGTTTGGGTGTGAGTAGCAAAGCAGGGAGGAGAGCCCAGGTAACCATCTCCAGGCCCGTAGTCTTCAATGAACTGGGCCACTGTGCTCCCTCCCCGCAGGGCTACATTCGCTGGAGTGGATAGTCTACAATTTCATGTCTCCAGCAAAAGCGAGATGATAGGAAAATGGTGTAGCCACTGCAGAAAACAGAGTGGTAGTTCCTCAAAAAAATGAAAACTGGAAGTACCCTATGAACCTGCAACCAACCCCACTTCTCAATAAAACCCTGAAGAAGTGAAAGCAGGGACTTGAACAGGTGTTTGGACACCCGTGTTCACAGCAGTGTGAGTCACAAAAGCCGAAAGGGAGAAGCAGCCCAGTGTCCACCCCTAAGTCTCCATGCAGAACCAAACTGTGATCCATCCTCACAGTGGAATATTATTCAGCCTTCAAAAGGACAGAAATTCTGACATGCTCTGTGACATGGGTGAACCCTGAGGCCATTAGGCTGGGTGAAAGAAATCAGACACAGAAGGACAAATACTGTCTGATTCCACTTACAGGAGGTCTCTAGGGTATCAGACTCATAGAGACAGAGAGTAGGAGGTGGGTGCGAGGGATTAGTGGGGAGAGAATGGGGAGATAGTGATTAATGGGGTAGAGTTTCAGTTTGGGAAGATGGGTAGGTTTTGAGATGAATAGTGATAGTTATACAACAATGTGACTATCCGTACTGCCAATGAACTGTACACTTAAAAATGGTTAAAATGATAAATTTTATTTTAATTTTTTGCTGTTTTAAGTTTTCCTTTTAGTTAAATTTTAAATTGTTGTGGGCTGGGTGCGGTGGCTCATGCCTGTAATCCCAGCATTTTGGGAGGCCAAGGCGGGTGGATCACCTGAGGTCAGGAGTTCGAGACCAGCCTGACCAATATGGTGAAACCCCATCTCTACTAAAAATACAAAATGAGCCGAGCATGGTAGGCAGGCGCCTGTAGTCTCAGCTACTCGGGAGGCGGAGACAGGAGAATTGCTTGAACCCAGGTGGCAGAGGTTGTGGTGAGCTGAGATTGCACCACTGCATTCCAGCCTGGGCGACAGAGCAAGACTCTATCTCAAAAAAAAAAAAAAATTGTGGGTACATAGTAGGTGTATATCTTTATGGGGTACATGAGATATTTCGATACAGGCATGCAATGTGTAATCATCATACCATGGAGAATGGGGTGTCCACCCACTCAAGCATTTGTCCTTTGTGTTACAAACAATCCAATTCTACTCTTCTAGTTGTTTTAAAATGTACATAATTTTACAGAATGCATATTTTACCACAATAAAACATTTTTTAAAGTGGGGCAGTGCAAAAGTAGTTCAAGGAGGTCACATGTTTTAATAAAAATAGTGTGTCTATGTTGAATAAATACCATCTGACCCATTCCACTCAGCTTTCACTTCCCCTGACCCTTCAGGTCTCTGCATTTCAGCTCCTGATGTAGCTGGGAGGAGGAGAGTGGGTATAGCAGTGCTCATGCATGTGAGTGAGAGAGAGATCCCGGAAAGGAAAATCGCACAGAACAAAACCCGTAACCTTCAACAATAAGCCTAAGGTATCCCAGCCTCCAGTCTACGTGAAAGGCTGATCTTAGGCCGGAGCTATGGCACGCAAATCTGTAGGGGCTTATCAGGTAGGACCCCCACATTGTGAGTGATAAAACACTATGCACCTAATTTAACCCAGCCACTTATGGGAGGCAGGTCTGCCCCGGGAAGGATTATGGGAATCTGTGGAAGTGTCTTTGTTTGGTGCAGTGATTGGCAGTGGCTACCTGCACTTGCAGGGCAGGGGCGGAGATGTTGGAGGTCTCTCGATGCCTGAGGACAGCCCTCCCCAATAAATAACTGTCCCATCTTCCACAAGGAGAAAGGCCTGTTTGTAATCATCTGACCCTACAACCAAACCCCATTTTGTAAATAAACACAAAGCATGTTTGCACGATTTCAATGTACATGGAGTTTCCGGCGTTGTAGTTACAATGGGAAAGGAGGGAAGCTTGCACTGTGTTTAGTTTGGAGTGGTGTCAACCATCAGCCACTGTCTTGAAAAACATCGTCATCCACGGCAATGCCCTGTGTGGTACTGGAGTTCCCAGCACCGTACACGGACACCATCTGCAGCTTGCGGCTGTCAGACATGCTGTGATTACAGATATGTACATCCTCAAAAGGACATATTTAGCCTTTACTGCAAAATGTCAAAGACAGATGAAAATGTCTATTTTAGCTGAATATGGTCCTACTTCCCTTATAGCCAGGTTTACTTTTTTCTTTTTGTTAACTTTATTTTTGTTTAATTGATACATAGGAGATCTCCCTAGTTTCCCACGCATGTGTAATTTAGTACGCCTATCATTTGTAAAGGCCAAATCAGATAGTTGGGATATCCGTCACTTTATATATTTGTCTTTTTTTAGGCTAGAAACATTCAAATAATTCTCTCCGAGCTATTTGGAAATATACAAAAGATGATTGTAAACTAGAGTCAGCCTACTGATCTAGCAAACACTAGGTTTTATTTCTTCTGTCACACTGTATATTTGTATTCATTATTATTTTTATTACTCTTGAGATGGAGACTCACTATGTTACCTGGACTGGACCCAAACTCTTGGGCTCCAGTGATCCTCCCGCCTCAGTCTGCTGAGTAGCTGGGACTACAGGCAAGCCCCACCACGCCTGGCTAATTTTAACATCTTTTTGTAGACAGAGAGTCTCACTATGTTGCCCAGGCTGATCTTGAACTCCAAGCCTCAAGCAATCCTCCTGCCTCAGCCTCCCAAAGCACTGGGATACAGGCGTGAGCCACTGCATCCGGCCTTATCCTATGTTTTTAAATAAAAATAACTAAATAGAAACAGTAATAAATAAATACACATGGTAACATTTTCTTCCCACATCCTAGTGTTCTTCCCTGGCGTGTGGGGGACTATTTATAAACACTTCAGAAACCGTCGCTCGTGGGGGAAAATGTGCAGGAAACCTCCTTGTCCCATTTCCACTTACAAGCCTGTGTCTGATGTCTGGGCTTCACTGAAGCTCGTGGAGGGAATGAACACAGGCACTCCTATCCCCAAACAACAGCAGTGCCTACCTAGCCCATCATGGGTGGGCTGGGATCTAGGCTCATGCCACAACGCTTACTCAGAACATTCATCACTTCTTCATGGTTACCTTTTCAGATGACCAAGTCTGGAAGGGCCGTTTCATTCATTAGACAACAATGGGTCACCAAGAACCTGCAGATGTACCAGGAACTGTGCTAGGCCCTGGGGGTGTCAGGGCGGCATCAAAGCGACGGTGGCCCTGGAGAAATTCAATCCTTGAGCTGCCTGGCTGTCCCTTGGCAAATGACGGGAGCACCTTGGCCCTCTCGTCTCCAGACAGGGGAAGAGAGAGGGCTGTTTCAGGAATTTCAAAGGCATCTTCCTGAGCTCTCATCTGGGAATCTCTTTAGGCTCAATTAAGAAGAAAGTGAAAAGTTACATGTGTTCAGCTGAGGGTGTGGAAAGAATGTGTTCTAAGAACCAAATGCTCTGAGGTGTGTTGGATTACGCATTCCTTGGGTCTGTGAGTGACAGTGAAACGCAGGACACAGGAGAGATGAAGTCACTGGGCTTATCAGTCCGCAGTCGCTGCTGAGGAGGAAAAGGTCCTCGGTGCTAGATAACAGCATTGCTGGGTGACTGCATTGCTGGGCATGACTTGCCTGACTGCACCGGCACATTTAATATTTGCCAGGTGCCAGGGAAGCAGGAGCTCCAGGGAGGACAGGTGTGCCTTCTGAGAAATCTGATTCATCGTCTGCCCTTGTGCCTGCTGCAGTGCCTGGGGCATGGTAGGTGCTCAGAAATGGAACAGGAAATGCCAGAGAGATGGTCAGGGCATGATCGTGGCTTTCAGGTAAACAAGGAGGAGGAGATTTGTTATTCCTTGAGCCATTCGCTGTTATTTAAGGAACACGCACTGCTGGTGCTTCCAGAGTCTGTAGATTTGACACAAGGACTCTTACTTATGGTTCTCTTGAAAAACAACCACCATGCTGCCCTGGGCCAACCTCTGCATGTGAGAGCTGTTAGGCAGAGCCAGCTTGCCAATGGTGCCTTGGTAGGCGACAGTCCTCACCACCCCTAGATGCTAGCCACCCTGCCCGCGGCGGGCCCCTTTGTGTCACCTGTCTGGACCCAAAAGCATTTGAGTTCGCAACCCTTGCCCTAAAAGAGGAATGAAGAATTCTGTCAAACTGACAACAATGCCCCAGAGGAGGCTATTTCATTTTATTTAAGATCCATTTCATAAACAGGAAGGGCACCAATTTGTTTGTTCTGGGAAAATGACTTTTCAGAGCTGAGCTCACAGCAGGGTGGCTACCCCCAGCATGCCCTGGAACAGCAGCCAAGCCAAGGTGTGAAGAGGGCCTGGAATCCCATCTGCCATCACTCACTGTCCTAGGTGTGCTGGTCTCCACAAGGCCTGTCCCACCTCCTGGGATGCTGTGAGGCTGAGTGAGCACGTATCTGAGAGACTAGAACTCTAAGGGGCTTCTGAACAATCAGCCTGCGCTCAGCAAAACTACACACTGCTGCACAAGCCATGGTGTTGATCGCAGTGGCTGAAAATAGGGAAAGCATCAACGACGCTGACCTACAGGATCCACAAATGAAGCCACAGAGAATGCTAACTTTATGTCATCAAACCACAAATGGTGGCCTGGCGCGGTGGCTCACGCCTGTAATCCCAGCACTTTGGGAGGCCGAGGTGGGCAGATCACAAGGTCAGGAGATCGAGACCATCTTGGCTAACATGGTGAAAACCCATCTCTACTAAAAATAAAAAAAAAATTAGCCGGGCGTGGTGGTGGGCACCTGTAGGCCCAGCTACTCGGGAGACTGAGGCAGGAGAATGGCGTGAACCCGGGAGGTGGAGCTTTCAGTGAGCCAAGATCACGCCGCTGCACTCCAGCCTGGGGGACAGAGCGAGACTCCGTCTCAGAAAAAAAAAAAGAAACAAAAATAAACAAACCACGAATGGATTGGATACTTAGTGACTGACACAGTCGAGACTCCAGCAAGCATTTCCGCTTGTCAGATTGAGTAAAACATCCATAATTTGCTCTAATTGGCCCCAAACTTTGGTAGTGCCTGCCTTGGACTATACGTGGTCTCTGAGCACCCTCCTTGCCACTCCAAAAAATACCCAAATGTTTTTTTGCAACTGGAATTGGCCAAGACCCTCCTGAAGGTACTCGACTGAAGGAGGTCTGGGGCTTTCTGGCACAGGATGGGACCATCTCACTTGCAGCTGGAGGTTCTTCTGCCATCTGGCTCTGTGGCCTCTGATAGGGCGTGCACATTCCTGAGCCTGCCTCCCTGTATTAAGTGTTCCTGGTGGGTAGTGGGAATTAAGTGTTCCTGGTGGGTAGTGGGAATTAAGTGTTCCCAGTGGGTAGTGGGAATTAAGTGAGACAATGTATTCAGAGTGACCAGTGCAGAGTTCACCCACTCTCTGGAGTTAATAATCACTCCCTCCCAATAAACAGGAAGCTGGAGGTCCCCAGCCATCAGTCCATGAGTGCTGAGCCTTGTGGGGGTGAGAGGCAGTGGGAACCAGGAAGGACCTGCTGACGAGAAGGAGAATTCCTAATTCCTGAGCACCTACCGTGTGCCTGCCCTGAGCCAAGCACTGAGTCCACTTTCTCCTGCCATCCTCACTGGGGCCTCTGAAATGCAGCTGATCTTATGCCTCCAAGGAAGCTGAGCCACAGGTGGTCTTGGTCAGGCTTTTCAGTTCGTTGTGATAGAACCAGAATTCAAACCAGACGCAATGTGTGTGTCCTCCAAAATTCATATGGTGAAACTCTAACCTCCAATGGGAAGGTGCTAGGAGGTGGGGGTTTGGGGAAGGTGATTATCTCATGAGGGTGGAGGCCTATGAAGCAATCAAGTGCCCTTATAAAACGGACCCCAGAGAGCTGCCTCGCCCCTTCCACCACGTGAGGACACAAGGAGAAATTGACAGTCCAGAACCCAGAAGACAGCTCTCACTAGAATCCAGCCTAGCCAGCTCCCTGATCTCAGACTTTCATCCCCCAGACCCGTGAGGAATAAATGTCTGTGGCTCCTAAGCCAGGTAGTCTGTGGAGCTTTGCCTTAAGGGCCAGAAAGGACTGATGAGATATGTCGACTCCCAGAGCTGCACCGTTAAAAGACAACATCAAAATCTGAAGTCCCAGAGCAGCCTGATGAGACCTCAGCCCAGCCCAGAGGACAAAGTAGAAGCTGTCCTTATGGCATTTGGTAAATAAAGACATCAGTGCAAACCGAAGCACTTCAGAAAGATTTCCTAGAAAAGGCAGGAACTAGGCTAAGCCTAGACTATGTTGCTTTTGGATTATTCACTGAGCCTTGCTCCCCAGGAATCTATCTTGCCAGCCTGAATAATAAACTAGCTCTTTCCTCAAAACTATTTGTGTCTGGGCACTGCTGTTGCAATAGACAAAGAAGCAAAGTCCATTTTCTAAGGAAATGTTGACTATGAGAATAATTCCATTTAGGAGCAATCAGAGCCATCAACCTCTGGCTAGAATTCTACTCGGAACATGAAGATCTTTTAAAAATTTGCCTCTAGGCAAAAATAATTCAAGTCAAAGGAACCATTTGGATGCATTCATCTGTTCTCTTCCTCCCTACCTCCAGTCTGCCCCTCTCAAACCACACATTCTTAAAAACACCTTCCCAAATCATTTTCAACTGCCTCCATCTATCCCCACCGGCCTTTATGATCTTTAGACATGCAACCAAATGCTGCTCCCATGGCAACAGCCTGAAGAAAGTAAACTTTTAATTATGCCACATGAAAATGGAGAGCTCCGTGAGTCCTCTCTGCCTTTTCTTTTAGTGCAAATACAGTTCCGGATTCCATGGGCGGTCTTGCTTTCTAAAATCTCCAGACGTTCAAAGGAGGATGATCATCACGCTTTATCTCTAAGTGTCTTCATGGAAAGTTTGCATCTAGTGTGTTTCAAAGTCCCCCAAAGAGAAGCTTTCATATTCAAGAGCAAAGTAACTGAATTTGAAACTTTTATTAATAATGTAAAAGGCTTGCGTGACACGCAGAAGCTGGAAAAATATGGGGAAATCAGAGGAGACTTTGCTTTATCAAAGAGCAGCCAAATAAAGGTTGGGCTTGCTTCTGCGGTGGGAGGAGGGGAGAAACGCCTCCAGGGAGGAGGTCAATGTCTTTTTCTCCACTTGAGTGCTAGGACTTTGGGACTGAGGACCACCAATTCAGTCCTAGGGAATGCCTAGGCGTTTTACAAAAATACACGTGGGTATCAATTTTCAATCCAGCCCTGCTGATACCCCCTAGGGGAGCAGAGAGCCTCTCTAAATGTTTTCCCGCAATTCCCAGGCATGACCTCCAGGTTGTACCTAGAGGGAAAACGGGTCATTTGCTTCTTGTTCTTAAAGCGGCAAATTGCTCATCTTAGCAGCAGGTCACGCACTGAAAGCCCCTTGCAGAGGTCTGTGCCGGCTTCTTCCAGATCTTTAGTTTGGTTTTAGAACTTGTGGCACCTTTGATTTTACCTTGTGTTTTCTCGTAGAAAAGTTCGGTTAACAGGTGGGTACAATAACTCCATTAACTTACATCACGTTTCTCTTTTTCCCAACCTAATCTGTAATTCTCTAAGTTCTAGGAATTTTTTTAAGTCTTTGCAAATGAGAAGGAAGAAAAAGAATCTCAATTGTTATGCCATTTAATAATGGTGAGCCTACTTGTGGAAATTTAGGTAAAGGTATGATTTGGTATTTTTTTTAACCTAATAAGTATCACATCGTATTAAGAAATTATTAGATTGAGTCACAGATTTTTGGAAGAATATTTATATATATACATAATAGAATTTATATGGGTACCAGGAATATAATTCAGCCAGGGAGAGGACCATGTCTGGAGACCACCAGTCTTTTATTTCCATGTATTTCTCAAAAAGGAAGGCCAGGGGGCCTGCTCAAATCTAGACACCTTTATTCTTAACTTTTGGTTAAAGTATAACATACAGAGAAGTTATAAGTCATGAATGTGTCATCCAAAGATTAATCTCAAAGTAAACACACCTACGTACCCAACACCACTCTCAAAAAGAGAAGGTCACCGGCCAAGCACCTTCTAAATAGGTATGCATGTTGTCAAAATCACTCCCAAAGCATTTTCACCCATTGACCCTCCTTCAAACAGTGGGAATGAGAGTTTGTTTCTCCACGTCTTCACCAGACTGGTGACAATCAAACTTCTCAATCTTTACCAATCCGAGAGATCAAAAATGGTTTGTCAGTATCATCTTTTTATTTTTGCTCTTTGAGGCGGAGTCTCCCTCTGTCGCCCAGGCTGGAGTGCAGTGACGCGACCTCGGCTCACTGCAACCTCTGCCTCCTGGGTTCAAGCGATTCTCCTGCCTCAGCCTCCCAAGCAGTTGGGATCACAGGCGCCCACCACCACGCCTGGCTGATTTTTTTTGTATTTTTAGTAGAGATGGGGTTTCACTATGTTGGCCAGGCTGGTCTCGAACTCCTGACCTCAGGTGATTTGCCTGCCTTGGCCTCCCAAAGTGCTGGGATTACAGGCATGAGCCACCACACCTGGTATCCTCTTTATCTAGACTTTTAAAATGTTGAGTGAAGCTGATTTTGAGTGAAGAAATTTCTTGTGTTTATTGACTTCTGTGATACACCTGATTCGTTGTTTTGTTATAACAACAAGTAAACAAAGCCAGCCTGATCTACCCATCAGGATCTGTTTAAATAAATTATGGGAACATAGTAACCATAGATGACCTCAAATCACTTAGAAAGAATGAAGTACAACTATATTCTCCACAAAAGTACCTCCCAGATATAGATTCAATGAAGAAGGCAAGAAACCAAAAACATACAGTGGAGGATTCAATCTTGTTTGTTTGTTTGTTTGTTTGTTTTTTGAGATGGAGTCTTGCGCTGTCACCCAGGCTGGAGTGCAGTGATGCGATCTCGGCTCACTGCAACCTAAGCCTCCCAAGTGATTCTCCTGCCTCAGCCTCCCAAGTTGCTGGGATCACAGGTGTGCGCCACCACGCCTGGCTAATTTTTGTATTTTTAGTAGAGACGGGGTTTCACCACGTTGGTCAGGCTGGTTTCGAACTCCTGACCTCGTGATCTGCCCACCTCGGCCTCCCAAAGTGCTGGGATTATAGGTGTGAGCCACCATGCCCGGCCTTAATCTTGGTTTTAAAAAGAAAAAAGGATGTGTATATGCATCACAGAATTCTGGAAGAATATTCTAGAAATCGTTCCAGTAGTTATCTCTGTCAAATAGGGCAGGGGAAGGGGTGGGGGAAAATTTTCACCTTTAAATTTAAAACAAATGTATTTGCAATAGTTTTAGATTTACAGAAAAATTGTAAAGATAGTACCGAGGCTGTAAACCTATAAAACCACTCTTAAAAATAAAGTTTATTAGTTTAAATTTGTTAAAAAGTTAATACCGAGAACTCCCGTGTACCCTTTAGCCAGTTTTATTTCCCCAAATGTTATCCTCTCATCTTCCCATGTCCATTTGTCAAAGCTGAGACACCAGCCTTGGCACTCACTACTGTCTGAACCTCAGACCTCATTCCAACGTCCCCAGTTCCCCCTTAGGCTCCTGTTCCTGTTCCAGGGTCCCGTCGGGAGCTCATGCTGCAGAGGGTCATCCTGGCTCCTTCGGGTCCTCCTGACTGTGGCCACTTCTCAGTCTTTGTTTTTCAAGTTTGTCAGGCATGTTATAGAACATCCTTCAGGTGGGGTTTGTCAGGTGCTTTTCGTCACAATTAGACTGGGTTTGAGGGAAGAACGCCGGAAGCAACGTGCCCTTGTCTTCACATCATATGGGGCAGTCACGAGGTGTAAACCTTGGCGACCAGGTGGCATCTGCCAGGTGTCTCCACTTTTCCCTTTCCCTGAGCTGTGCAGAAGTGAGTCCCTAAGTGCTGGGGGAGGGGGCGTAGGAAGGGTTAGTTAAGCTCCTCCTCCCCCGGGAACATCCACTCATTTTATTTGTCATTCTTCTTTTACATTTAAACCCTTCTGCGAGGTTTCCCTTTCAACCTATGCACGTATTATTCCATAATTTAAACATATAGTTCCCCAAACAAACAAACAACTAGAAACAAATGTAAGTCGCTGGACAAAACTCAGGGGTCGGATTCCCTGGCCCTTAGCCAAAAGCAAAGCTTTCCGTTCTCCGGGAAAGAAAATAAACCCAGTCCCCTTTGAGATCCAGGGCAGGGGAGAGGAAAATGACTCGGAAACCCTGTTGTGAGAAGCACGTTGCTATCCCGGATGAAGGGCCATTTCAGCCCTAAGCTCAAAGCCGGAGCTCCGACCAGCACTCTCAGGACGCCTGGGTGCTGGCCACGTGGTTGAGCCAGGCAGGAGGAGGCGTTGTCAGGGGCACAGAAGAAACCAGAAACTCATTAGCTGGGACCCCAGCCGGGACCTTTGCCCCACTGGTGACCTTGGGAAAGCCTCTTAGCTTCCTTGGCCACTTCCGTGGTGGTCGAGTGAGGATTCCGAGTTCTGCCTGCCTGCGTGAAAAATATCTTTTGATGATTGATTAGCTAATGCTTGGAAACAGCTCCGGCACTGGAAGCCAGTTCCCCAGAAAGTGCTAAGCAGTGTTATTAAGGGATCAAACAGGAAGGCCTTTGTGTGTGATGCCAAGATGATTTTGTTAAATTATGAAACTTGCTTTGATAAACTGCCTGGAGGTGCCATCTGTGACATGCTTAATGTTTTTTTCCCCACTTCCCTGAGCTTATTGAATTATTTGTACACAATTTATTTTACTTTCATAGGGCATTAAATTACTCTGAGACCTTGAAATATTTTACAGCCAATTCAAGGCATCTGGAGGCTGTCAGGAGGGTTTTTGATGGATTTTGTCTTTAGGAGATGAAACAGGGGGAGTATTCTACAAATGAGGGAGGGCGGGACCTGTTGCATGTAAAAGTTGCTTTCAACTCTGTTTAACATGGGTGCTTTAAATTTTCAGCTGCTGCGGAAATGCTTTTATAAAATACATGAAGGAATCGAGGTACATTTAATCATCTCTGTATCTTAATCAGGAACATTTATCAAAGCCCTTTATTAGGGGAAATTTGAAATGTATACCAACGGAGAGAAAATACGATGGCTCCTGGTGGATTTATTACACTGCTGCAGCGATCCTCAAACTGAGGCCGGCCTCTGTGGTCTCTATGCCTACTCCTTCCATGAACCCCACGGGGAAGTCTGAAGCAGCTTCCAGATACCACAGCGGCATTTCATGAGTAAATAAGAATGCTATTTTTGAGTAGCCCAAGAGTTGTGCTGTTCTCACCGGGGATGCTTAACTATGACCTTGGAAAAGCTCCTCCTCGCCCTGGCAGGGGTCAAAGTCGCTAGGAGGTGGGTCACTGGCTGGAACAAGCCAGGTGTGAAAAGTCAGCGCTCGCAGGGGACCCCAGTCTTGAATGTTCACCTTCCAGGACAGCGTCTTCTGACGGGTCCTGGGCATGAGCGCCGCGCTCCTCGGGAAGCACACAGAAGTGTTTTTATTGGATCATCTGTGATGTCGCAGAGTGGGGAGTCAAGTCGCCGGCACTCCCTGACAGGCTGTGCTATTCCAGGCACCCTCCTTTAACCTCTAGCTGCAAAGCTTCCTCCTCTAACTTTCCTTCTGCTGTGCTTTCCCGAAGCTGACAGCAGCACCTTGACCGCAGTGTTATGGTTCTCAAAGTTTTCTGTCCATTGGAATCTGCCGGGCAGCTGGCTAAAAATCTTGACTGCTCTCATACATCACTGATGGACGTGCGGGTTGATACAACTTAACGGGGAATGCAATGGGGTCAAAACTATCCAACATTTCAAATGCATATACCATTTGACCCTGAAATAGGAAACTGTCTTAGACAGACTTGCCCACGTGGATTTTTTATTACACCAAAATACCTGGAAGCCATCTAAAATGGCTAGCCACATAAAAACATGGATGGCAGTCCCTCCGTACGATGTAATATAATGCAGGCATTAAAAAGGAAAAGGGAAATTTTAAAAAAGAAAGGAGCAAGGTGCAGAACTACGGAAACAATGTTACCACGGGAGGAAGGAAGACAGAATACATGTGTATGTCCTTGTGTGTAGGTATCAATATATAGATACTATGATGGTTCGTTTCATGTGTCAACTTAACTGGACTAAGGGATTCCCAGATAGCTGGTTAACATTCTTTCTAGGTGTGTCTGTGAGATTGTTTCTGGAAAAGATTGTCATTTGAGTTGTTAGATTGAGCAAAGAAGGTCTGCTCTTGCTAGCGTGGGTGGCATCATCCAGTGTGTGGGAAGTCCAAATGGAGCACAGAGGCGGAGAAGGGGCGAAGTTACTCGCCCTGTGTGATCTGGAACATCCATCCTCTCCGGCCTGCAGGCATCAGAGCTCCTGGGCCGCCGGCCTTTGGACCCGGATCAAGACTTACACTACCTGCCCCTGCTTCTCAGGCCTTCGGACTTGCACCAAATGACTCTACAAGCTTTTCTGGTTCTCCAACTTGTAGGCAGTAGATCATAAGGCTTCTTGGCCTCCATAGTCTCATAAACTACTTCCTATAATAAATAAGTAAATATTATATGTATGTGTATATAAATATATGTGTGTGTATTGGTTCTGTTTCTCTGGAGAAACCTAATAGAGATACACTTATGTGTTTATCTTCATAAAGGAGACGGAATATATTTACACACATAGATTATATATATATAATAGACACCTACTTGCCTATACTCATATCCACCATTTAACCCTTTTCCCATTTGCACTGAGAATACCCGCCAGCAGCACTTGCCTATACTTACATCTGCCATTTAACCCTTTTCCCATTTGCACTGAGAATACCCGCCAGCAGCACTTGTGGGTTGGTGCAGCATTCACCCCAAGATAACTTTGTCACGAAATATCTCACTTTTATTATCATTTTCACATCGCTCTAGTATATCGACGTTGGAAACAAAAGACATCGTTCTATTTACAGCATTCTGTTTTTAGCAGTGACAATTCCATTTGCAAAATATAGTAATTCTCGATCACTGGAAATGTCGTATCCTAGAACACGTAGCATTTCCATGTGTGATGTTAACATTGTTCTTGAACAGTTATTGGCTGAGGATTCACTCGATGAATCTGATTTTTCTGAAGTAGACAATTCTGATGATTCAGATGATTCTGATGTTCATTCTGTTTAGAAATAACTCCCTGAGGCCAGGCGCGGGGGCTCACGCCTGGAATCCCAGCACTGTGGGAGGCCAAGGTGGGTGGATCACTTGAGGTCAGGAGGTTGAGACCAGCCTGGCCAACATGGTGAAAACCCATCTCTACTAAAAATAAAAAAATTAGCCAGGCTTGGTTGCCAGCACCTGTAGTCCTAGCTACTCGGGAGGCTGAGGCACGAGAATCACTTGAACCTGGGAGGCAGAGGTTGCAGTGAGCCAAGTTCAAGCCACTGCACTCCAGCCTGGGCAAAATGAGATGCTAGCTGAAAAATAAATAAATAAATAAAAACTCCCTGGACAGGTTTTATATTTTATTTCCCCATGGAAAATCAGACAGACTTGCTTCAGCCTCAAAGAGTGTGTTTATGTAAAATTCAGTGAGTGCTGGCAGTGAGCTGCACTTTTTTTTCTAAACAGGAAAAGTGTTTAACACATGCATGTATAGGCCTAAAATAGCTCTGTAGAGATACCCAAGCAATTGAACCAATGTCCAGTTGCTTCTGAGTAGGGGAACGTAGTGGCTGGAGGTCAAGAGTGAGTAGGAGAAAGACTTATGTTTTACAATATATTCTTTGGTACTGATAAATTTGGTACTATATGCATATATTCCCTTTACATAAAGATAAATAAAGTTATTTGTTTATGTCCATTGCCCGGACTCCTCTCCAGACCTACTGAAGCAGGCTCTTCAAGCATCCAGCCCAGGCATCCGTTTTTTTAACACACCTGTTCTTGTTCTCCTGACACACTCCCTCGTTGAGAATCTCTGCCCTCGGGCTCTGCACTTCTGATATAGATTAACATGCATTTACAGCGTGGGCAAGTGGCTATGCTTTGTCTCCCAAACTACCTAAGCTTTTGAGGGCAAGGACTGAATTTTTTACATTTATGCATGGAAGATGGGAAAATGTTGAATATATTCACTTCAATAAATGCCAAGAATACAGCAGTACCATAGCCTGATACTCAAACTACTGCTTGGACCAACTGTGGTAGATAAAAAATGACTACACATTCTTTGCTCCCTCTCCCATTGAGAGGTGGAATTAAATTCCCTTTCTCTTGAACATGAGCTGGCCTTGGTGATGATTTGCTTGATCCATAGAATAAAGTAGAAGGAATGCTCTGAGCCTTCTGGGACTATGGGATAAGAAGCCTTGCAGCTTTCACTCGGGCCTCCTGGAACACTCACTCTGGGAGAAGCCAGCTACCGTGAAACAAGTCAGTCTATCCTGAGCCCACCATGCTGTGAGGAAGCCCAAGAAGCTCTGTGGAGAAGACTATGTGGAAGGAGCAGAGACCTCCAGCCAGCAACCCCAGCTGAGCTCCCAACTGAGAGCCGATACCAACCTGCTGCCCACATGAGTGAGCCATCCAGGTAGCAGATCCTCCAGCCAGATGAAGTAGCCCAGCCAACACTGCATGGAGCTAAGATGAGCGCCCACTACCAAGTTCCACCCAAACTGCAGATTCATAAGCAAAATAAATGATTGTTGTTTCTTTAGGCCACTAAGTTTCAGAGTAGTTTGTTTTTCATTAATAGATAACTGGAATACTCTCTGCGCAGTACAATTGTATCCAAGTGTCCTATTATGCAATTTGTGTCAAAAGGTTCTATTAGTTCGCACTGGTGAATAATTACAACCATTTTTGGGCATTCACCACTTGCCAGCCTTCATGCTAAATACACTCTTTAAAACTTATGAGATGCATATTATCTCCATTTGACAAATTCTACAGAGAACATAAATGCAGTGAACACCACCAAGAGACATCTACTCAGCCTCCCTTTTCTTGAAACAGGCTCTCTTCAACCATACAGTTGCAGCCAGGGACTGCCAGTAACTGTGTTCAAACAGTGTGGACCAGCATCCACACACCAGCCAATGACACCAGGAAAGGGTGTTTCACCTGAGTGGGACCAGAGTTTCTTCCCTGGGAATCGGGAGGTGGAGCTACGAGGTTGTAGGCTTGATTTGACTTGAAAAGAAGACTTGAACATAGGAGAGACGCTGGTGGCATTGCCACCCCGCGGACTGAGAAGCGATGAGGGTCAGGTCTGAACCGTGAGCGGAGTGTGTGGCAAAGACACGCAAAGAAAAGTGAAGCAAGAAGCCAGGCCCAGGTCCAGCCACTCCGCACCTCCTGGGTTTCCACGTTGGGTCCCCACTCTCTTTCTGTGGGCTCTGCTGTTTTTTATCAGTTTTGAGGAAAGTGAATCTGCTTACATTCCAAGAGTAACATTTGCCCAGGACCCCACCGCCGACAAGCAGTAGAGCCAAGATGGGAAGCCCGGCCTGTGCTCCTGGCCTCCTGACCCCTCAGTCGCTGTGGGGGTGGGTGGGCCCTTTTCTGCGCTTTCTACAATTTAATGAAAATTCAGCGAAGTTCAAGCATCCGCAAGAACACTCAGCTTTTCCTCTAGCACTACAAGTGGGAGCCCTCTCTCCATTCATCCTGCTGATTTTTAGATACATTTTAGATGAGGTAGCTGACGTCCATATCCTCCACTTGTAAATATTGAATATGCAGACCTTCCTCAATCTCCCTCCATAACAGAAACAAACACCACACATCCCCACTACTCAGTGCTGACAACTCTTCCTGCTTTGTCCCCCCTTCTGAACAGCAAGAGTTCGTAACCAGCAGCAGAACAGAGCAGCAGAACATACTCTTCAAGACCCTATCTTTACAGCATTTTACGACAGCAACTTTAAAACATGCATTCAAGTTGGAAGATTTACAGCACAAATACCCACTGCACCCATGGGTAGCATGTACCCTTTTCACCATTAACACTTTCCCAGTTCAATCTATCACATGTCTCCTCATTATCCATCCCTCTATCCAACCATTACTGCATCTTATTTTTAATATCATTTCCCCGTCCTTTGCAGACCTCAGTCTCCTCCCCACCTCACGCATCAGCAAGCACCTTTCTTTGACTGTGCTCTAGAACCGTGACCTCTGAGGTACCTCCCCACCACCCCATTGTCAGGGGCAGTTTTAAAAGGAGAAAGAAAAAAACAACTTTGGAGCAGAAATTTAGAAGAAACTATAATGTTTGTGATATAATTCATAAAATCATTGAGTGGATCGATTTCTCCTTGAGATGTCCTCCATATTAACTGTCCCTGTGTAAATGCACAATGAAATTA
Source organism: Homo sapiens (assembly GCF_000001405.40). Lineage (NCBI taxonomy): Eukaryota > Metazoa > Chordata > Mammalia > Primates > Hominidae > Homo > Homo sapiens. The sequence goes on from NC_000012.12 coordinate 130,110,831, forward strand.
AAGGAAATACAATGTAGGTTTGCCTCTCTATTACTGCATGAAATTAAGTAGCAGATTTGATTTTTGCAAAAATTAACTTGTATTTCACGAGCGCCACATTATACAGGCAACTTACCAACTATACTACACTCATCCTTTTTTTCCCCCTCTAAGGAGCACTTTTATTAGTTACCAGATCTCTAACATAAAACATGTGCTTAAGAGAAAACAGCCCTATGATCCCTTCCCCTTCGCCTAAGGTCTGTCGTTGGCATCTCCCGACTGACAGAGATTAATGGGCCATTCCCCACGTGTGTTTTCCCTCTGTTTCATGCTCCACAAGTTTTATTTTTCTTAGCAGTTGTAAACGTTTGGAGATCAGATATGACTCGTAGACCTTAGCAGCACTGAGCTTAAAGAGCATTTCAGGAGAAAAATGGGCAGGAATACTTCTCACCTATAATCAATACATGATGTAATTCTCTTGAAGAGTATTGGTAATTGTCATAAAGATTTATGGAGCACTTACTACATGTCCAGCTCTATGCTGCACTTTGCACGTAGCTTCTTATCTAATCCTATCAAGGACAGGGAGGCTGTGAGCAAGTTGTTCCCTTCTTTAGGATCTAGGGCCAACCCATTAAGTTGAAATTAACTTAATAAAGGGACAATTTCTCTGTTGGCTGCACAAAATCAAGTTTAGGACTTTTGGTGAAAATGAACTTTTAGTGATGTGCCTACCTTCGGAAAGAATAATCACAGGTAATATCCATTGCACACTTGCAATGTTCCGGGTGCTGGACCAAGCACAGAGCTTTCTATCTGTCCCATTGACTTTTGTGATGCCCTGAGGTAGGTCCTGGTGTCTTCTCCATTTTACATGTGAGGAAGGTGAATTCGCAAGAAGCTAAAGACATCTAAGTATCTCTAGAGAGTAAATGTTTTGAAAGCCGGCTATCTGGCATATCAGTTGGTTCCATTTCTAAGTTTGAAGAGGCCAGGAATGGCGTCATTCATTCCATTGACAGAGGTTGATCGAAGACCTCCCAGGTGCAAGCAGGTGTGAATGCTGGGTGAGCTCAGACACACAGCCTCACGTCTTCTCCCCGGCATCCAGCACAGCCGGATGCGTTGTGGAAGAGTCACTCATCTGTTTCTGTGCCGGCCCACTGTACCTCCAGCCAGT